>NC_000003.12:66070606-66373636 GCF_000001405.40 Homo sapiens
CTCACACCTGTAATCCCAACACTTTGAGAGGACAAGGTGGGAGCACTGTTTGAGCCCAGGGTTTGAGATCGCCCTAGGCAACACGGTGAAACCCTGTCTCTACCAAAAAATCAGCCAGGCGTGGTGGCGCACACCTGTAGTCCCAGCTACCCAGGAGGCTGAGGTGGGAGGATCACCTGAGCCTGAGGAGGTGGAGGCTGCTGTGAGCTGTGATCACGCCACTTCACTCCAGCCTGGGCAACCGAGTCAGATGCCATCTCAAAAAATAGAGTAAACGAATAAGCAAAACTTTACGGCATGTTGAAAGCTACAGAATTGCTATAGAGAAGAAACTCAGGATCGGAATTTGAGAGAGTGACCCATAGGAGAATTACCATAAAATTGTCTGCATAACAACCACACTGCTTTTACGTTGCCTCTTACAGATCAACAAAAATAGCAAAGTTTTCTATTTCTAAGGTGTTTTTATTCATATATTACATAGTTTTAAAACAATTGTGTTTTAAATTAGAAGTAGCTTTCAGGGATTGATGCAGGTTAGTGACGGGAGAGAGAGAAGGCTAAAACCTTCCTGCTCCACATCCCACCTTATTATCCTATTGTTTTTCTCATGCCCAGTTAGTTTTGGGGACCTCTCATTCTGACTATAAACTTATTAAGGACAGAGATTGTGTCTCATTCCATATATAATCCCCAGCACCTAGGACACTGGTATATCGTTGGCATTCAATTAATGTATATTCAATAAATGTTCAATTAATCGATGAACAAATGGAATAAATGCTAGTACAAAAGACTTTGTTGGCTGTGCATGGTGGCTTACACCTGTAATCCCAGCACTTTGGAAGCCGAGGTGGGTGGATTGCTTGAGGTCAGAAGTTCGAGACCAGCCTGGCCAACATGGTGAAACCCTGTCTCTACTAAAATGAAAAAAATTAGCTGGGCATGGTGGCAGGTGCCTGTAATCCCAGCTACTTGAGAGGCTGACACAGGAGAATTGCTTAAACCCAGGAGGCGGAAGTTGCAGTGAGCCAAGTTTATGCCACCAGGTGACAGAGTGAGACTCAGTCTAAAAAATAAAATAAAATAAAATAAAATAAGAGTTTGTTGAGTTGTTACTAAAAGACAACCTACATTGATGAGAACCCAAGACTAGGGATTAAAGGATCTCTTGGTTTTGGTGGCAAAGATGGGTGGTTTGCTTGGCCTAGGAGTTTGAGGCCAGTGTGGGCAACATGGTGAAACTCTGTCCTTACAAAAACCACAAACATTAGCTGGGCATGGTGGCATGTACCTCTAGTCCCAGCTATTCATGAGGCTGAGGTGGGAGGTTCACCTGAGTCCAGGGAGGTTAAGGCTGCAGTGAGCCATGACCACACCACTGCACTCCAGCCTGAGTGGCAGAGTGAGACCCTGTGAGCATTTGCTGTTGAAGAGTGTACAGATGCCTGTGATGCAAGCCTAAAGTGAACACAAACACTTCTAGGCAGTCAAAAGCCAAGCAGACGTACATTATTTTGTATCTGTCTAGATATGGGATATACAGATAATAACAAACACCTGAGAAGCACTTACTATGTCCCAGGCACTGTTCTAAGCACTGCACATGTATTAACATGTATGTGTATCATCTCATTTAATTTTTACAAGAACCTTAACATCTCATGAAAATTCCATCTTCCAATGATGAAATAATGTAGTTAAATAACTTGCTCATGGTCACAAAGTTAGGGAGTGGATTCAAACCTGGGCAGCCTAGTTCTAAATTAGGTAACAAGAGAAAGTAAATATGCTGAGTTGTATAACTATCATCATAACACAAGCTAGAACATTGTCGTTACCCCAGTAAGAAGCCACATGCCTGATTAAGTTAATCCCTCTTCCCACCTCCAGCCATAGGAAATCACTAATCTACTTTCTGTCTCTATAGATGTATTTTTCCGATACATTTCATGTAAATGGAATCATACAGCATGTGCTCTTTTGTGTCACCTTCTTTCATTTAGCATATTTTGTAGATTCATCCATGTTGTAGCATGTATTCGTGGTTTGTTTTTTTTTTTTTGAGGTGGAGTCTCGCTCTGTCACCCAGGCTGGAGTGCAGTGGCATGTTCACAGCTCACTGTAACCTCCACCTTCTGGGATCCATTGATCCTTCCACCTCAGCCTCTTGAGTAGCTGGGACTACAGGTGCACAGCACCATACCTAGCTAATTTTTTTTGTGTGTGTGGAGACGGGGTTTCACCATGTTACCCAGGCTGGCCTTGAACTCCTGAGTTCAAGTAATCCACCAATCTTGGCCTCCTAAAGTGCTGGGATTACAGGCATAAGCCAGTACTCCTGGCCTTCTTTCCTTTTTATGGCTGAATAATATTCCATTGGGCAGCTCTACCACATTTTGTTTACCCATTCACCAGTTGATGCATATTTGGGTGGTTTCCACTTTTTGGCTATCATGAATAATGTTGCTATGAATATTCATGTACAAGATTTTTTGTGGATATATGTTTTTATTTCTCTTGGAATAGATTCTTAGAAATGGAATTGCTTGATGGTATGGTTGTTTTGTTTACTTTTGCTTATGTTTAATGTTTAAGAAACTATGGCCTGACATTTAAGCCAAGATCTGAAGGCTGAGAAAATACAAGGGTAAAGGAAGGGAAAATGTTCTATGCAGTGAGAAAACCACTAGTTTCTGTGTTTCGTATGTGGTATCTACAAAGAAATAATTATTGTATTTTGTGTCTAAAACCCCACGCAAAATAGTGTTATCAAAGGAAATCTGTCCATTTCTTATGATGATAAATGTGCCTACATCACAGCCAGGTAGCCTTTCCCCAATGTGAACTGAAATATTCTATGAGAAATTGTTACAAAAACAAAATCCAAACTAATTAAAAAAAAAAAAACAAGACAAAGCAAGCAAACGAGCAAAACCCCAAACTCTGGCCCTGTTAGTCTTACATAGAGGGTTGTATGCTAAAATGTCCATGACTATTCCTTCTATTCTGTCTTCTTCTGTTTCAGCAAGTTTATCACGTCAATGCAGAGCAATAATATTTGCAGTCTGAAAGCCTCAGCTCTGTTTGCATTGCTTCCCAGAATAATGGTGTTCGGTGAAATGGAGGAAAATAATCACACTCAAGCCATGTTTTTCCAATATGCTTTCCCCCTTTTTGTCAAATTGTGTTAAGGTTTTGTATGTATGTATGTGTTTTCCCTTTCTATGTGCTTTTCAGTGTGAGACAGAGCAAGTATTCATGACTCTGGCAGTTCAGCCCGTCGGTTGAGTACACAATACATTGGTTAATCCAAGGTGACCTGCGGGTTGAAACTCCGTTTGCAAAGGCAGCTGCAGTACAACCACCAGGCAATTACGACATTATAAGCCATGAGTGTAAAGCTAGAGAGATAACTTCTAAAAGGCCCCAAAGAGTTTTTACTTCTTAGGCTTATGACCAGAAATTCATGGCACATTAAGTTTTCCATCTGAAAGCTAGGAGAATCCCTTGTCACACCTTCTAACTTCTAAGACATTGCAGAGAGAAAATGTCAGGATTTCTCTGGATGAAAAGTATTCTCCAAGTATAGTGATAAAATTCCAGCTTCTTCTCTGTACTTTTAAGATTAAATAAGAGGGAGGGAGGCCAGGCGCAGTGGCTCATGCCTGTAATCCCAGCACTTTGGGAGGCCGAGGTGAATCACCTGAGATCAGGAGTTGGAGACCAGCCTGGCCAACATGGTGAAACCCCGTCTCTACAAAAATACAAAAATTAGTTGGGGGTGGTGGTGGGCGCCTGTAATCCCAGCTACTCAGGAGGCTGAGGCAGGAGAATGCCTTGAACCCAGGAAGCAGAGGTTGCAGTGAGCTGGGATCACGCCACTGCACTCCAACCTGGGCAAGAGAGCAAGACTCCATCTCAAAAAAGATACTCAATAAATAAATAAATAACAGGGAGGGATTGGTGGTATATCTGGGGCTATGGTTTGGATGTGGCGTGTTTGTCTCCAACAAATTTCATGTTGAAATTGGATCCCCAGTGAGGTAGTGTGGGGAGGTGGGGCCTTGTGGGAGGTGTTTGGATCATGGAGACAGATATAACAGTTCTTGCTCTCTCAGGAATGGATTCATTCTCACCAGATTGGTTGTTATAAAGCCAGGATGATTCCAGGTTTGATCCATCTTCACACGTGTCTGGTGCCCATTTGACTTTCTCCACCATGTTTTGATGCAACTCAAAAGCCCTTACTAGACCAGGAGCAGTGGCTCATGCCTGTAATCCCAGCACTTTGGGAGGCTGAGGCGGATGGATCACCTAAGGTTAGGAGTTCGAGAACAGCCTGGCCAACATGGTGAAACGCTGGCTCTACTAAAAATACAAAAAAGTTAGCCAGGATTGGTGGTGGGTGCCTGTAATCCCAGCTACTCGGGAGGCTCCGGCGGGAGAATCACTTGAACCTGGGAGGCGGAGGTTGCAGTGAGTGAGATCACACCATTGCACTCCAGCCTGGGCGAAAGAGACTCCATCTCAAAAGACGAACAAACCAAAACAAAAGCCCTTACCAGAAACTAGGGAGACACCAGCCCTGTGCTGCTTATGCAGCCTGCAGAACTGTGAGCTAAATAAACCTCATCTTTATAAATTACCCAACCTCAGGTATTCCTTTATAGCAACACAAAACAGACAAAGACATCTGCTTAGAGGACAGTAGTGGCCATTGTTTTCATCATCCGCTTAAAATTCTTGCCCCTGTCTTTTAGAAATGGCCAGTTGGTTTTCCTTTGTGTAATAATGACATTCTCAAATTTGTTTGATTTGGTTGATCTGACTCCACTACTATGCACCGTGGGTAGGCACATGACGCAGACCTGAGTAACTGGAGAAAGGCATGTCCCTGTTCACAGTGATTGGCTCAGAAATGGGCATGTAGCCCAAGCTGGGATCATGAGAAGCCTGAGCTTTTGCTGAAAGAGTCAGGAGAGGTACCCTCTTTCCTGTCGGTTGTCAGGCTGCTACTAAACATCTTCTCTGGTGCAAGGGGGTGCCCTGTCTGTAACAGGAGAGAATAAAGCAAACAGAGAGGAAAGCAGGACCCAGAGATGGAGAAGAATAGTGGCATCATCTCAGAATCAGGAGCCAGCTATGCTGACACCTATACAGACCTTGGACCATTTGACTTTAAGCCAGTAATTTTTTCTGTGTTGTTTGGATGGGAGGAAGTTCTGCTACATGCAACCAAAAAAATTCTGACAAATTTAGGGGCCACCCAAAGCTCAGTGTAGTGCCAGAAGAAAATGGATTTTCTCCCTATTTTTAACCCCCAACTTTGTTTTTGTTTGTTTGTTTGTTTTTGTTTTTTTGGGACGGAGTCTCACTCTGTTGCCCAGTCCAGAGTGCAGTGACGGGATCTCGGCTCACTGCCACCTCCGCCTGCTGTAACCCACAACTTTGAATCAACATAGGAATTCCAAAATAATCTCATCACATGAAGTTGGTTTCAGGATGTTTTTGCTTTACCTATATATAGGTGCCATACATAAAAATCTCAGCAGGTAGCCAGGCACAACAGCTCACATCTATAATCCTAGTGCTTTGGGAGGTCAAGACAAGAGGATCGCTTGAGCCCAGGAGTTTGAGATCAGCCCAGGCAACACAGCGAGACCCCATCTCTACAATCAAATAAAAAAAAATTAGCCAGGCATGGTGGGGTGTGCCTCTTAGTCCTAGCTCCTCAGGAGGCTGAGGTGGGAGGATCACCTGAGCCCGGGAGTTTAAGGCTGCAGTGGGCTATGATGGTGACACTGCACTCCAGCTTGGGTGACAGAGGGAGACCTTGTCTCTAATAAATAGATAAATAAAAACTTGACAAGTTAAAAGTGAAAGAATCCCAGTGACTCGTGACCTAAAAAGGTAAAGTAACTGTCCCAGGGCCAAATGTTGTATTATGATTGAAGTGTCATGGTATCAGAGCCTTCTACTCTCTTTCATTATCTTTAGTGAAATGGGTTTCAAAATCTAATATTGTACACAGAAGTGGTTTTAAAATCAACATATCAATTACCAAATAATGATCAACTTAAAAAAGAAGTAAAATAGGATCCATAGCATCAGAACACATCACATATCACTTCTTGGCCTTTTGGCTAAGATCTAGTGCAGAATACATCACATATAATAAGGATAAGTAATATTTTATAAAGTTTGTTTCCATGGTATATAAACATAAATATATATGCACATACATGTAGATATCCATGGAGTGAGTCTGATATGTATGCCGTACTTTTTAACTGTGGTTCCCTGGCTAAGCTTAAAAGCTTCTTTCGTGCATACTTGGATTTCCTTTATAAGGATGTTTTCATCTAAAAGGAAAAAAAAAAAGTACATTTTTCATACCAGTAAAGGGTCACCTGGCATTCCAGTCAAGCTAGCCCACGTGGATGGCCTGGATTCTAACAAAGTTTCTGTGCCTGAGTTATGAACACAACATTTTTCTGTTTGTCTTCCACACCACTGAGCTACCAGTAACAAGAGTGTGCTTTTGGAAGGCTTTTGGGATTCTTTGGGGAATGAAAGTGCTGCATAAAATCAAGTCTGGTCTGTTTATGGATGTAATTCCCTGTGCCCAGAGATCAGGATGTGCACTGCGGTCTGAATTACATTGCATCTGATTCTCATTAACTGCCTGTGATTTTCCCCCTGGATCCGGTTTCTCTGCCTTTTCTGAATTACTGTGCACATGGCTGGCTTCCGCAGATTGCTCAGCCCTGGTCATCTGCAATTGAGTCCACTGCTCTGTTATAACCCATGCTGCAATTTGAGTGGACCCATATCAGAAGTGTTTTAGGCATAAACATTCTGTCTAATGATTAAAGGGACTCCCTAAGCTAAATGCTGCTCTTTAGAGAGTTTATTACCAATCACTATGGAAAAGGGATAGATTTGATTTCTTAAGCCTGGAGAAGGAAAGCTGGACAATAAGTGTGTATTACCAAACCTTGTATGATGCTGTCGGCTGAATTGTTTCCTCCTCAAATGCATATATTGAAGCACTAACCCCTAATATGATTGTACTTGGAGGGAAGGCTTTGAAGAGGCAATTAAGGTCATAGGAGGTCATAAGGGTGGGGTCCTAATGCAATAAAATTGGTGGCCTTCTAAGAACAGGAAAAGAGAAAGATCTTGCTCCTTTTCCACATGTGCAATGCATGCACCTGAGGAAAGACCAGCACATAGTGAGGTGGCCATCTGCAAGCCTGGGAGAGAGCCCTCACTAGAACCTCATCTCAGGCTTCCAGCCTCTAGGACTGTGAGAAAATTCAGGTCTGTTGTTTAAGCCACCCGGTCTACAGTGTTTTGCTATGGCAGCCTGAGCTGAATGATAGCTAGCAAGCAAGGCCTATCTCAATCTTTTTTAGTACCAGGAAAAGGTTGCAGATTTCTTATTAACCTAATAAATAAGTATATAGTGCCTACTATGTGCCAGGCATGTTCTAAATCCTTAACAATTATTAACTCTTGCAATCTTCACAACACACTCAGTCAGGATGAGCTAAGTTATGCTGCAGTGACAACTCCTGGATTTCAATGTTTAGAACCTCATGTGTATATTTCTCCCTCACAGTTGTCTCTTCCTTGGATCTGGTAGGAGAAGGTAGGATAGGGGACCCTTTTACCTGGAAATGACACTTCCCTTGTGCTCACTTTTCTTTGGCTAAAGCAAGTCACAGGCTTCCTTTAACTTTGAAGATGGGGAAGTGCTATCCTGCCATGTTTCTGGAAGGAAGAGAACCAGACACATTTGTTGAACAGCAAAAATGACTACTGAAACCATTTTATGAAGAATATGCTTTTGCTGTTCCTATTTTACAGATGAGAAAACAAACACAGACAGTTTGTGTAACTTATCCTAGATCACAAAACTAGTAAACAGAGTCAGGTTACCAGGCTTAGCAAATCAAAATACAAGACACTCAGTTAAATTTGAATTTCAGATAAACAACAAATAAATTTTTAGCAGAAATATGTCTTAAATCTGCATATGGGATATATTTATACTAAAAAACTATTTGTTGTTTATCTGAAATTCAAATTTAAGTGGGTGTCCTATATTTTATCTGGCAACCCTAAGCCAGGCAATCCTCAGCCAGGATTTGAACCCAAGTATTTTGGCTTCAGAGATGAATATTCAGAGATGAATATTCTATTCAATACTGTTCTTTTGCTTCTGCAACCTTCTTTTGTTCCTCTGCTGATGTTAATTTAATATTTGTTCCTGAACCATATGAATAAGGCTGAAAGCAAATTTGAGGTCTTCTCTATGAGGATGGGGATAAAGAGCATTTTGGAAATGTTTTCCCACTGATAGTTTCACGTAGAGTCCTGGGAGCTGGGGTGCGGGGGCCTGGGGGTATAGGAGGAAATGGAATCTCTCCTGTAAAAGTGAACCTGTCCACTTTCAGATGTGTCTAGTGATCTGCCTCCTAATGTTTCTTAGCTAATGGAAGGGGAAATGTGGGGCAGATAATCAAAATGACAGTTAATCCCCAAAACTTTCCCCTGTAACTTTGAAGTGTGGCATGTTTGCCTTTTAAATTTTGAGGCACTTAGGCTGATAATAAAATTAGTTTGCATTCTCTGACCACAGTAATTGAGGATTCAGGCTTGAGGAGTTGGCTCCACACCAGTGGTAGACAGTGGGCATATAATTATGTATTTGAAATGAAAAAGAAAATTATGTATGTGAATAGGGTGAGTCTGAAGGGGAGTGTAAAGCCAGCTTAAGACCACATTTTTCAGTTATTGTCCCACAAGGTTGATAGTCGATATGCAAATAAGTGTTTACAGTGATAATAGCTGATACATGATTAACATCTAAGAAATACTTATTAATTGCCTGGCACAGAGCCTGGTATAAAGTAGAAATTAAATATTTGTTAAATCAATGAATGATTGACACCCTATAATGTAGATGCTCTCCGTTGCCCTATTTTACAAATGAGGAATCGGAAGTTAGGCTCAGTGACCATCTGATTAAAATCAGTCTATCTTCTTCTTTTTCTTCTTTTTTTTTTTTTGAAACCAGGCCAACTGCTAAAGATCTTTGGGCCTAGGCAAGAACTTTGATTTATCTGAGAATTAGTCTGCAGAGTTCCTAGTTCTTGATTACTACTTCTCTTGATTTGAGTTGGCCTTCAAAGAGTTTGAATCAAGCAGCTGAAGCTTGTGACTCATTCCCTCTATTAGGAATAATGGCTAATAAGCAATTAGGAAGAATTGATTAACATGTCTGAGCCCTTGGATAAAAAAATAGCTAAGTATAGAAGATTAACATTTCATTGTTGCTATGTGGCCTGAGTTTCACTTAATTCCCTGCAAAAGGACACAGAATCTTTCCCTAGATGAGGTTTCAAAGCAAGGGCCAGTCATCATTCAGTATTCAAGGGGGATTGGTTCTAGGACCCTGGTGGGGAGTAAAATGCAAGGATGCTCAGTCCCTTTAATTAAATGGAGTATTATTTGCATATAACTTATACACATCCTCCTGTATACTTTTTTCTTTATTTTTTATTTTTTAATGAGATGGAATCTCACTATGTTGCCCAGGCTGGGCATGAACTCTTGGGCTCAAGCAATCCTCTTGCCTCAGCCCCAGCAAAGTGTTGGGATTACAGGCGTGAGCCACCACACCCAGCCACATCCTCCTGTGTACTTTAAATTATCTTTATATTACTTATAATACCTATCCAATGTAAATGCTATGTAAATAAAGTCAAACATCGCTTTATAATGGAGATACCTTCTGAGAAATGCATTAGAGTATTTCCTCATTGTTCAAACATCATAGAGAGCACTTATACAAACTTGGATTGTGTAGTCTGCTACACACGTAGGCTGGATGGTATAGCCTAATAGCCTGTTGCTCCTAGGCCCAAAGAAACCACCTTCTCTGTGAGGCCTATTATGAAGACTAATTTCAGGTATTAACATTGGAGATCCCTCAGTACCCCCTTATTGTGTGCCTTGGTGCAAGAGCCAAGGAAAAGGAAAGTAAATGAAAGTCTGAAGAAACTGTTTTTGGACAAGAGGCCAACATTGACATGTTCCTTTGGCTATTTAATAAATTTCGGCGACCCACTAGGGATATATGAATAAGCTGGGCATACACACCCCATAGACTTTAACAGAGTAGCAGAAAATAACAGTTAGTATTAATTTCTATTGAAAATCCTTTTATTTAGTCATTACTATATCCCAGGTTCTGTCCTAAGTTATTTATCATGATTTCATCTTTTAACTGTCCAAACAGTCTTGTGGGCTGCTCTAACGCTGCTGGTGGGTACACAGCTTGGTAATGCCACTTTGGAAAACTGTTTGGCAGTATCTTCCACACTGAGTGTATGCAAACCCTATGACCCAGCAATTCTATTCTTCCGTATATACTGAGCAGAAATGAATACATGTGTTCACCAAAAGACATGTTCTAGAATGTTCGTAGCAGCACTGCTAGTAACAGCCCCAAAATAGGACCCACCCAAATGCCCATCAACCTTGATTGATTAATCGATTGATATATATGTGTATATATATATATATATATATATATATATTTTTTTTTTTTTTTTTTTTTTTTTTTTTGAGATGGAGTCTCGTTCTGTCGCCAGGCTGGAGTGCAGTGGTGCAGTCTTGGTTCACTGCCAACTCTGCCTCCTGGACTCAAGGGATTCTCCTGCCTCAGCCTCCCAAATAATTGGGATTACAAGCCCACACCACCATGCCCAGCTAACATTTATATTTTTAGTAGATACTGGGTTTCACCACGTCGGCTAGGATGGTCTTGATCTCCTGAACTTGTGACCCACCCGCCTTGGCCTCCCAAAGTGCTGGGATTACAGGCATGAGCCACTGCACCCAGCCAATTGACTGATTTCTTAGTTGATTGTGAGTTAATTAAAAGGCACATTATTCTGAGTATTCTGAGTGGGCCTAAATTCATCATGCTGGAGCCCCTTTCGAAAGGGCCAGTAACTTCACGTGGAGGGATTTCCCTGCTCCTCTGAAGTGGTGATGCAAACCGCCTACGGAGAGGAGCGCTCAGCAAGGAACCGTGGGGCCCTTTAGCAGCCGAGCACAGACATTAGCTGACAGTCAGCAAAGAAGTGGGAAACTCAGTCTTAGGAACACAAGGAATCAAATTCTGCAAGCATCTATATAAGCTTGGAAGAAGACCCCAAGCCCCACATGAGGATGCAGCCTGGCTGACCCCTTGAATTCAGCCTTATGAGAACCCTGAGCAAAGAATCCAGGTAAGCCATGCCCAGACTTCAGACCTGCAAAAACTGAGACGATAAATTAATGTTGGCTGGATATAGTGGCTCACACCTGTAATCCCAGCACTTTGGGAGGCTGAGGTGGGTGGATCACCTAAAGTCAGGAGTTCGAGACCAGCCAGAGGAACATGGCAAAACCCTGTCTCTACGAAAAAATAAAATTAAAAAAATGGAAAAAATTAGGCCAGGCACGGTGGCTTACACTTGTAATCCCAGCACTTTGGGAGGCTGAAGTGGGCAGATCACCTGAGGTCAGGAGTTTGAGACCAGCCTGGCCATTATGGTGAAACCCTGTCTCTACTAAAAATACAAAAATTAGCAGGGCGTAGTGGCGGACGGCTGTAATTCCAGCTACTCAGGAGGCTGAGGCAGGAGAATTGTTTGAACCTGGGAGGCAGAGGTTGCAGTGAGCCAAGATCATGCTACTGCACTCCAGCCTGGGTGACAGAGTAAGAGTCTGTCTCAAAAAAAAAAAAAAAAAAAAAAAATTAGCCAAACCAGGCATGGTGGCAGGTGCCTATAATCCCAGCTATTTGGGAGGCTTAGGGAGGAGAATTGCTTGAACCTGGGAGGTGGTGATTGCAGTGAGCCAAGATCATGCCGTTGCACTCCAGCCTGGGTGACAAAGCGAGACTCTGTCTCAAAACAAAAAAACTAAAAACTTACCAAACACCACCTTTTTCTCTAAGATGATATGTAAAACTCTTTCATGTCTCAAATTCTTTGCATATGCTTAAAATGATTTTTATTCTGCAACTCCTAATTGAGAGGTAGTTGTTTCCTTGTCTTTCCTACTCATTAAAAAAATCTATACATTATAACTAGTTTAACTATCAACCTTTAAAAGGGTAAATAAATTATGGTATTGTGGTATATTCACACAGTGGAACACTCTGCAGCAATGCAAATGAATCATCTGCAATTACATACAAAAGATGAGTATATTTCACAAACATTCCATTTTTATGAAGTTTGAAAAATACTGTTAGACACTGGGTAGTGGTTAGTCTTAGGGGATGGTGAGGCAGGCAGAATTCTAAGGTGGGGGACATGATACCTGCCCCCTAGGTTGCTCCCTCATATAATCCCTGTCCCTTGAGTACAGGTGCAACCTGTGACTTAGTGGGGTATCCCTCCTGTTATTAAGGTCCCTAATCACTGAGGAGACTATCATGGGTTGACCTGTCCTAATCAGGCAAGCTCTTAAAATGAGCAGTTAGAGGTCAGAGACAGAAGTCACAGTGACAAACAAGGTGCTTCTGGCCTGGAAGGGACCCACAGTTGTGACCTGTATATGGGGGCAGGAACCACACAGCAAGGAACTGGGCAGCCTGTAGGAGCTGAGAGTGGGCCCCTGCCAACAGCTAGCAAGGGAGCTGGACCTCTGTTATACAGCCATAAGGAACTGATTCTGCCAGCAACTGCAACGAGCTCAAGTCCTGAATGAGAACCCAAGCCTTGGCTGACACCTTGATTGCTAACTCGTGAGACCTGAGATCTATCTAAGCTGTGCCCGCACTCCTGACCCATGAACACTGAGATAATAAATCTGTGTTGTTTTAAGCTACTCAATTTGTAGTAGCAGGTTACATTGCAGTAGAAACGTAACACAGAGGGTAGGGATGAGAAGGAGGCTACTGGGTATTGAGAGTGTTCTGTTTCTTGATCTAGGTGATGGTCACACGAGTATATTTAATTTGTGAAGTTTGTATTTTACACTTAAGATGTGTACACTTTTCTCTATGTATTATACACTTGATACAAAGTTGTTTAAAAATGAATCTTTTGAAATAGGTTGTGTGTTATAATCTCTGCTCTACAGTTGAGGATATGGAAGCCCAGAGACACCCAAGCCCAGATCTGCCTGATTTCACTGTGCTCTGTGGTCTCTATTGTAGCCTACCCCTCTTGTTGATGGTCAGATAATATAACTATCCCCTTGGTGGTGCTACTCTTTGTAAAACACTAAAAAAACAAAAAAGGGGAGGGGAGTAACTCTTCAGAATGAGTCAGACCTTTGATATATGTCGTTTTGATTATTCAGGGAGCCCTGATAATAATTGCAGTCATTTTCTAGTGGTGCAGTAAGGGACCTCTGATAAATGTGACCTTTTATTGCTGTCCATCGCCCCTCCTCCTTCCAGGGACCGGCAACAAATATATCTACTAAAGATTCTGACTTTTGACCCTGCCTGTCAACAACTGAGAAGGAAAGGAGAAATAGAGAGGTAAGAGTTCACCCAAGGTGTGTTTGTTCAGGAAAAAGTATTTATTACACCAGCATTTTCTTTAAAAAAATGCAACAAACCAAAAACCTAGCAACAGTCTTTCAAAGATTACCAAAATAATATTAATTAACAATCATTTAAACAGAATCAAACAACTTCAGAAATTATGCACCTAAAAGTTTAAAAATTATCCTCCTTAAAAATAACAACTACTGCCGGGCGCAGTGGCTCATGCCTGTAATCCCAGCAGTTTGGGAGGCCGAGGCAGGCAGATCACCTGAAGTTGGGAGTTCGAGACTAGCCTGACTAACATGGAGAAACCCCGTCTCTACTAAAAATACAAAATTAGCCAGGCGTGGTGGTACATTCCTGTAATCCCAGCTACTCGGGAGGCTGAGGCAGGAGAATTGCTTGAACCCAGAGGTTGCGGTGAGCCGAGATGGCACCATTGCACTCCAGTCTGGGCAACAAGAGCGAACTCCATCTCAAAAAACAAACAAACAAAAAACCCCACAAAAACAAAAAACTGCACTATCCCATACAGTAGCCAAGTGTAGATATTGACCACTTGAAAGATGGTCTGAATTGAAATGTTCTATGTAAATACACAGAGGATTTCAAATACTTAGGAAAAAAAGAATGTAAATATTTCAGTGTCATTATATTGGTTATATGTTGAAATCATAATTTTTAGACGTTGGGCTGCATAAGATATATTATTAGGAACTAGAAAATACAAAATTTCATCTGTGACTCATTACATTTCCTTTTGGATGCATTAATCTAGTATATTGTAGGTTCTTCACAAAAGACATATACAAAGTAAAAAAACTAGGGCTTAAATTTTTTTTTTTTTTTTTGAGATGGAGTTTTGCTCTTGTTGCCCAGGCTGGAGTGCAATGGCGTCATCTTGCCTCGCTGCAACCTTCGCCTCCCGGGTTGAAGCAATTCTCCTGCCTCAGCCTCCTGAGTAGCTTGGATTACAGGTATGCACCACCATGCCCAGCTAATTTTGTATTTTTAGTAGAGATGGGGTTTCACCATGTTGGCCACGCTGGTCTCGAACTCCTGACCTCAGGTGATCCGCCCATCTTAGCCTCCCAAAGTGCTGGGATTACAGGCATGAGACACTGTGGTGGCCTAGGGCTTTCATTTTATAGCATCATTATTAGTTTGGTTTTGTTTATTGTTGTTTTAAGAGATAGACTCTCCCTATGTCACCTAGGCTGGAGTACAGTGGCACAGTCATAGCTCACTGTCACTTCAAACTCCAGGGCTCAAGCCATCCTCCCTTCTCCTCCTCCTCCAAAGGATTACAGGTGTGAACCCCTGGGCCTAGCCCATTATTTGTTTGTTTATTGTTGATGTTTTTGTTTGTTTGTTTTTGAGGCAGAGTCCTGCTTTGTCACCCAGGCAGGAGTGCAGTGGTGCCAACATGGCTCACTGCAGCCTCAACTCCCTAGTCTCAAGCAATCCTCTCACCTTAGGTCCCGATATAGCTGGAACTACAGATGTAAGCCACCACACCAGGCTAATTTTTGTGTTTTTTGTAGAGTCAGGGTTTCACCATGTTGCCCAGTTGGTCTCAAACTGCTGAGCTCAAGCGATCCTCCCGTCTCAGCCTCCCAAAATGCTGGGATTATAGGCATGAGCTTCCATGCCCGGCCTCATTACTTATTTTTTTAATTATCTTTTTTCTGATTACAAATGTATCATAACATAGTAAAAACTATTGGAAACACAGAAAAGCATACATTAGAAAGCAAAAGCTCTCCTTTAAGCTGAATCATTTTAATTAACATTATAGCCTATATTCTTATAAAATATATATATAACTACATACTGTATATGATTCATTATATAAACATTATTTTGGCTAAATCTATCATGGAGTTCTTTCTATAATAATATGTAGGTAGATAGTTCACTATGTAAATGTATTTATTTACCCAATCTCTTATTGATTTAGGTTGAGTTTTTTCTTTCTTATGAAAACTGCCATTGCTACTGATGATCCCATGCATACATCTTTTGGTACTTGTTTAGTTATTTCCTTAGGATCCATTCCTAAAAGTAGCATTCTTGGGTCAAAAAACAGAGATGACAAATTTTAGATTCCTACAGTGCCTTGTTAGTTTGTGTTTTACTCTTAACAGTAAGCTCTCAGGCTTAGGGACCATTTATTTTTGGTGTATTGTACCCTGCATGGTTGTGGGCAGGGATCATCTCTTATAGGTTCCCCTCTCACTCCCCACTTCCATACCCTTTTCAGCTTTTGAACAAGTTGAGACTAAAAGATGGTTCAGGTTTTGATTCTTTTTTTTTTTTTTTTTTTTTTTGAGACAGAGTTTCCCAGGCTGGAGTGCAATGGCGCGATTTCGGCTCACCACAACTTCCACTTCCCGGGTTCAAGCAATTCTGCTTCAGCCTCCCGAGTGGCTAGGATTACAGGCATGCACCACCATGCCTAGCTCATTTTGTATTTTTAGTAGAGATGGGGTTTCTCCATGTTGGTCAGGCTGGTCTCGAACTCGCGACCTCACATGATCTGCCCGCCTCGGCCTCCCAAAGTGTTGTGATTACAGGCGTGAGCCGCTGCGCCTGGCCCAGGTTTTGATTCTTTAGAAAAGAAGTTGGTTGGTATCCTTAGGGAAGAATGTAATTGAAATGACCATGGACTTTTTAAATTCTTGGTCCTGAACCATCTCCTAGGGCACTGTCCAGCTTACAGGTGGCTGCTGTAGGCTCAAGTGCTGCTGTCAGTTTCAGTCAGTTTTGAGCTAAGTGGTGGAGTCCCACATGGCTCAAGAGTGCAACCTATGGCCAGGCGCAGTGGCTCATGCCTGTAATCCCAGCACTTTGGGAGGCTGAGGTGGGCGGATCACCTGAGGTCAAGAGTTCGAGACCAGCTCGGCCAACATGGTGAAACCCTGTCTCTACTAAAAATATAAAAATTAGCTGGGTGTGGTGGTGGGTGCCTATAATCCCAGCTACTCGGGAGACCGAGGCAGGATAATTGCTTGAACCTGGGAGGCGGAGGTTGCAGTGAGCCGAGATTGCGCCACTGCACTCCAGCCTGGGTGACAGAGCAAGACTTCATCTCAAAGAAAAAAGAGTGCAACCTAAGTGTAAAGAAGCCTTAGAAGGGGGCTGTGGGCAAGGCAAGCACTGACACTAGC
The DNA here is from genome assembly GCF_000001405.40 of Homo sapiens. Taxonomy (NCBI): domain Eukaryota; kingdom Metazoa; phylum Chordata; class Mammalia; order Primates; family Hominidae; genus Homo; species Homo sapiens. The sequence goes on from NC_000003.12 coordinate 66,087,347, forward strand.
TTGTTTGGTTAAGTCCCTTTGATTAGGACCATATAAAGCAAATTATTAATGGAGTACCATGATCATTTTCACTGTGGATGAATCTGTGAATGTTAATAAATGTTTGGTGTAAGAGAAATCTCATTGCAACACAGATAGTTTCAACCTCCTTGCCAAGTGCTTGGGGCTTGGTGTCTACTCTAGAAATGTTATTATGTTGAATTGACTATGAAGAAATACTAAATATCAACTAGCCAGGCGCAGTGGCTCACGCCTACAGTTCCAGCACTTTGGGAGCCTGAGGCGGAAGGATCCCTTTGAGGTCAGGAGGTTGAGACCAGCCTGGGCAACATGGTGAAACCCCAGCTCTACACAAAATACAAAAAATTAACCAGGGGTGATTACTCGCGCCTTCAGTCCCAGCTACTCAGGAGGCTGAGGTTGGGGGATGGCTTGAACCCCAGAGGCAGAGGTTGCAGTGGGCAGAGATTGTGCCACTGCGCTCCAGCCTGGGAGACACAGTGAGACCCTGTCTCCAAAAAAAAAAAAAAAGTGAACTAGCCCTAGCACTGGTAGGATCAGGAACCATCATGTAAGATAGCTAGTCATATCACATTCTAGAAATGTGCTTCAGTCCTACCATTTGAACAATTCTAGGATTCAAAACCACAAGATTAATGGTCTTTATGATATATTTTTTCCATGGGGAAAAATGAAAATGTCAGCTACCAGAGTTCTAATAATACTTTTATCATCAATTCATAGCAATCTTACTGTGTTACCACTTCAAGGAGTGCCTGGAAATTAGTATATGCTCAATTGCTCTAATTAACTGAAATGAATGCCATGTACCCAATTATTATGCTAGTAGAATGTGTCAGTTTATTGAAAATATAAAGCTATTCTGTACTCTGGAAACCTTTTCTTGGATGACAGATATATAGCTCTAGAAATTAAAACCCCATAGGTTAACATTCTGTACAGTTTTTCATGTTTTTTTTTTTTTTTTTTGAGGCAGTCTCGCTCTGTCACCAGGCTGGAGTGCAGTGGCTCCATCTCCACTCACTGCAACTTCTGCCTCCTGGGTTCAAATGATTCTCCTGCCTCTACCTCCCAAGTAGCTGAGATTGCAGGTGCCCACCACCATGCCCAGGTAATTTTTGTATTTTTTTTTTTAGTAGAAATGGGGGTCTCACCATGTTGGCCAGGCTGGTCTCAAACTCCTGACCTTAAGTGATCTGCCTGCCTCAGCATCCCAAAATGCTGGGATTACAGGTGTAAGCCACCGTGCCTGGTCGATACTTTTTTTTTTTAAACTGGCAACATGGCATCCACTAGGGCACAATGGAAATGTTCTTAGAAGGGCTTGAATAGTTTCCCAGACTTTGGAGGAAACCTGACTTATATGGAAAAGCCTGAAGGTGAGAGGCTGATGGGAACATTGTGGTGGCAAAGCCTATAGGGTGAGCTTTGAACCAAGAGGGTGGATGCCCTGTTGGCATGGTAGCCTTGTTTTAATCTGTTGAAAGAACCCCACTCTGCAGAAGAGTGTAGCAGAATGTGGCAGTATGGGCTGTACCACTAGAGTAGGCCAGGAAGGGCCACATAAGAAGTCAGCAAAATAATGCATTTACTAAGGAAATTGGCCACCATAAGAAGTCCCTAGTTTGGGCTGGGCACAGTGGCTCACGCCTGTAATCCCAGCACTTTGGGAGGCTGAGGCAGGCTGATCACTTGAGGCCAGGAGTTCAAGACCAGTCTGGCCAACATAGTGAAACACCATCTCTACTAAAAATACAAAAATTAGCCAAGCACAGTGGTGCATGCCTGTAATCCCAGCTACTTGGGAGGCTGAGGCAGGTTGATCACTTGAGGCCAGGAGTTCAAGACCAGTCTGGCCAACATAGTGAAATACCATCTCTACTAAAAATACAAAAATTAGCCAGACACAGTGGTACATGCCTGTAATCCCAGCTACTTGGGAGGCTGAGGCAGGAGAATTGCTTGAACCCGGGAGGCAGAGGTTGCAGTGAGCCGAGATCGTGTCACTGCACTCCAGCCTGGATGACACAGCAAGACTCTGTCTCAAAAAAAAAAAAGAAGTCCCTAGTTTGGGGGTGTGGGGGATGGTGAGTCTCGAAAGACTGATAAAACTGCCCCAGTAGGAAAAGAGGCAATGTTTGAGATATATCACCAGTTCAGTGAGAACATATTGTTCCCTTCCATAAGCTCCTCTCCCACTCCCAATCCCAATCCTATGGGGTATAGGAGTATCAGAGAGTGGTTAAAAAAGAAGGTAAAAAGGCCAGGCACAGTGGTTCACACCTGTAATCCCAGCACTTTGGGAGGCTGAGGCAGGCGGATCACTGAGGTCAGGAGTTTGAGACCAGCCTGGCCAACATGGCGAAACTCCATCTCTACTAAAATTACAAAAATTAGCCGGGTGTGGTGGCGCACACTTGTAATCCCAGCTACTTGGAAGGCTGAGGCAGGAGAATTGCTTGAATCTGGGAGGCGAAGGTTGCGGTGACTTGACATCGCACCACTGTACTCCAGCCTCGGAGATGGAGCAAGGCTCTGGCTAAAAGAGAGAGAGAGAGAGAGAGAAGGCAGAACAAGGAAAGAAACAACAAATCCCTCTTGCTTTCTCATCTGGGGTTAGGTCTGAGCTGCTGGAGAGAAAAGCTTTACTTGGATGAGAAACTGAAGTTTTGCTATTATGCTACATTGGACATTTGTAGTCCTGAAAATGATTGTTACTACTTGAATGTTTTTGGAGATGCCAGGCAATCTGCCCTGGATGTTCAGTTGGGGTAGGGAAGGAAAACACAACAGAGAAAATTTGAAGATAGCAATGGGGGAGATGAATTTACTTCCTTCTGTACCTTATCAAACCCAACTCATTTAATTAGCCAGTTTCTCCCTATAAACCCCCATTACCATGTAAACTGTATTTCAGTTATATGCAACATGAGATAACCTGATTGACAGTGATTGTGTGTGACTCATTAGTTAGAAATCTAATGAAGATTCTTTGCTAGAACCAGGTGGTTCTCTTTGGACTAAACAGAACACTGGTACATGGGTCTGCAGCATCAGTATCACCTGGGAGCTGCTAGAAATGCAGACTCCCAGGCCCTATCCCAGACTTACGTCATCAGTAGCTTAACAAGATCCCCCAGGTGATCCATATGCACATTAGAGTTTGAAAAGCATTGATTTGAGAACTAAGTATGTTTTACATTTTCTCCTAGACAGGAAAATCCTCACTTTGACCTCAGTATTGTGGGACCCTGAAATGGAAGGAGCTCAGAATCATGAGATCTGAGCCCTACCTGTGTTATGCTGGTTGAATCATTTCTTGGATTCTCCAACATTTTTGTAGTTGTTTAATCAGATGAATTATAAGGTCTCATCTGGCTCTGACATTGTGTAATTCTAAGAAATTTTGGTTGAAGCGAAAGAAAAAATAAAGCCCGGTTAAAAAATTTAATAAACCTGGTAACAATTTGATGAAAGAGCCACTACAGCTTCACCGTGTTGCTGTGCAACTGTGATGGAGGGTATTGTCCATGCATCCCTGCTCATCACTTCGTCGTTTGTTAGCCCAAATGAAAAGTCTTTTCCTGTTTAATAACAATTATCCCTCCTGTATTGAGGAAGAAGCATATTTGATAAGAAAAGAAGATTATTGCTAAAACAAAATGATATTTAGAGTGGCGGGCTGCCAGCAGCTACCAAATCATTTGTATTGGAATGATTAGTAAATTCTTTTTTTTTTTTTTTGAGACAGAGTCTTGCTCTGTTGCCCAGGCTAGAGTGCAATGGTGCCATCTTGGCTCACTGCAACCTCTACCTCCCGGGTTCAGGCAATTCTCCTACCTCAGCCTCCCAAGTAGCTGTGATTACAGGCGACCACCACCATGGCCAGCTAATTTTTTTGTATTTTTAGTAGAGACAGGGTTCTGCCATGTTGGCCAGGCTGGTCTCGAACTTCTGACCTCAGGTGATCCACCCATCTTGGCCTCCGAAAGTGCTGGAATTATAGGCATGAGCCACCGTGCCCAGCCAAGTAAATTCTTTATTTGGAAAGCAGCATATGTTTTTTTTGATGTGTAAGGATTTTTTTTTTTTTTTTTTTTTTTTTTTTTTTTTTTTAGAAAGGAGAATTGCTCTGTTGTAAAACAAAGATCACACACAGACATAGAACAAACTCAAATTTGACCTCGGTAATGTAAGTCATGTGGTGGTGTAGGCAAAGAAGAATGCTAGAGCCAGTACTTAAGAATATATTTCAGGTGCATCGCTGATTCACTGTGTGATGTTGGCAATGTCTTTTACCTCTTCTATTTCTCAGTTCTGCTACCATAAAAGTGATTGAATTGGATTATTCCATCCTGCATATTAATTGCTGTTCCTGATAGAGGCTGCCTGGAACTTTGGGTTGAGAAGTACAGCAGGGCCTCAGCAAGCTCAGTGGGAAAGGATCAATGAATTAGGCATGTCTGCTGTGGGCGAGGCAATAGGGAGTGACCAACTAATTCCATTTGTTTGCAAATTTCTGGGTTAGGAGCTTTCTGAGGACATTGACTATCTTAAATGTTTTCATCCTGAAAATATTTTAAAATGGTTTTATTATAGGATAAAAATAAAGAGAGAGAGACTGATTTCTAGATTTATTATTGCTTCTTTGTTTTTGTTATTGTTTTTGTTTTGAGTCAGGGTCTCACTCTCACCCAGGCTGGTGTGCAGTGGCGTGATCACAGCTCACTGCAGCTCCCACCTCCCTGGCTCAAAGAATCCTCCCACCTCAGCCTCCCGAGTAGCTGAACTACATAGGTGCGCACCACCATGTCCGGCTGATTTTTGTATTTTTTGTAGAGATGGGGTTTCACCATGTTGCCCAGACTGGTCTTGAACTCCTGGGCTCAAGCAAGCTGCCTGTCTTGGCCTCCAAAAGTGCTGGCATTACAGGCATGAGCCACCACACTTCTTTGGAGTCTTGCAACAGCTTGAAGTATATGTGTGCTTTCCTGTTCTTGATAGCAACTTGCAGGACAAGCTCTGAAGAGAAGGAAATCTGCTTGGATTTAAAAGATATTCAGTGTGAGATACCAGATAGGCTGGAAGTGATTTATGAAACGAGTTCTCTGTTTTGTTAAAACATAAGATTGTTGTTCCATTTGGGGACCTTTATATGAAACAGATGCCTAATCTATAAATCAGCCACCCTGCAGTAAGGGAGATGACATTTTAAAATAAATTATTGTGGATCCAGGAAGTAAAAGTGTGGATGAACAAATTTTTATTGTCTTCTGGGCATAGGAAACATCTTATCAGTCATCTGTTTGGGACGATCTTCCCCCCGATGCTTATTAAGGGAATTGGTGATGAGGAAAGAGTCGAAAGTTCTGTCTAGAAATTTGTTCTCTGACCTAACAAGGCACTCCTCAGGTTTGACAGGAACAGCGGCAGAATTGTGGACTTTTCCAGCTTTGTCAAGAAAGCGCTGCTGTTGCGTTTGGGTTTCAGTTTCAAATGTAGTCCCCCAGAGGAAACTGGATTAGAGTAGTTTGTAGAGTTCAGAGACGGAATACATTTATAGTTGTTGGGTTTTTTCCTTTTCTGTCGAGCTCTTCAGTGGGTCTACTTTCTACTTCCCATTATAAAAATGAACATTTTGGCGGGGCATGGTGGTTCATGTCTCTAACTGAAGCAGTTTGGGAGGCCGAGGAGGGAGGATCACTTGATACTAGGAGTTTGAGACCAGCCCCGGCAACATAGCAAGACCCCTTCTCTACAAAAAAATAAACAATATTAGCCAGGTATGGTGGTGCACCATCTGTAGTCCCAGCTACTCAGGAGGCCGAGGTAGGTGGATTGCTTGAGCCCAGGAGTTTGAGACCAGCCTGGGAAACATAGGGAGATCCTGTCTCTATGAAAAATATAAAAAGTAGCTGGATGTGGTGGTACACACCTGTGGTCCCAGCTACTCAGGAGGCTGAGGTAGGAGGATTGCTTGGGTTTGGGAATGGAGGCTGCAGTGAGCAGTGATTGTGCCACTACACTTCAGCCTGGGTGACAGAGCAAGACTCTGTCTTTTGTCAAAAAAAAAAAAAAAAAGGAAAGAAAGAAAGAAAGAAAGAAAAATTTCATTGTTTTCATGTCATTTCTTGACTGTTTGATAGTTTTCTGATAGTCAGCTAATGATCATTGTCTCTGCACCTGAAAGCCGCAAGTTCATTCATGTATTCATTGGTTTAGTAAAAAGTATTCACTTAACTCTGATGGAGAGGAAGACATATGGCTGGCCACCCAGGTTATAGTGATGTTTATATAAGGCATGCTCCATCTTCAAGGTTTACAACCCAGCAAGGGGCCATAAATACAGTATATCCAAAATGACAGGTAATTCAAATATGAGTTCCAACTGATTTTGGAAGTCTTTTTTCATTTTAGAAGACATTAATCATTTTCTTTAGCTTGATTTAATTTTTTGAGTTGATAATTTAGTCACATGGTTCAAAAATAAAAGTGGAATCAAAAGTCTTACTCTAATTCCTGACCCAACCTACCTAATTTACTACCCTTCGGCCTCCTGTATGTAACCACTCTTATTAATTTTCTGCAGAGCCTTCTGGTATTTATTTTTGTGCAGATATAAATATATTCTTATTTTCCCTCCTTTTACGTAGAAGTTCGCATACTATATTACTGTTTTGCATGCTACCTTTTTCACTTAATTGTTTTCCTGTGACATTTCACAGGGCATAGGGAACTTCATTCTCTTTTTCATAGCTGTGAATATTGTATGGAAGTACTGTGGCTTATTCACCCACTCATCTCTAGATGAGTGTTTGGGTATTCCCAGCCTCTGGCTCACACACAACTCTACAATCGATACAAGGGTGTATCTGAAACTTCATATAGTGCTGGTTTAGGTTTAGCTGTAAAACAAATTCCCAGGAGTGAAATTGCTGAGTAAAAAAATAAATGCATTTGTAATTTTGATAGGGATTGCCAATCAGCTCCCCAAAGCGTTGCACCATTTTGGACTCTCACCAGCAATGGATGAGAGTGCTTAATTCTCCTATTGATTATAAGATATGTTGTAAAACTTTTGGATTGGATTTTTGCCAACTTGATAGGGAAAAAAATGATATCCCTGCATAGCTTTGATGTGGATTTTTCTAATTAAAAGTGAGGTTAGGCCAGGTGTGTTGGCTCACGCCTGTAATCTTAGCACTGAAAGGCTGGGGTGGGTGCACTGCTTGAGCCAAGGAGTTTGAGACCAACCTAGACAACGTGGTGAAACCCTGTCTCTACAAAAAATAGAAAAAGTAACCAGCTGTGGTGGTATGTGCCTGTTGTCCCAGAAACTCAGGAGGCTAAGGTGGGAGGATCACATGAGCCCAGGGAGGTTGAGGCTGCAGTGAGCCATGATCGCACCACTGCACTCCAGCCTGGGGAACAGAGTGAGACCCTGTCTCAAAAACAAAACAAAAATGAGATTAAATGTCTTTTTATATGGTTAAGAGACCCTTATATTTTTTTTTTGTGACCTGTCAATGTCTTTTGGTCATATTGCTATTGCTTTGTTGATTTTTTTTCAAAATTTCTCAGAGGAAAATTTAGTCTTCTTCATGAACATTTATTCTAAAGATCTTTTTTCTTTCTTTCTTTCTTTCTTTCTTTTTTTTTTTTTTTTTTTTTTTTTTGTGAGATGTATCTTGCTATGTTGCCTAGGCTGAACTCACACTCCTGGGCTCAAGCAATCCTTCTCCTTCACCTCTCTAGTCTAAGCTAAATTCTCTGTATGTGTGTACTTGTTTAACCCTCAGCAAGCCTGGGAACTGAGTATTGCCAGACTATTTTTAAAATGAGGAAACAGAGGTTCAGAATAGTTAAGTGACTTCAGGCCATACAGCCAGGCAGAGGCAAAACTGATGTCTGGAATCAAGTTGGTCTTACTGCTAAATTCTGTCCTCTTAATTGCCCAGCTTTACTGTTTTTCTTAGGTGGATGCCAGAGTTAACTCATTCAAACTGGTTTTTGTTTCCCAAACACACAAGATGATGGAGGAGTGTGTTGCTGAGCTCATGTTTGGTGGTATGTGAGACTCCAGCTGGGATAAGAAACACACCATGTATAATCCACCCAGTGAATAATCCCCAGGGAGATTGATTGTACACTTCCCCCTACCCCGGAAAGCCTTATGATAGTGTGACTAAAGCCAAGAAGAAACAGAAATGACACATGGCTGAAATTACACAGGAAAAGGATCACATCGAGGCAAGCGTCATAAGATGCACATGGCCACTGTGAACCAAGCATGTAAATCAAACATCACCAAAAGTGGTTCCCATTAGAGGCCCAGAAAAAATTTCAATGTTGCAGTTATTTCTGCTTCTCCTGCCTTAAAGGAGGTGTAATCACCGAATGAGCTCATCTTGCCCACTGTGCAGAAAAAACCAATTCACTGAGACAGTGGTATTATAATAGAGAAAGAGTTTAATTAACTTAGAGCTAGCCAAATGGAAGGATGGGAAGTTTATTACTCAAATTTAGTCTGTCAGAATTCAAAGGCTGGGGTTTTCATGGACACTTTGGCTAGCGGGGGATAGGGAATGTGTGCTGCTGATTTATTGGGGATGAAATTATAGGAATGTGGAAAATGATCCTCTTGCACAGAATCAGCCTCTGGGTGGGGACCACAGGACCAGCTATCATGAGCCATGGGTCCAAGTGAAGTCAGTTGGTCACTAGAATGCAGAAGTTTGAAAAACATCTCAAAAGACCAACCTTAGGTTCTACAATAGTGATGTTATCTATAGAAGCAATTGGGGAAGTAGGACCTCCAGCACAGTAACCAATTATAGAGGGGCAAGCTACACTTACATTTTTAGCAAAATTCAAGCCACTCCTATAATTCTAATCTTGAGGCCTTTGTTTTGTTTTGTTTTGTTTTGTTTTGTTTTGTTTTGTTTGAGGCAGAGACTTGCTGTGTCACCCAGGCTGGAATGCAGTAATGCGATCATAGCTCACTGCAATCTCAAACTCCTGGGCACAAGTGATCCTCCTGCCTCAGCCTCCTGAGTAGTCAGGACTACAGGCACTTACTACCATGCCCAGCTAATTTTTAAATTTTTTGTAGGGATGGAGTCTTGCTTTGTTGTCCAGGCTGGTCTTGAACTCCTGAGCTCAAGCAATCTTCCTGCCTTGGCCTCTCAAAATGCTGGGATTACAGGCATGAGCCACTTTGCCCAGCCTGTGGCTTTTCATTAGTCTTACAAAGGCAGTTTCAGTCCCTGAACAAGGAGAGTGTCAGTTTTAGGGAAGGACTATTATCATCCTTTCTTTAATGTTAAACCATAAAGTAAATTCCTCCCATGGTTAGCTTGGCTTGTGCCTGGGAATAAGCGAGGACAGCCAGCCTGTGAGGCTAGAAGCAAGAAGGAGTCAGCCATGCTAGACTTTCTCACTGTCATAATCTTCACAAAGGCGGTTTCATAGGCTTCTGGGAAACCTGGATTATAGGAGGTATCTGAAGTCCATCGCCAACTTCTTTCTCAAACAGCTTGGCCAGAACCTGGAGATTTGGGAGTTCTTGGGAAAGATGCTTTCTCTTCCCAACTTTCTATGCTCATGCTGTGGATAAAAAATTGAGCGGGCCCCAAAAGAGCAAAATAGATGAAATCGTGGTTCATTTATGGCATTTGACAAATCTGCAAGATTCGATGCAAGTGCACTACTAAATGATTAAAACCCCAGGTTCTGCCCTCCGGGAATGTGTGAGAGTATTATATTACTCCTGAATAATGTAACCACTGCAGTTTTCTGCCAGTTCAAAAATATAGCCAAGATGCCCTTTTTCACTGTATTTACCAATGACATTCTACAAGCCATCTTCCCTGTAGCAAGTTTCCCTATTTTCTTTTGCTTTAGTTTATTATGATTTAATAAAAATTGAATCAGTGGATTTAAGCTTAATTAAAGCTACTGTCATGTTTTTAAGCAAGGTAGCAGGTGTATATGAAAACGTATGCTGACAAGATTCAGGAAGTGTCTCCTGGTACGGTCTCAGAGATACTGGGAATTAAATGGATCACTCACACATAGGAGGGGAGTCAGAATGGATTTGGTTTTGCTGAGAATTTAATTTAAGTTTTCATTAGGATATAGAAGTTCAGCATTTCCCCTGAATAGTATATGTTCAAAAGTGGAAAAAGTAGAGGAAATAGATTGTTGTTCCCAATGCTTCAGCTTGATGTGTTAGGAGAGCTTGCAATAGTATAACCAGGGAGATCTTTGGATTGTCAGCTATATCATCGATCAGGGGTTGGCAAACTTTTCCTGTATCAGGCCTGATAGTAAATATTTAAGGCTTTGAGGTTCATAAGGTCTTTGTTGCAGTTATTCATCTCTGCCGTTATAGTGTGAAAGAGTCAGAGACAACACATAAATGAATGGGTATGGCTTTGTGTCAATACAACTTTATTTATAAAAACAGACTTCAGGCACATCTTGGCCCAAAAGCCATACCTTGCCATAGAACAAAGCTTGAGTGCTTTCTTTCCTAGGTAGGAAATCCTGCACTGGGTAGTACCCTTAGATTATAAGACAGTGCTTTCATTTGTAATGTGTATGATTGTCTCCAGCCACACAATTTTAGAACAAGTCACCAGCGAGAGGACCATGTACGTGGCCTTCACCATTTCTTCATTTCCATCGTCCTTCTTGCTCTCACCTCCTTTTATGCATGTCATTTATTTGATACTTCCTTTATCTCTGTCACGTGCCTCTATCTTTTCAGTTCATTTCTACTTTCCTGTTAACTCTAGAGATGGTATGAGGAAGGAGTTAGGCATTTGGACCCAAAGCTCACTCATACCTGGGTTCAAATCTTGGCTGAGTCACTTATTTAAGAAGTTTTTTGTTTGCTCGGATTATGTTTGTCTGTCTTTCAAATGAGGCTCAAGGTAGGTAATTTACAAAGTTACTGTGATGTTTAAAAGAATATGAATGATGCTTTACAAATTAGTAATCAATAAATGCTAATTAAAGATACTCACAAAATATACCTAAATTGTTACTACTGTACTTTGTAATTTCTGACATTCTACTTTTATGAATCAAACTCTCAATTTCTTCCAGACTTTCATATTTGTTTATTTTGGGAGCTGAAATGTCCTCAGAAGAAAGTAACTGTTTTGGTTATTATTAAGCTAGATGATGAGGGCCAAAACCACAAAATAACAGTGGCTTAGACAAGAGAAGCTGGTGTAGAAAGAATGGTGCCCAGTATCAAAGCCCCTTCCATCTGTGTCTCCTACTTCCATTCCAATGTGTCTGCTCGAGCTCCTCGAGCAGTTAAGCAATCAGAGAGGTCAGGGCAGAAAGGGCAGAAAACGAGAGGCTTCCATAGACAACCAGTGGCTCCCTCAGGCACTCTCCATCACGTAAACCTGTTTTACCTTCTCCACTGACTGCAATCATCTTGTGTTTTTGTTTACTTGTTTATTGTCTATTTCTTCTCAGTAGAACATAAGCATCAGGAGCTCAGGGACTTTGTCTTATTTGCCACTGTTTTCCCCACACCTGATACCATGGCTGGTACTTTGTAGACACACACTCAACAACTTTCCTTCTTTCCTTCCTCCTCTCCCCTCCCCTTCCCTTCCCTTCTCTCTGCTTTTATTTTAGATTCAGGGGGTACAAGTGCCGGTTTGTTACTTGGGTATATGATGTGATCCTGAAGTTTGGGTTATGAATGATCCTGTCACTCAGGTACTAAGCATAGTATCCAACAGTCTTTCAGCCCTTGCCCCTACTCCCTCCCTCCACCAGCCAGTAGTCCCCAGTGTCTATTGTTGCCATCTTTATGTCCATAAGTACCCAATGTTTAGCTCCCACTTACAGGTGAGAACATTCAGTATTTGGTTTTCTGTTTCTGTGACATTCACCGTCTTTAGAATGAATTCCAGAGTAAAATTATTTTGCTTTGACATAATAAAAGGATATCCTTCAAAGTGTTTTGTGCATAGTAGGTCCTCAGTGAAGCCGCCTGGAATGAGCAATTGAACAATGAATATAATACCAGTCAGCTTAGATTAGTGTCAGATAATAATAATAGTTAACAATGATTACGTGCCAAGGAATATGCGAAGTGTTTTACAGGCTTTATCTCATTTATTCCTCCAGCAACCCAAGGACAGTAAGGAGTAATAGTTATCTCACCTTAATGATAAGAAAATTAGATTTCAGGGAAGTTAAATACACTGCCCAAGGTATACCATTGGAAAAAAAACAAAACAACAACAACAACTCAACAGACCCAGGACTTGCACTAGGTATATCAGATTTTAAGGCTGGTGGTCTTAAACAATAGGCAGCCCACAGAGGACACAGCTAAACTATGTGAATCCATGAATCCATTGAGGTGATTTCCGGATTCCTGGACTAATTGCAATAAAAGATGTTTGAGGTGCAATAGACCAGTTTCTAATATGTGTGGCAAAGTAATACAAAGAAGCACTTTGCTAAGAAATTAGTCATTGTCCATTGACTTGGCAGTGAGTCTATCTGAACTTGTTCTATTATCTTGTTATGATTAGTGATAGATCAACTTAAATTAAAGGGAAAGTTAATGAAGTGAAACCCAAAAGTTAGCCAAAGGAGAAAAAAAAGTCTAGTTGATAAAAGCTGGACTTGAGGTTTTTCTTCCAATATTTGAAGTCTCATTTTCTTTTTTAAATAAAAAAGAACTAAGTGTCCAAAATTTTCTTTAATTAGGCATATTTTCCCTCAACTTTTATTTTAATTTCTCGGGTACATGGGCAGGATGTGCGGGTTTGTTACATAGGTAAACATGTGCCATGGTGATTTGCTGCACAGATCAACCCATCACCTAGGTATTAAGCCCAGCATCCATTAGCTATTCTTCCTCATGCTCTCCATCCCCACAGCCCCCTGACAGGCCTCAGTGTGTGTTGTTTCCCCTCATGTGTCCATGTGTTCTCATTGTTCAGCTCCCACTTACAAGTGAGAACATGGGGTATTTCAGTTTCTTTTCCTGCGTTAGTTTGCTGAGGATCATGGCATCCAGCTCTATCCATGTCCTTGCAAAGGACATTATCTTGTTCCTTTTTGTGGTTTTTTAAAAATAGCATGCAGCTAAATGTGACCAGAGTTCAGGTTTTAACAATTACAGCTATAGAAAATAACTCAGAATTCATTTTTTAAAAAATAAAAGTCAAAATCTTCCTGTTTGAGGCAATGTGGGATGCAGGAAACGTTCTGGACTTGGAAGTTAGACACAGCCAGCTTGGCAATGCTTGCTTTGCCAGTTTCTGGCTGGGGGGCCAATGTCTTCTCATTTCCCTGAGACTTGGTTTCCTTATCTTTTAAAAAAAATTAGAATGGTACTATAATTTCCTCTGCTATTAGGTCATGAAGGATCAATGCCACCACACCCGGCTAATTTTGTATGTTTAGTGGAAACAAGGTTTCACCATGTTGGCCAGGCTGGTCTCGAACTCCTGACCTCAAGTGATCTGCCCACCTTGACCTCCCAACATGCTGGGATTACAGACATGAGCCGCTGCATCCAGTTTTCTGGACTTTTATGGAGCCTAGCTCAATGTAAATCACTGAGCTTACTCCTCAACTTTTTTTTTTTTTTGAGATGAAGTCTCACTTTGTCACCCAGGCTGGAGTACAGTGGCGCTATCTCGGCTCACTGCAACCTCTGTCTCCCGGGTTCAAAGATTCTCCTGCCTCAACCTACTGAGTAGCTGGAATTACAGGCACCCACCACAATGCCCAGCTAATTTTTCTATTTTTGGTTGAGACAGGGTTTCACCATGTTGGCCAGGCTGGTCTCCAACTCCTGACCTTAGGTGATCCACCAGCCTTGGCCCCCCAAAGTGCTGGGATTACAGGCATCAGCCATTGCGCCCAGCCTTACTCTTTAACTTTACTTGGCTGAAGTAAATCTGTGTAGGTTTTTATCAACACTTAGAAAAATTCAGGAATAACGTACCTATAGCAAAGTGCATAAATCTTAAGTGTTCAGTGCTCTGCATAATTTAAACATGTACACATGCAGCATGCAGTGGCTCATGCCTATAATCCCAACACTGGGAGGCTGAGGAGGGAGGATTGCTTGAGCTCAAGAGTTTGAGACCACCTGGGCAACATAGAGAGACTTTGTTTCTCCAAAAAAAAAAAAAAAAAAAAAATTAGTTGGGCATAGTGGCATGTACCTGTATTCCCAGCTACTTAGGAGGCTGAGGTGGGAGGATCGCTTGAGCCTGGGAGGTGTAGGCTGCAGGGATCCATAATGGCACCATTGCACTCTAGCCTGGACGACAGAATGAGACTCTGTCTCAAAAAATAAAAATAAAAATATCAGTAAGTAAATAAAGTATACAACCACATACCTCCAACCCAGATCAAGATGGAGAATATTTCCAGCACCGAGGTTTTCTCATACTCTTCCTAATTGGTACTTCCTCCAAGGATAACTAATATTTAAATTTTTTTTAACTTTTCATTTTGAAATAATTTCAGCCTTACAAAAAAATTGCCAAGTAGTATAAAGTATCCCTGCCTACTCTTCACTCACCTTTCCCAAGTCATGAAATACTTATAAAAACCAGGAAATTAACGTCAATAGAATTCTATAGACCTTGTAGACCTTTCACCAATTTTTCCACGAATATCTTTTTTTCTGGTCCAGGATCAATGCCAGGTTCACACATTGTATCCTGTTGTTATGTTTCTTTAGCCTAATGCAATCTGGAACAGTTCCTCTGTCCTTCCTGTCTTTTATGACAGTTTAAGAGGCTGGTCAGTTATTTTATATAATATCCCTCAATTTAAGTTTGTGTGATGTTTCCTCATGATTAAATTCAGGCTATGCATTTTTGGCAATGCTGTGACAGAGATCTTACGCCCTTCTTAGTGCTTACTATCTGGAGGTACATGATGATGTCTCACTGGTAGTGATGTTAGCCTTGATCACATGATAAAGGCGATATCTTCCAGATCTCTCAACTTTAAAGTTATTATTTCTGCCTTTCTAATTAATAAATATCTTGTTGGGAGATATTTTGAAATGATGCAAATATCTTGTTACTCATCATACATTTACCTACTAATTTTAGCACCCATTATTGCTGTTTGCCAAATAGTGGTTCTCTACTTTGATCATTCCTTCTACATTTATGAATTGGAATTCTATTGTAAGAAAGAGGTATCCCTTCTCCCCATTTAATTTTTTTTTTTTTTTTTAAAGACTGAGTCTTGCTTATTGCCCAGGCTGGAGTTCAGTGACGTGATCTCAGCTCACTGCAACCTTTGCCTCCCAGGTTCAAATAATTCTCCTGCCTCAGCCTCCCGAGTAGCTGGGATTACAGGCACCCGCCACCACACCTGGGTAATTTTTGTGTTTTTAGTGGAGACGGGGTTTCACCATGTTGGCCAGGCTGGTGTTGAACCTCAAGTGATCCATCCGCCTCAGCCTCCCAAGGTGCTGGGATTACAGGCGTGAGCACCCGGCCTACTTTTTTTTTTCCGAGGCAGTCTTGCTCTTTCACCCAGGCTGGAGTGCAGTGGCGCGATCTCAGCTCACTGCAACCTTCACCTTCCAGGTTCAAGTGATTCTCGTCCCTCACCCTCCTGAGTAGCTGGGACTACAGGTATGCGCCACCACGCCTGGTTAATTTTTTGTATTTTTAGGATGGGGTTTTGCCATGTTGGTCAGGCTGGTCTTCAGCTCCTGGCCTCAAATGATCTGCTCGCCTTGACATCCTAGAGTGCTGGGATTACAGACGTGACCCACCGCGCCCAGCCCCCATTTACTTCTTTATTCAATTATATACTTAATATTTAAATGTGTTACTTAAATTTTATATACTAAATATAATTTAATAAGTACATTTAAAATTGTTTTATAATTATATATGTTATATATTTATTTACCAACTATTCATTTAGTGTCAGCCTGTACTCACGGTTATTTTCTTTTATTTTTTGTGTTATAACCCATCACTGCCAGTGTTTGTTGCTCACATTGTCCCAGCTTTGGTCATTGGGATTGCCTTCATGCTTGCTCCTGTGTCTACTTTCTGCAACCATAAGATGTTCCAGACTCGTCTTGTGCTTTTCCTGCCCCAGTGCTGGAATCAATCATTTCTTTAAGAAGCTCTTATTCTTTTTAATAATAAAAAACTAGAGATGGGGTCTCGCTACATTGACCAGGCTGGTCTCAAACTTATGGCCTCAAGTGATTCTCCCATCTCGGCCTCCCAAAGTACTGGGATTGCAGGCATGAGCCACTGTGAGCAGCCAAGACACCCTTATTATTTTCACTGGGGAATGGCATAGAGACAGACCTGGGCTCATTGCTTGTGAGGTGTCATTTCTTTTGTTGCTTCTAGGTCCTTTGAGCAGAAAGCACTTGGACACATACATGTGTATACTAACATACACACGCATCTACTTCTATTTCTACATCTATCTGTATAGCTGTGTAGCTATGTCTATAAAACTGTGGTTCTGGCTGGGCGTGGTGGCTTATGACTGTAATCCTAGCACTTTGGGAGGATGAGGCGGGAGGATCACTTGAGCTCAGAAGTTCAAGATCATCATGGGCAGCATGGTGAGATCTTGTCTCTACAAAAAATTTAATAATTAGCTGGGTGTGGTGGCACATGAACACACATAGCATAGCTTCAGAGTTGGTAATCCATACCCCTCTGAAGATAAAATTTAACTAGAATACAATATTTGTGTACATTTTTTTAGTCTTGTAATACGTAGCAAAAAAAAAATATTGTGTTCTAAATTTACTTAGGTTAGTTTGCTCAACCCCTACACCCAGTGATTATTGTTAGTGGTGTCTCAGTTTTATTTGTTAATGTTTGTATTCTGTTTGTTTTCTCCCTACATTCTGGTTGATTTCAATTATGTATTTATTTCCTTAGGATGTAAAACATTACCATGATTCTGGAATCTAGAACTATACTCAGAAGTATGTCATTCTCCTTTCATATGTTCCACCCCACTCCCATTTCCCCATTCTTTCCACCCCATTTCCACTTTTCTGTTGTTAATCAGTCTCATTAGTTTCCATGGTGTCCATCCCTTGTATATTTCCTTTCATCTCCTTCTTTCTTACACAGAGGTAGCCTACTACAGATACTCTGTTTTTTCACTTGAAACATGCTATTGGAAATTACTTTATACCAGTTCATTGAGAGCTTCCTCATTCTCTTTTTACAGCAACACAATACTCCATTGTGTGAGTGTGCTTCAGTTTATTCATCCAGTATCCCATCTGTGGGCATGTAGGTGGTTTCCAATATTTTACAATGACAAACAATGCTGTAATTATTTGTGTGTATTTTTATATTGTTGGAAATGTGTCTCCACTATGAATTGCTAGAAAGGGAATTGCTGGCTCAACATGTTAGTGGGTAGTTTTGTCAGGTAGTTCCAAATTCCCCTCTGTAGGGATTGTACTATCATGTATTTCCATCAGCAGTGTATGACAGTGTCTATTTCCCTATGATCTTGCTATCAGAATGATTTGTCATACTTTTTTTTTGAGACAGGGTCTCGCTCTGTCACCCCTGCTGGAGTGCAGTGGCTTGATCATGACTCACTGCAGCCTCGACCACCCAGGCCCAAGTGATCCTCCCACCTCAGCCTCCTGAGTAGCTGGGACCACAGGTGAACGCCACCATGCCTGGCTGATTTTTATATTGTTTAAAGAGATTGGGGTTTCACCATGTTGCCTAGGCTGGTCTCAAACTCTTGGGCTCAAGTGATCTGCTCACCCTGGCCTCCTAAAGTGCTGGGATTACAGGAGTGAGCCACCACGCCCAGGGTGTCATACCTTTTGATTTTTACAAATCTAGCAGGTGGGGAATGGTATTTCAATATAGTTTTAATTTACATTTATCTAATTGGGGGGCAGTTTGCACATCTTGTCAACTGTACATCTGTACATATGTATTTTTAAGGACCATCTGTACATATGTATTTTTTGTGCTGAATTGTCTGTCCATGTGTCTTTCCCCTTCTTTTATTAGTTTTAATCTAATTTCAAAATGTTCTCTCTCTCTTTTTGGAAACAGAGTCTTGCTCTGTTGCCCAGGCTGGAGTGCAGTGGCGTGATCTCTGCTCACTACAACCTCCGCCTTCTGGGTTCAAGTGATTCTCGTGCCTCAACCTCCTGAGTAGCTGGGAGTACAGGCGTGCACCACCATGCCCGACTAATATTTTTTATTATTTTATTTTCGTAGACACGGTGTTTCACCCTGTTGCCCAGGCTGTTCTTGAACTCCTGAGCTCAGGCAATCTGTCCACCTCAGCCTCCCAAAGTGCTAGGATTACAGGTGTGAGCCACCACACCCAGCTAGAGATATTAGTCTTTTTTTTATATATACATATTGCAAATATTTTCTTTAGGTTTGTCCAGTTGTCTTTTTGTCATACATAATTGTTAATGTGTGTGACAAAATACACATTATGCGGTCAAATTTATCCCTCTTTTACTGCCTCAGGATTTTTGAGTCATTATAAAGTCTTTCCCTACATTAAGGTTAATGAGGAATTCACCCATGTTTTCTTTTAGTATATGTATAGTTTTACTTATTTTTTCCTTTTTCATTTAGCTTCCTGGTCCATTTGGAGTTTATTCTTGTGCGTGATGGGAAATATGCATTTAATTTTATCTTTTACAAGTGGCTATTCATTTTTCTCAGCCCTATTTAGTAAAAATCTGTCTTTGCCCCAGTGATTTGAAGTGCCATCTTTATCATACGCTAAAAGTGTTCATTTCAATTTGAATCTATATTTGGGCATTTTATTCCACAAGTCTATTTGTCTTTTTTTTTTTTTTTTTTTTTTTTTTTTTTGCACCCGTTGCACTGCTTTGATTATAAAATCTATTGGTCTGGTGAGGCAAGACCACCTTTGAAATTTTTCTTTTTCAGTGTAGGTAACAACTCTTCCTGACTTCCATCACCTTAGATTGAATTTGCCTGTTTTTGAACTTCATGTAATAGAATCATATGGTATCTGTTATTTTATGTCTGACTTCTTTCATTTGATCTGGTATCTGTGAGATACATTCATGCTGTTGGAAGTAGCCGCACCTTGTTCGTTTTCAGTATTGTGTCCTATTTCTTTGTATGTCTCTACCACAACTGATCGATCCGTATTTTGTTTATACATATGTAAATTGTTTCCAGTTGGGTGCTGTTGTGAAGAAAGCTGTTATGAACTTTTTTTTTTTTTTTTTTTTTTTGGCACACCAATGCACACATGTCTCTCAGAATTCCTAGGAGTGAAATTGCTTGGGCATAGGATAAATGAATATTTAGCTTTGGTAGATAATACCAAAGAGTTTTTCAAAGTGTTTGTACCAATTTGCTAGCACATAGTATTGTCAGTCTTTTTTTTTTTTTAATTAAAAAGTAAACTTTAATGTCAAAAATGCAAACTTGGGGAAGGCAGAAAGATCACACACAAGGCTGTCACTTCACACTTGGAAGGTTGCACAGCGGCCCAGACAGTGGAGGGGCCGGGAGTATTGTCAGTCTTTGAAGCTGCCTTAAAAGAAAAGAAGAAAGAAAACCTTGTATGACATAATTCTTCTTCCTCTTGAAACTCAAGAGTCATTTCCAAAACAGGAAATGGCTAGAAACAAAACAAAACAAACCCAGCAACCTCCATTTTTTAAAACACACCTAACAAGTTACTTGTGGCAGTCATGGGTTTTATAGAAAAATACAGAAAAGCTGTTTTGAGCCTAGATCAAATGTAGCAGGCAGTTTGTTTTTTACCCCAAAGCTGTTTTCAGGCTGGGCACAGTGGCTCACAACTGTAATCCCAGCACTTTGGGAGGTCAAGGTGGGTGGATTACCTGAGGTCAGGAGTTCGAGACTAGCCTGACCATCATGGTGAAACCCTGTCTCTACTAAAAATAGAAAAATTAGCCAGGCGTGGTGGCACATGCCTGTAATTCCCGCTACTTGGGAGGCCGAGGCAGGAGAATCGCTTGAACCCGGGCGGCAGAGGTTGCTGTGAGCCAAGATTGCGCCACTGCACTCCAGCCTGGGCAACGAGAGCGAAGCTCTGTCAAAAAAAAAGCCATTTTCTCCCTTTCTGTCTTTCTAGCAGGACCTCAGTTTTGTTCAGCATGTTCAGCAGGGAAGGTGATCTTATCCCTAGCTTAGGGGCGAATCTTGTTTCATCTAAGCTAATCAGGGCTTTCTCTTTTTTTTTGAGACAGTCTTTCTCTGTCGCCCCAGGCTGGACTGCAGTGGTGCGATCTTGGCTCACTGCAGCCTCCACCTCCTGGGCTCAAGTAATTCTCCTGCCTCAGCCTCCTGAGGAGCTGGGATTACAGGCACGAGCCACCATACCTGGCTAATTTTTGTATTTTTTAGTAGAGATGAGATTTCACCATATTGGCCAGGCTAGTCTCAAACTCCTGACCTCAAGTGATCCTCCAGCCGCAACCTCCCAAAGTGCTGGGATTACAGGTGTGAGCCATGGTGCCCAGCCCTAATCAGGGCTTTCTTATTCCTCTCACCAGCAATTAGCTTAGGGATGAGCATGTGACCCAGGCTGGCTAATAAAATATGAGATATGAGGAACACTGGCATAGCTCTGTAGTGGAGGGCTCCTGGGAATGGTTTTTTAGTGCTAAAGAGACTCCAGCAGAGACGGCCCCTTTTTGCCTCCGGATGTGGTATGTCTGGATGTGATGCCTGGAACTGCAACAGCCATCTGGCTGCCAGCCGAAAATGAAGCAAATCCATGAAAGAATCAGAACAAATGGAGGTGGAGTCTTAAATACAGGATCTGGAACCTGCCATATTCCAAGTTTATGTGAAGTAACAAATTGACCAATTGTTTAAGACCATTTGAGCTGGTATTTTCTATTACTGACCATTCCACCTAATACCCCTGGTACTGGGCTTTGTTAGAATAACATAGAATAACAAAGGGGAGACAAGGCTCTTACTTATCCCCTGCAAATATGTTTTAGCAACCTCCTCTTTGTTCTAAACCAGTGGTTTTCAATCTTTAGCATGCCTCAAAATCACCTGGAGAGTTGATTAAAACAGCTTGCTGGACTTGACTGTCAGAGTTTCTGATTAAGTGGGTTTGAGATGAGGTCAAGAATTTGCATTTTTATCAAGTTCCTAAGTGACTCTGAGGCTGCTGGTCAAGGGACCACACTTCAAGAATGATTATTCTAGAATACAGACACCATCTTACTGCATTTAGTAACATTTTTTAAAAAAAGTCAAATAATATATATCATGGGCTTCTTTTTCAGCTTGAGAAATATAATTTTTTTTTTTTTTTTTGAGACAGAGTCTTGCCGTGTCATCTAGGCTGGAGTGCAGTGGTGCGATCTCGGCTCACTGCAATCTCTGCCTCCTGGGTTCAAGCGATTCTCCTGCCTCAGCCTCCTGAGTAGCTGGTACTCAAGCATGCACTACCATACCCAGCTAATTTTTGTATTTTTAGTAGAGATGGGGTTTCACCATCCTGGCCAGGCTGGTCTTGAACTCCTGACCTCAGGTGATCTGCCCACCTCAGCCTCCCAAAGTGCTAGGATTACAGGCATGAGCCACTGCGCCTGGTCAAAAAATAGAAATCTCTATCATCATTTTGAATGACAACCTAGTATTGCATCACGTGGATATACTAGAATTTATATAACTGTTTCTAACAGCATATTCTGTTAATTTGTGGGGTTTTTTTGTATTATTATATTAACATGAACAACTCTATCGTAAGTATCATTTTATAGTAATCCTAACTGTTTAATAATTTCCTTAAGGCAAATTCTTAAAAGAATTGCTGGATCAGAGGGAAATGTTTGGGGCTTTTTTTTTTTCTCATATCGTCTTCGTAATCCACCTAATTTCTACTTCCAGATATATTGCCCTTAGATTTAGATATTTTGCCAGGGGACTTCTGGTTGATCCTGCCTCAGCTGGCCAAGGCCTTGGCCATTTGCTCTGTAGGGGTCTTTCTTTAATGTTGCAAGAGTTGAACACTAAAGATAGCACTGCCAGGCCTGGGCTAGCTCATTCCTAAGAGTTAATTTAAAAATTTTTACCAGGAAGAGAATAAAAGCCTGGGAAGTTCTTAAGACTTCTGTCTTTCTCTACATCATGAGAATTTGAGCATACTTTCTGTCTTTGTCATATTTCTATTTGAGAATAGAGGCAACCAACTGCCTAATACTCCAAAGAGAAGGAAAGAAGTTGCATTCAGATGTCATCTGCCGATCATCTCAGTCATGAAAGAAAGTCATCCAGCAGAGGGAAAAGCTGGGTCCAAGTTATGTCTTTATGCTCGACCATGGAAGAATTTATTTTCAGATGTACTTGCCCTCCTAAATCAGAGCAGCACTTCTAGTTTAGCTGGGACTTCTAGTAGAATTCAAAAAAGTGTCCTCAGTTGAGTGTGTTGGTTCATGCCTATAATCCCAGCACTTTGAGAAACCAAGGAGAGTGGATCACTTGAGCCCAGGAGTTTGAGACCCGCCTGGGCAACATAGTGAGACCCTGTCCCTACCAAAAAGTAAATTAAAACAAAAATTAGCCGGGTGCAGTGGTACACACCTGTAGTCCCAGCTACTTGGGAGGCTGAGGTGGGAGGATCACTTGAGCCCACGGCATTGAGGCTGCAGTGAGCCATGATTGTGCCACTGCACTCCAGCCTGGGCAACAGAGGAAGACCCCATCTCAACAAAAACCAAAAAACAAAAAACAAAAAGGGTCCTCACCAGAAGAGAGCTGGCAAACAAAATACAAATTAAGACTGGCTTTGGCTTGAGTTCTTTAGAAAGTAGAGCCTGAGGCAAAGCTTAAGGTGCCTAATGCAATTTTATTATTATTATTATTATTATTATTATTATTATTGTTCATTTTGTTTTGTGTTTCTGTAGAGATGGAGTCTTCTTGCTGTGTTGCCCAGGCTAGTCTTGAACTCCTAGGTTCAAGCAATTCTCCTGCCTCAGCCTCCCAAACTGCTGGGATTACAGGCATGAACTACTGCACCCAGTCCAATTTTATTTTAAATATAAAAGTTTGTGTCTCTTTCACTTAAAAACACAGTATTGACTGGTTCATTATGCCACTGATATATAGCATCCAAGATTGTTCCAACTCTTGCCAATTCTCAGCCATTGTGTGGGGTGGCGATAGATGAAGAGAGAGAAAGAGAAAGGAAAGGGAGGAGGAGGATGATAGAGAGAGAAGGGGTGTTGAGGGAGAGGTATAAACTTGCTTGTTTTTAGGGGCATTTTCTGGAATTTGCATATATCACATCTGCTCACATCCCACAAGCAAGAACTTGGTCAAATAGCCGTTCAGCTCAAAGAGTTTGTTCTGTATCTGTGCAGTCATGAGGAAGGCACTACAATTTTGATCTGGGAGTTTCAAACCCAGCGAGATGGTGAGGGCAAAAGACAAGCCAGGCAAGGAAATATGTGAAGCAAGGTGATGCTTTCTATCTCAAGCCAGTCATGAGGAGGCACGTGGGCCGCTCAGCAGGCTTGTTTGGTTTGCACACAGTTCTTTCTGCAAGGGTTGCAGAGGGGAACTATGACTGGAAATAGTCCCTGGGAGAGGAAAAACAGGGGAGATCCATCTGCTCCTCACCCTCCTATCTTGCATTTCCCGTTGGTTTGTTCCCACTGGCCGAGGCTTACGCCCATAAGGAGCAACACCTCCTCTCTTCCTGTTGTGTAACCCATCCCCTTGGCAACAGTTCAGGAAGCAGATCCCACACCCTGGGAATGGAACGGTGACCCACATGAATGGGGGGCATGGACCAGGAGAGGGGAAGCACCTGAGAAGGTTTACTGGGTCTGTGTTCCAATATATTACTTAATGGCATTTTGAGTGGAAAATAAAAAGGGCTTTGATGAAAACTTTTCTAACTGATGTCCATCTTTTGGAGTCCTGAGTTGGTTTCTCAGTACCTTGCAAAAAGAACTAATTGATCAGAGGCTGATAGGTAGAAGGGCGTCTCCCTTGATCTTCGGCCAAGAATTCTTCTAGCCTAGGAATGTTTTTGTTAGACATTGCAGAAACCTAAATGAGGTTTAGGACAACCCATGGATGTGCATTAGGATGCTGTAGAAAGTGTTCTCTCCCTCCCTTCCTTTCTTCATTTTTTCTTCCTCTTCCCTTTCCTCTCCCGTTCCTTCTTTCCTTCCTTCCAAACGGGAAATTTTACTGCGATTACCTTTGTTTTGTTAAGAAGCTTGAACTCTTTCATGGCATTTTTCCTAGAAAACAAGCAATGTGCAAACTGGCCTTTCCATATGGCATGGAATATGGACTACTAGCCAACCAAGTTAGAATATACTTTAGGCTGCCTCTGTCTGGGCCTGACATATTTCTTTACTGTGAACCTGTGAACTTGGAAATGCAACTGAATTAGGTTGGGCATGGTGCTCACACCTGTAATCCCAGCACATTGGGAGGCCTAGGTGAGAGGATATCTTGAGGCCAGGAGTTCAAAATCAGCCTGGAAGACAAAATGAGACTACGTCTCTACAAAAAAATTTAAAAGCCGGGCATGGTGGGATGTGCCTGTAGCCCCCAGCTATTTGAGAGGCTGAGATGGGAGGAGTGTTTGAATCCAGGAAGGTAGAAGGTAGAGGCTGCAGTGAGTTGTGATTATGCCACTGGGCAACAGATAAGCAAAAGACCCTTCACTGAAAATGAGAAGCGGCTTCAGTGGAAGCATCTGGCTGCTCTCCAGTGACCTTTAAAAACAGAAAATTGATCATATTGGCACAACTGCTGTTTGAGAGTCTGAATGCGTAGTGACTAAGTTCACATCCTCTAGATTCAAAAGCATAAAATTCTAAATCTTCCTCTAAGTATCTCAGTGAACTTGGGAATGTTACTGAACACTTAGACTCAGCTTTATTTGCAGTTTAATGGGCATTGTAACACCACGCAGTATTATAATAGTATCTGTTACACAAAATTAGCCAGGCCTGGTGGCGTGTGCCTGTAATCCCAGCTACTTGGGAGGCTGAGGCAGGAGAATCACTTGAACTCGGGAGGCAGGCAGAGGTTGTAGTGAGCTGAGATCATGCCATTGCACTCCAGCCTGGGCAACAAAAGTGAAACTGCATCTCAAAAATAATAATAATAATAATATCTGTTATACTACTATCCACCTTACATGGGTATTGTAAGGGCTAAATGAGATAAAACATGTCAGGCTCCTGGCACATAATACATGCTCAGTGAATGGCAGAAGCTATTGTTTTCATAGTAGTCGTCATCATCATCATCATCATCATCATCTTATTGTATGGCTTACTATTGTTCCATTGAGGACTGCAGAATAAAATATTGACACTGGTCAAGGTATTTAACATTTGAGGGTCTTTAGTGACCTTTCATCTCAGTAAAGGGACACTAGCAATTATCGTCAGGTATGCAGGCACGTGAGGATGGTGCTTGCACAGTATCAACCCCTCAGTCATTGGTTTGTTTCAGGTTATACCACCATCATGTTGAACTTTTTAAAAAAGTATCTTAGCCCTCTGATCAAAGGGCAAAGGTGCTTACCTCCAGTTTCTTTCCCAGTGTCTTGTTATGAAAACTTGTGCTGGGCACGGTGGCTCACGCCTGTAATCCCAGCACTTTGGAAGGCCAAGGCGGGCAGATCACCTGAAGTCAGGAGTTCGAGACCAGCCTGGCCAACACGATGAAACCCCGTCTCTACTGAAAATACAAAAATTAGCCAGGTGTGGTGCCAGGTGCCTGTAATCCCAGCAACTTGGGAGGCTGAGGCAGGAGAATCGCTTGAACACAGGAGGCAGGGGTTGCAGTGAGCTGAGATTGCACCACTGCACTCCAGTCTGGGCAACAGAGCGAGTCTCCATCCCAAAAAAAAGAAAACTTGTAAATGATGTTCGGGGTTTGTTGGAATCCCTGTGGAGGTTCCAGGTCTCACCTGCACACTAAAATATTCTCCTTGTCTGTGGAAGCTTTCTGGTGCTCTAGCTTAAAAGGAGCACATCTAACTTTCTAATTCCAGTCTTTATCTTAATTTAAAAAAAAAAAAACACCCAAACGCCTTATGTGAAGTTTATTAGGGCAATAATGCTGTGGTATTGCTAATTGCTGGCAGACACATCAATCCATTTGTTTGCCTTACCCTAGAGGGATTTTAAAGTTATCAATTCTATTTGTTGGTTTCTAATAGAAAGCCAGGGCTTATCCCATAAATTCTGAAGCTGTGGAACTAGGAACATTAGGACTCTTCCTGCCTATTTTGGAGCATGTATCATTGCACTGGCTCCCTAACCCCAGGAGAGATATATTACAGATGGAGTGTATGCCCCATAAAATAAAGTGTCATATCTTCTTGACGCAGCAATTCTTAGCTGCAAAGACAATGATTCATCTAGTCAGTGCCAGCTTCTAAATGAGAAAAAAGAAAGAAAGATGATTAGGAAGATTCATCCTTTGACTCTCTGTCTCCATTTCTCTTCCAAGCCTACTTTTAGAAAACCACTAGGTTCCAGAATCTGCATCATGGGGTCTGAACTTTCTAGTTCTTGATCCTCAAAGGAGATAAAAGTGAAAGCAGAGTGCATCTTCTGAATAGCATCCTGGGGAAGGTGGGCTTTGTGAAGTAACCAGTTGTGTACAAATGAACAAGCTGGCTCCCACTCTCCTCTCTCACCTCTCCTCTGGCCTCAGTTCCTCCCTACCTTCCACCAGTCCAACCACAGTGGTCTCCTTAAAATGCCTCAGATACGCAAGTTCTTCATGATGACCTGGAGCTCTTTCCCCAGTCTCATGGCTGAGACTTTCTCAGCACAAATGACCACTTTCTCGGAGAAGCTTCCCCAATAACCCGGCTGAGAGGAGCTCCCACCCTATCCTGACAGTACTCTTTCAACACTTTGCCCTGTTGTATCTTTTCCTTAATGTACTAGCTAGAGTCATGGCTTTATTTACTTGCCCCAGTTTGTGCTTTTTAGTGTTTTTCTCATCTAGAAAATAAATACCATGAGAGCAAAAACCTCATTTGACTTTTTCTCTACTCTACTCCCAGGTACTGGAAGGAATTCTAGAATTTTTTTCCTCTGTTTTTAATATATTTTTACATTTTTAAATATTAACTTAAGCCCTTTTTCTTTCTTTCTTTTTTCTGAGACAGGGTCCCCCCTCCATCGCCCAGCCTGGAGGGCAGTGGCACAATCTCGGCTCACTGCAACCTCCGCCTCCCAGGCTCAAGCGATCCTCCCACCTCAGCCTCCCAAATAGCTGGGACTACAGGCATGCACCACCATGCTGGGCTATTGCTTTGTATTTTTGGTAGAGACAGGGTTTTCTGATGTTGCCCAGGCTGGTGTTGAACTCCTGAGCTCAAGCAATCCACCTGCCTCGGCTTCCCAAAGTGCTGAGATTACAGGCGTGATGCTTGTCTGAGATTGTAGAATTTAGTAAGTACAAAGAGTTCTTGATATGGGCTCAGATGATTTGGGTGGCAGTTCCAGAACTGTGTAAATGTGGTCCAGTTTCTTGTCTTCCTGAGTTTCATTCCCTCATCCGTAAAATGGGAGTAATAATACCTACCTCACAGAGTACTTGTGAAGATCACTGGAACAATGATCAAGAAAAAAATATATACATATATTTTTTGAGACAGGGTCTTCCTCTGTAGCCCAGGTTGGAGTGCAATGGCTTGATCACAGCTTGCTGGTCTCAAACTCTTGGGCTCAAGCAATCCACTTGCCTCAGCCTCCCAAAGTGCTAGGATTGCAGGCGTGAGCCACCACGCCTGGCCGATAAAATATTTTTTATTCTGTTACTGGTTTTACACTTGGGAGAGATATGAGGGTTTCCTAAAGGACCTTGATAAATGAAAGAATGACAATGAAATATCATGATACTGAAAGGGGAGCTCTCACAATCTGAGACAGGTGGTAAAATTTAAGATGCTTATCCCACCATATAGAAAGTATGTAAATTGATAACGACAAGAAATTACATCAATTGACTGTACAGATTCCAGAATGTTAGAGCAGGAAGATTTGTTAAGATATAGTTGAGTGATTTTTAGACGTGGGTCTCTGGAGTACTGGGGTTTTGTTGGAGTCCCCTGGGATCCAGGATATAGCGGGAAATAGCCAGGAAAGAGGAGGAGCTGAGCTGATAGAAATACATGCCCCATCTCCCCTAATTCAATCAGATTAACTGCATTTTATGCTTTTTTTTTTTTTTTTACATTGTTTCAGAAGCTAGTTATTTATTGCTCAGAACCCTTCCCTCACTCTTTCTTCCTGACCCTGATTTTTGTGTGCAGGGAAATGGGCTCAACTTCAAGCTATGGAGTGTGGTCAAGGTCATTCATGACAATCCTCTTCCTCAGTTTCTCAGTCTCCCTGGAAGCTATGGATTGGCATATGACCCAGTTTTAGCCCATGAAATGTGAGAATAAGCCACTTTAGCAGTTGCTGCTAAAGTTTTTAGGAAGCTTTTATTTTCTTACTAAAAAGGGACATATGTGGCTGATATGGTCCTTTCCTGTCTTCCTCCTCCCTTCCATGCTAACATCATGTCTGCCACTACAACAGCAATCTTGTGACCATGTGGCTGTAAGCACAGGAATGCCTGGAATCTCAGAAACATTGGCTCTGACCTCCGTGAGTCACTGAACCAATTCCGGCAACCACCTGGCTCCAGACTTCTTGCCATGTGAGGAAGAAGCCACTATTGTCTAAACCAGTGCAGAGTTTTCTGTCCTTGCGTCTCAAAAAGCATTCCTCACAGATATACATATATTGTGCTTCCAGATAAGATTTTGTTTAGGATTCTGAGTCTAAAAATAATTTGAAATCTGATCTCATACCATCTTTTCATTGTAGAGAGATAAGGTAACAGTTTCAGTTGTCTGTTGCTGCATTACAAACTATCTCAAAACTCCCTGGCTTAAAACAATAGCTGTTTTGTTACCTCTTAGAATTCTGTGAGCTGACTGGGTTCAGCTGGGCAGTTCCTCTGTTCCTTGGGATGTCTGCATTGCCTACAGTTACCATGAGGCTCAATGGGCTTGTCTAATGCCTTGACAGGAATAGTCAGAAGGCTGGGCTCGGCTGGGACACAGGTCCTTTCTCTCTCCTCATGCAGTTTCAGAGCTTCTCTCTGTCTACATGGCCTCTCCATGTTGACTTCGTACATGGCACCTTCACGCCCCCAAAAGCAGAAGCCACCAGGCCTTCCTAAGGCTTAGGCCCAGATCCAGCTTTGTGTAACATCTGCGGCATCCCTTTGGTTAAAATGAGTCAGGTTCAAGGATAGAGGACTATCTGAGGGCATAAATACAAGAGGTGTGTTTTATGGGAGGCAATCTTTGCAGGTTAGCTACTACAGAAACTGAGACTTAGACTGTGAAAAGTAGTTGTCTAAACTGATAGAGTCATAAGTATTTAAATTAGAACATCATTGAAGGGATGAGAGCTCCAAAGCGGGATAGAATGGGAGGGTGGAGGGGACAGGCAAGAGAAAGGACTTATCCTCAGCCCAGGGTTTTTAAATCTCAGGAGTGTTGACATTTGGGGCCAGATAATGTCTGGATGGCTGTCCTGTGAATTGTAGAATGTTTAGCAGTATTCCTGGCCTCTACCTGGATGCCATTAGCATCTCCCGTCCAATTTTTATTTTTTATTTTATTTTTTTGAGTCAGTGTCTCGCTTTGTCATCCAGGCTTGAGTGCAATGGCTTGATCTTAGCTCACTGCAAGCTTTATCTCCTGGGTTCAATTGATTCTCCTGCCTCAGCCTCCTGGGTAGCTGGGACTACATGCAGGCACCACCACACTCAGCTAATTTTTGTATTTTTAGTAGAGACAGGGTTTTGCCATGTTGGCCAGGCTGGTCTTTAACTCCTGACCTCAGGTGATCTGCCCACCTCCCAAAGTGCTGAGATTACAGGCGTGAGCCACAATACCCGGCCTCCCCTCCAATTTTGACAACTGAAAAAAATCTCCAGTCAGTTGCCAAATGTTCCATGGAGGCAAAACCACTCCCCGGTTGAGAACATAGCCCTAGCCTTAGTGATGTTTAGAGTATATCTATAACTACACAGAAGCCCAGCTGTCTCACATGTGGGTCCAGGCAGCATGTTTATATTCTTAAATTCTCCCAGTGGGAAATGAAGAAGGTAGGATACTCAATTTCACACTCTGGTCCACATGTTTTATGTGGACTCTTCACTTTGGAAAAAGCTTTTTTAGTTTTGCTGTAAGTTCCCCAACTTGACTTTTTTTTTTTTTTTCCGTGAGATGGATCTCGCTCTGTCGCCCAGGCTGGAGTGCAGTGGTACGATCTCGGCTGACTGCAACCTCCACCTCCCAGGTTCAAGGCTGAAGCTCCTGCCTCAGCCTCCTGAGTACCTGGGATTACAGGTGTGCACCACCACGCCTGGCTAATTTTTGTATTTTTAGTAGAGACAGGGATTTCCCCATGTTGGTCAGGCTGATCTGAAACTCCTGACCTTGTGATCTGCCTGCCTTGGCCTCCCAAAGTGCTGGGATTACAGACGTGAGCCAGCCAACCCGGCAATTTCACTTTTAAGGTTGTGTCTTCAAATGAAGCCTGAACGGGTGGTCCTTCATTGCCAGTGCATCGCACTAAGCACTTCCCTTCCTCTCTTTTAACCAGGAGTCATCCACAAATAAGTAGGTGGATTTTAAAGCCGTGGGACTGGGTGACATCAACTAGAGAAATCAGAAGATGAAGAAAGAAGAAAAGCTGGTGGCTTAGGCCAGGGTCTACCCTGAGGCCTTCTAACTTTTAAAGGTAAGTGTGTATGTGTATACATACATACATATGTATACACACATATCCCAGAAACTAGAAAAATGTATATGTACGTATAAAACTTTTTTGGTTTTCTCCCTATATTTATACAAACATATATATGTATATATACACAAATACATATTAATATATACACGTGTGTATGTTATATGTGTACATGTTTATTTTTCTCATATATATATATGTATATTTTTTAGACAAAGTCTCACTCTGTCACCGACGCTGGAGTGCAGTGGCCTGATCACAGCTCACTGCAGCCTCAACTGGGCTCAGGTGATCCTCCTGCCTCAGCCTCCCGAGTAGCTGGGACTATGGGCGCATGCCACCACACCCAGCTAATTTTTGTATTTTTTGGTAGAGATGGGGTTTCGCCATAATACCCAGGCTGATCTCAAATTCCTGAACTCAAGCAATCCGCCCACCTCAGCATCCCAAAGTGCTGGAATTAACAGGCATGAGCCACTGTGCCCAGCCTATTTTTCCTATTTAATTGAAGACCAATTTATATACAGAGTAAGAAGGAAGAAACTAAAATAATTCTGGATCTTATAGGGACAATGCAAAAGAATCAATCTGGTCACTGCTGAGTCCAGGCTTGTCATTGTCCCCTCTAGAATATTAGGGGGCAAATGTATGAGCTCCAAGAATCTCACGTGCCTTGCTCAGTGGCTCATGCCTGTAATCCCAGCACTTTGGGAGGCCGAGGCAAGCGGATCACGAGGTCAGGAGATGAAGACCATCCTAGCTAACACGGTGAAACCCCATCTCTACTAAAAATACAAAAAATTAGCCAGGCGTGGTGGCAGGTGCCTGTAGTCCCAGCTACTTGGACGCTGAGGCAGAAGAATGGCGTGAACCCGGGAGGCGGAGGTTGCAGTGAGCCGAGATCACGCCACTGCACTCCAGCCTTGGGCGACAGAGTGAGACTCCGTCTAAAAAAAAAAAGAAACGCGCATGGCGTGGAGTAAGTGCTCAGGATATTGTGAAAGGAAAATAAAAACTCTGGGACCCTCATTCACTAAGCCAAAAGGAAAAAATTCAGCTGAAAGCTGAGTCATGATGCAAGCAACTGCCTTTCATTTTGTTCCTAAGCGGATAGCAGCAGATTAAAGGTTAAATGTCTCCACTCTGTGTTCACCTTATCTTGTGGAAAGTGACAATTTATTGAGAACAAGAAGGACACATAGTAAGCTTTTCCCTTACCTGCTCCTTTTCTCTTGCAACGTGTGGATTCAGGAATGTGACCGTACCCTCCCTGTTTCTCCCACAGCCTGCTTTTCCCCTTCAAATATTGAAGCCTTCAAAGTCATCTTTGGAGAAAGGTACAGACTTGTCTACCAGGTGTGTCCTCAACTTTGGCAAAATAAACTTCTAAAGTGATTGAGACTTGTCTCAGATACTTTTTGGTTTACAATATGTCTGTCAAATGAGTGAGTAAGTATCTGTGCTGCAAGGCAAAGAGCTTTAACATGGAGAGCCTGATGACATGGGTGGTAGGTGCAGCTCTGTGTGCTGTCACTGGAGTGGATGCTGTCAGTGCCCTGCTCAAATCCCCTTTACTTAGAGGGGCATCCATCCTCCAGCTGCTGTGAGCTGTGGCTTCATCCAGGGGAGAGATGATGATGACTTAGACCAGGGTGTTTATTGTTAGCAGAAGTGATAGAAGCGGTTGGATTCTGGATACATTGTGATGATGGAGCCGACAGGATTTTCTGGTGGATAGGCTACAGAAAGTGAGAAAAAGAGAGCATGCAAGGATGAAATTCAAGGTTTTAGGCCAGAGCAACTGGATAAATGGAGTTGAAATTTGCTGCAATATGGAAGACTGCATGAGGAACAAGTTAGGGGTGGGGTGGAAGGACAGGAGTCAAGTTTTGGCCAGGCGAATTTCAACATATGTATTAGACATCCAAGAGGAGAAATTGAGTAAGTAGTTTAATAAGCGAGTCTGGAGTTCAGGTGAAAGGTCTGGGCCAGATATAATTTGGGAGTTAAGGATATATGGATGATGTTTAAAGCCATGAGACTGAAAGAAATTACCAAAGGATTGAGTGTATTTGAAAAGAGCAGAGGAACACGGGCTGACCTTGAAACTTTAAAGGTAAAGGTTGGGGCTGGACGTGGTGGCTCATGCTTGTAATCCCAACACTTTGGGAGGATGAGGTGGGAAAGTTGCTTGAGCCCAGGGGTTTGTGGCTGCACTGAGCTATTATCTTAACACTGCCCTCCGGCCTGGTCAACAGAGTGAGACCCTGTCTCTTACAAAAAAAATAGATAAACAAAAAGGAATCAGAGGCTAGTGTGGTGGCTCACGCCTCTAATCTCAGCACTTTGGGAGGCTGAGGCGGGCGGATCGCTTGAGCTCAGGAGTTCAAGACTAGCGTGGGCAACAGGGTGAAACCCCATCGCTACAAAAAAAAAAAAAAAAAAAGCCAGGTGTGGTGGCATGTACCTGTAATCCCGGCTACTCGGGAGGCTGAGGCAGGAAAATCGCTTGAACCTAGGAGGCAGAGGTTGCAGTGAGCCAAGATTGGGCCACTGCCCTCCAGCCTGGGCAACAGGGCAAGATTCTGTCTCAAAAAAAAAAAAAAATTGATAAAATAAAAGACCCATTGGTACCAATGGGTCTCTAAGATTTATTTCAGTTATCTTATTTTGCAATTCTCTTGGGGTTAATAAGTTTCTCAGTCTTTTCCCAAATCTACAAAAATTAGTGTATTTCCTTATAGTTACCCATCATTGGAAACAAATTGCTGCTGTTCCAGTTATGTATTGATGCATAACACACTTCACCAAAACCCGGTGACTTAAAGCATCAACCATTTTCTTTTCTTTTCTTTTTTTTTTTTTTTTTTTTTGAGATGGAGTTTTGCTCTTTCGCCCAGGCTGCAGTGAAGTGGCACAATCTCAGCTCACTCCAACCTCCACCTCCAGAGTTCAAGTGATCCTCTTGCATCAGCCTTTCAAGTAACTGGGATTACAGGTGCCCTCCGCCATGCCTGGCTAATTTTTGTATTTTTAATATTTTTGGCCAGGCTGGTCTTGAACTCCTGACCTCAGGTGATCCACCCACCTAGGCCTCCCAAAGTGCTAGGATTGTAGGTGTGAGCCACCGTGCCCGGCCCCCGTTTTCTTATATGTCATGATTTCGCAGATGCAGAGACGGGGCTGGGCTGGGCTGGGCTGGGTGATTCTTCTAATCTAGTTGGAGTATCTGGAAGTCTGTTGATAGTTTTCAACTGGTTGATAAATTAATCTACTCATGGAGTAGGAATGTAAACTGAATCGTGCAGCCAAGCATGTAAGAACATATGAAAAGTAATTACACTATAGTGTGTAGGAAAAGAAGGTTGGGTATTCCTGGGGAGAATATTTCAGTCTTCTTCACCTCCTTGGCTATTACAGAAGTGAAGGGAAATGACTGGAAGTTTGGTAAATTGCAGCCTAAATAACAAGAGACAATTTTCTAGTGTGCAGAGAAAACAATGCCATTGAATCCTGGGCATTCCTCTAGTTCATCAGTCTCATCTCATCTAATGATTGAGCCTTGACCTTCTGAGCTGAGGATTCTTGTGTCAGAAGCCACAGTTTTACACATTTCTGCAGGAATACTTTCCAAGCTTTTCCAAGGAAGAAATTTTTGTTTCTTCTGCTGTGTTTCTGCAGCGGTTTCCACTCACAGGAAGTCCTAATTATCTGAGGAAAACTACCACTAGATAAAAACACTTTAAACGAAGAGCAAACTTCAGTACATAGCATAGGTGAGTGTTTGGGGTGCATGCAGGTTCAATGGGAATTTTTCTTGAAAGAAAACAAAAATAAAATTATAAAAAGAAAGTTATTTTACTTATTCAATAAAATGTTTCTGATTGCAACTACATGCAAGAGGCAAAGAATGAAGTAAGTGTTGATTGTTTTGTTTTGCAGAAAAGTTTAAAAAAAATATTTTTCAATATAGTGAGACCTTTTCTCTACGAAAAAATTAAAAACTAACTGAGTGTGATAGTGTGCCCCTGTTGTCCCAGCTGCTTGGGAGGCTGAGGCAGGAGAATCACTTTAACTTGGGAAGTGGAGCCGAGATCACGCCACTGCACTCCAGTCTGGGCCACAGAGTGAGACTCTGTCTCAATAAAAAAAATATATATTTTTTAGAGACACAGTGTTGCTATTTTGCCCAGGATGGTCTTGAACTCCTGGCCTCGAGTAATCTTCCTGCTTCAGCCTTCTGAGTATGTTTTACATAAAATTTCAATCAGTAAAATTTTATAAGATGTGACAAGTCATCCCTCACTCAAGTGTCACTTTTTCATCCCAATAAAGATCAGTTTTATAGTTATATACACTCATGTACACATAGCTATGTACATGTATGTGTATGTATGTGTGTATATATCTATATATATACACATATAAATATGTAAACACACTCTGGGTCTTCAGTATTTTTAACTTTTTTGATCTATAGTATACTTAGAGAAAAATGGCCGGGTGCAATGGCTCACACCTGTAATACTAGCACTTTGGAAGGCTGAGGCAGGAGAACTGCTTGGGGCACGGAGTTTGAGATCAGACTGGACAACATAGCAAGACCCCCATCTCTACAAAATAAAAATTAGCCAGGTGTGGTGTCACGTGCCTGCAGTCCCAGCTACTGAGAAAGCTGAGGGTTGAGGATTGCTTGAGCGCAGGAATCCGAGGCTACAGTGAGCTATGGTTATACCACTGCACTCCAGTGCCAGTGACAGAGTGAGACCCTGTCTCAAAAAAAATGAAAATAACTTCAGAAAAAGTCATAAGTGCACAACTCAGTGAATTGTAATTTTCATAAGCCGTTCACACCCATGTTGTCAGCACCTAACTCCAGAAAGAGAACATTATCAGCCTCTTAGATGCTCCTCTCTTATTCAAAAGCAGTCATTATTCAACTCCACCCCCACCGCAAGTAGCAACTCTCCTGACTTCTGACAGCATAGATGAGTTTTGATTGTTTTTGAACTTCATAGAAAGGGAATTGTATTTTGTTATCTGGTTTCTTTTTCTCCATATTACATCTGTCAGGTTTACATATGTTGTTGCTAGTACTTTTTTATTCATTCTCATTGCTGCGTATTTCATAGTACGCATATACCAACATTTCTCTATTCCGCCATTGATGGATATTTGGGAGGTTTCCAGTCTGAGGCTTTTATGAATAGGGTTGTGAATGGGGTTCAGGACATGCTACGTCCAAAATATGGCACCTTGGCATTTGAGAAAACCACAGAAGCAAGAAGGTCTCTCTGATCTGTCTCACCCTTCTCCCCTAATGTAGTCCATGAAAACTAGCTGACCTTCCCCTGAGAGTAGGTGATTAGACTCTCCTTCCAGAGAGGTCCTCCCTATACCTGGAGGAAAGGAATGAAGACACAGAGATGCCAAGAAGAATCTGAAGAAATAGACCTTGTAAATTCCCCCCAGCTTATTCCCATTAGATCATACCCTTTTGTCCTCCAATTATACTTTGACATGATTCTTCATAAAAGTACACACTTGTATCTGTTTCTTCAGGTCTTCTTTTGTGAAGGCTCCCATGTCACATAAAACTTACATGAAATAAATCTGTATGCTTTTCTCTTGTTAGGTCACCTTTTGTTACAGGGGCCTCAGCCATGAACCTTGTGATGGGTGAGGAAAAGATCTTACTTTTTCTCCCCTACTGCTGCTAAAAACATAGTATGTGAGTTTTAGCACACATGAGTATCCATTTCTGTTGGGTCATGATGTAGTTTTTCTTGCTTATGAATCTGTTAACTTAGTCAGATACATCCAAAAGTGTTGCTTCAATGACATTTTGCCCATGGTTGGAACCATACATGTTCAGTTTCATGGACATTTATATACTTTATGAAAGAATACACAGTGATTCAGCACTAAAAAGAAAAGTTATTATATCCACGGTTTTCACAGTTTTCGTGGCTACAGAAGTAAAGTAGCAGGGTGCAAATGATGTTATTGAAACAAATATTTGTCAAAGGAGGAATGACATCAATTCCTCTAAGTGTTTTGTGGAAGGAATCTAAGAAGACAGACAACCTCAAGGAGATGAAGCTGCCAGTTATACTGAGTTCATGCTGTTTCTCAGATATATGCAAAAGCATTTCCCATCACACATCATGCAACTGAAGGCAGGAGAAATGGCCAAATTCCTTGGAACAGATGAAAGATACTTCAGCCGGGTGCAGTGGCTCATGCCTGTAAAGCCAGCATTTTGGGAGGCCAAGATGGGCAGATCATGAGGTCAGGAGTTTGAGACCAGCCTGGCCAACATGGTGAAACCCCATTTCTACTAAACATATAAAAATTAGCTGGGCGTTGTTGTGCATACCTGTAATCCCAGATATTGGGGAGGTTGAGGCAGTAGAATGGCTTGAACCCAGGAGGCAAAGGTTGCAGTGAACTGAGATCGTGGCACGGCACTCCAGCCTTGGTGACAGAGCAAGACTCCGTCTCAAAAAAAAGATACTTCAAAGCAGGGAAGAGCTGATGTGTCTCATTCATGTGTAATGCAGGACTGTCATTAAGACCTTGCGTCATATTTAAGTGGCCTCATTTTTATTCTTCCTTGGAGGTAGATAAATAACAAGGCATTTAGTAGCTATGATGTCTTATAATTGATGAAGTATGATAATCAGAATGATCATATTAAAGCTGTAATTTATTGGTCCAAGCATTGTGCTCAGCAATTTACAAACATTCTCTCGTTTAATTTAATTCTTCACAGCAGTCCTATATGGTAGGTAATATATTTTAGCCTTAGAGACATTAGGCACCTTGGGCAAAGATACATTGGTAGTAAGTGATGAAGCCAGGACTCAGACCCTAGTGTGTGACTTTGTGAATGCTGACTCTGCTCAGCACCTGGAGGTCTGAGGTTTTCCAGCTGCTCTACTGGAGGATGAATTCAACTGAGGTGACCAGGGACGGGAAGATCATGCTGGCATTGTGTCTAGGCAGTGTTCTTCACTCCAGCTTTGACAGTCATAAAGCTACCACTCTGACCCTAGTTCCGATCATTTATTACCTGCACTAGTTGTAATAGTTTCCTTATTAGAAGTTTCCCTGCTTCCAGGCCGGGTGTGGTGGCTCTTGCCTCTAATCCTAGCACTTTGTGGGGCTGAGGCAGGAGGATCACTTGAGCTCAGGAGTTCAAGATCAGCCTGGGCAACATAGTGAGACCCTATCTCTATTTAAAAAAAAAAAAGTTTCCCTGCTTCCGACATTGTCTCCTATCACCCATTCTGAGCACAGCAGCTAGAGTGAGCATTTATTGATTGATTGATTGACTGATTGATTGATTGATTGAGACAGGGTTGCACTTTGTCACCCAGGATGAAGTGTCACGACACCATCTCGGCTCACTGCAGCCTTGACCTCCCAGGTTCAAGCGATCTTCCTGCCTCAGTCCCCCAAGTAGCTGGGACAACAGGTGTGTGCCACTACACTGGGCTAATTTCTGTGTTTTTAGTAGAGACAGGGTTTTGTCATATTTCCCAGCCTGGCCTCAAACTCCTAGGCTGAAGCAATCCACCCACCTTGGCCTCCCAAAGTGCTAGAATTCCAGGTGTGAGCCATGGCGCCTGGCGTGAACATTTAAAACGTAAGTCAAGGCCATACCCCAAACCCTCCAAAGGCTTCCTATCTTGGCATAAAAGCTGGAGTGTGTGGGGTCCTACAAGACCTTGTGCCATGACTCTATGTCACTCTCTCCATTCCCTCCCTCAGGTACAGCAATCCCGGCCTCCTTACATATCCAAACTCAGGGTCTTTCTCACTTTGTGTCCTCCACCAGGAACAGAGTTGGAGACAAGGATTTGAATATAAATTGTTTTTTTGGAAAGTGAAGGAAATTGGGAAAGGAGATGGAAAGGAAAGGGCGTGCCCCTCAGCCAACTACCCCTGTGGGCAACTGATCTCAATTCCACTGGCAAGGTTTGGGAGCCGGTGTAGAGCTTGCACTTCGGGGGTGAACAATCTTAGCCCTCCTGAGGGGACTGTCTCAGGCCTGGGGTAAGGCAGGGTCCAGTGCCCAGAGAAGGCCTTCAGGCATAAGGGGTGATGATGCTGGTCATTTGACATCAGGCTGGCACTAAAATGGGAAAACTTGAGGCATACGGTCAAGACCTTGAAAATGTCCACGACAGGCCCACAGATTTGCTCTACTGTCTGCCTAGAATATTCTTCCCTCGCATAGTCCCATATTGCTCCCTTAGAACTATATTCAAATGACTCTTCAGGGAGGACTTTTGTGATTCTCTTCTTCAAATCGTCCCCCAACTCCTAGAACACACATATATCTTGTTTATGGTCTTTCTTCTACCACTAAATAAAGGCACCACGTGGGCAGGCATTTTGGTCTGTTACATCTGCTGCTTTATCCGCATTGCTTGGTATGGTGTGTGCTGCATAATAGGAGTTCGATAAATATCGAATGAATGAATGAGTGAAAGGTCATTTAGAAACTCTTATTTTCTGCGTCTATTGTCAATTGACTTGGAATCCTTAGGAATGAGGAATATGGTTAATTGGCATCTTCGAACTCCAATATATATCTATTATTTTATATTAGGGCCTGATGGTGAATAACCTTCAATCTCACCCCCCTCCACAAATGTTGAACATCTACCATGTGCCAGACACTGTTCAAAGTACTAGGAATACTGCGATATATCAACTGGGAATGACTTTTGTCAGGGAATGACAGAAACACCGACAGCAATGGCTTATACCAAATAAGGGTTTTATTTTTCTCCTGTAATTAGAAGTCTAGACACAGACAGTCCAGTGCCTGCGCAGTGGCTCCAAGGGGCCACTGGGGACCATGCCTGCCTCTACCTTCTCTATGTCGTCCCAGCTTGCTGCTCTCCCTCCAGCAGTGTCTGTATTCCATTAAGGAAGGGGAAATGGAAGGGGAGAAGGTATGTTCCAGAGGATTCCTCCCTCCAGGATGCTTTCCCGAAAAGCTCTACACAACAATTTCTGGTCGTATCTCTTTGCACATCTTGTGGCTACCCCTAGCAGCAGGGGAGCTAAGAAATGTAGCATTTGTTTGCTTTTGTTTTCTTTGATGGGCTCCTTGTTTTCTGTAAACAAACTTGGGAAGTAGGGTACAATTAAATGCATCTTGGGTAGGTGACTAGCAATACCGTCCATAAGACTAATAACCATGTTCTCTTGAAGCTGTCACTATAGTGCAGGCAAACAGAAAACAAGGAAGCAAACACACACCAACTTGTAAAAAATTCCAAATGTAATAGCCACAAGTGCTGTGCAGGGTCCTTAATAATAAGGGGGAGTTAGAAGTTGACTCAGGTTCTATATTATACCTGGGAGTCAAAGGAGCAGCTCTCCAAGGAAGTGACATCGGAGCTGAATTCTGAATGATGAGGCAGAGGCGACTTTGCCAAGATCAACTGTGATTTTACCAATCCTTTGTTGGTTATAATGTAATCCCAGTCAAGAAAGCATATAACTATGTCTACCTAATTCTTTAAAATCCAGCCTTCAAGATGTGGGATAAATCATCCTTATTTTTCCTAAACATTCTCTCAGAGCTGTGATGAGGTTTTTTTCTCCTTCTGGTGCTTCTCTCTCCCCTTCCCTTCCCTCCCTCCTCTCTCTCACAGATAGCAAAAATTAAGGTGGTTCCTTGACAATAATGGTAAATGATCACGGAATGGAGCATGAGAGGGAGTTTTTGCTTGTTGTTGTTTTTGTTTGTTTGTTTGTTTGCTTTTGAGATAGAGTTTCGCTCTTGTTGCCCAGGCTGGAGTGCAATGGTACGATGTCGGCTCATCTCAAACTCCACCTCCCAGGTTCAAGCAACTCTCCTGCCTCAACCTCCTGAGTAGCTGGGATTATAGGCATGCGCCATCACGCCCAGCTAATTTTGTATTTTTAGTAGAGACAGTGTTTCTCCATGTTGGCCAGGCTGATCTTGAACTCCCGACCTCAGGTGATCCACCCACCTTGGCCTCCCAAAGTGCTGGTATTACAGGCGTGAGCCACCACACCCGGCCTTGTTGTTTTTTAAAGCCTAACAATGCTTAATGTGGCTGGGGCAAGGTGGCTCACACCTGTAATCCCAGCACTTTGGGAGGCCGGGGTGGGCAGATCACTTGCAGCCAGGAGTTTGAGACCAGCCTGGCCAACATGGTGAAACCCCATCTCTACTAACACTAGAAAAATTAGCTGGGCGTGGTGGCTCACGCTTGTAATTCCAGTTACTCAGGAGGCTGAGGCAGGAGAATGTCTTGAACCTGGGAGGCAAGAGGTGGAGGCTGCAGTAAGCCAAGATCGTGCCACCGCACTCCAGCCTGGGCGACAAAGCGAGACCCCATCTCAAAAAAAAAAAGCTTAATGCCAGAAAAAAATTTTTTTTTCAGGGAAATAAGTGA
The DNA here is from genome assembly GCF_000001405.40 of Homo sapiens. Taxonomy (NCBI): domain Eukaryota; kingdom Metazoa; phylum Chordata; class Mammalia; order Primates; family Hominidae; genus Homo; species Homo sapiens. The sequence goes on from NC_000003.12 coordinate 66,128,663, forward strand.
GATATGGGCAACTTATAAGAGAGGGAATAATTCTAGGAAAATTCTGTTTAACCTATTAGCCAGTCTATCAAAGAAGAAGATCTCTGTGGCATTGGGTGAAACTCTTGGTATGCCACATTCTAATCCACATAGCCTTAGAAGGGCTCTCACATGCTCATGTTAGTAAGTCAGTTGTTATGGAGAAAGGTGCTTTTTACATCTGCAAGGCTGGCTAGTCACGATAAGCAATTTAAATGTTACTGAACCTATTTCTTCTTGAGGCTGTTGCTGTATGGTTTCTTGCTGCCAGCTCTTTTCTCCCAATATTTTTATGCTATAGTTATCCTTTATCTAATATATGCTACACATGCAAGCAAACCCCTTTTTGTGTGTTGAGAACTATAGCTCCTATAAAATTCTGGCTAGACCCAACTCAGCAGGTGTGTTCAAGTCTGCTTGCAAGAGACTCGACAGGGTGAAGGGTGGAAAAATGTCAGTGAACATTGTGGTTGTAATACCACCTTACTTCACATTTCCCAGTGACTTTTTATGCTTCATATAGAAATGTTCAAAACATATCTCATTGCATTTCATTTCTAGATTGCAGCGTGGTTGTATTGTTTTTCCCCCTGTACTTTAAAGACTAAGTACACTTTCATCCCAGATATTACCAAAATCATACAGATGATTCAGCACTTAGACAAAACTGCCTGATAATTTTCCATCTTCATCATTTTTCATTCTTGACCTGAATCTTTTGGTATTGTGTAAGTGCTGCCTAAATGAAAAGTTTTTCTTTTTAGTTTTAAGAAATGTGTGTTATAGGCCGGGCGCAGTGGCTTACACCTGTAATCCCAGCACTTTGGGAGGCCGAGGCAGGCGGATCACAAGGTCAGGAGATCGAGACCATCCTGGCTAACATGGTGAAACCCCGTCTCTACTAAAAATACAAAAAAATTAGCCGGGTGTGGTGGCGGGTGCCTGTAGTCCCAGCTACTCGGGAGACTGAGGCAGGAGAATGGTGTGAACCCGGGAGGCGGAGCTTGCAGTGAACCGAGATCGCGCCACTGCACTCCAGCCTGGGCAAGAGAGTGAGACTCCACCTCAAAAAAAAAAAAAAAAAAAAGAAATGTGTGTTATAAAGCATTCAGACACGTTAATATCTTTATTATACTTTATTATACATAACTCTTTTTTTCTTTGTTTGGAAGTCCCTGCTCTTTAGCCCATTGCACAGGCAACTGTTGATAAAACACATAGTCTTTTTTTTTTTTTTTTTTTTTTTTTTTTTTTTTGAGACAGGGTCTTACTCTGTTGCCTAGGCTGGAGTGCAGTGGTACAATCTCTGCTCAGTGCAGCCTCAACCTCCCAGGCTCAAGCAATCCTCCCACCTGAGCCTCTTGTGTAGCTGGGACTACAGGCGTGCACCACCATGCCCAACAAAGTTTTATATTTTTTTGTAGAGGCGGGGTTTGGCCATGTTGCCCAGGCTGGAAACCTTATAGTCTTAATTTCTGATTTCTATGAGTTATTCACGCAATAACTCCACTTATAGAATAAACATCTAAGATGAAAGATTTTGATAACCAAAATTGGTTTAAAATGTTACTGGAATCATTTAAATAAATTAGTACATTAATATGAAGGAGTTATTTGCAGTGATAAGCAACCATGTTCTTAAAATATTTAATGAAAAAATGGTACTGATATCCTGTTGAGTGAAAATAAGGAGGTTATAGAATGTTATTACTAGATGATTTCAGTTTTGTAAGATGTATTTTAAAAACTGGAAAACAGCCAAGCATGGCGGCATGTGCCTGTAGTCCTAGCTACTTGGGAGGCTGAGGTGAGAGAATTGTTTGAAGCCACGAGCTTGAGGGTGCAGTGAGCTGTGACTGCGCCACTGTACTCCAGCCTGGGTGACAGAGTGAGAACCCATCTCAAAAACAAAAACAACAGCAATCAAAACAACCTTGAAAATAATATATCCAAGTATTAACCACTGCATGGTGGGAATTTGAGTAGTTTTTACTTTCTTATTGTGTTTTCTTACATAGCTGGAATTATTGTTATTATTATTATTATTATTATTATTATTATTATTATTTTTGAGACGGAGTTTCGCTCTGTCTCCCAGGCTGGAGTGCAGTGGCGCGATCTCGGCTCACTGCAAGCTCCGCCTCCCGGGTTCACGCCATTCTCCTGCCTCAGCCACCCGAGTAGCTGGGACTACAGGCGCCCACCGCCATGCCCAGCCAATTTTTTCTATTTTTAGTAGAGACGAGGTTTCACCGTGGTCTCGATCTCCTGACCTCGTGATCCACCCGCCTCAGCCTCCCAAAGTGCTGGGATTACAGGCTTCAGCCACCGCGCCCGGCCATAGCTGGAATTATTTTTAAAATAAACATGTAAAGCCAATTTTTTTTTTTTTTTTTTTTTTTTTGAGAACGTCTTGCTCTGTCGCCCAGGCTGGAGTACAGTGGTGTGATCTTGGCTCACTGCAACCTCCACCTCCTGGGTTCAAGCGATTCTCCCACCTCAGCCTCCTGAGTAGCTGGGATTACAGGCATGCACCACCATACCCGGCTAATTTTTGTATTTTTTAGTAAAGACAGGGTTTTGCCATGTTGGCCAGGCTGGTCTCAAACTCCTGACCTCAGGTGATCTGCCTGTCTCGGTCTCCCAAAGTGCTGAGATTACAGGCGTGAGCCACCACACCTGTCCGTAAAGTCAATTTTAAAAAGAATACAAGCTTATTTTTCAATAAGGAGGTAATGCATAAGGGAGAAGGCATCAACTTAGAAACTGAATAGATGTGGGTTTAAATCCAATTAAGCATTGATTATACGGTCATGAACCTCATAATGATGTTTTGGTAAACGAAAGATAGTGTATAAAACGGTGGTTCCATAAAGATTATAAAGGAGATGAAAAATTCCTATTGCCTATTGACTAGCCTTTAACATCAATGGCACAATGCATTACTCCCAAGTTTATGGTAATGCTGGTGTAAACAAACCTACCGCACTGTTAGTTGTATAAAACTTCAGCACATACAATTATGTAAAGTACATAATAGTTGATAATAAACGACTACATTACTGGTTTAGATATTTACAGGATATGATAATTTTTTATTTTTTGAGACGGAGTCTTGCTCTGTCACCGAGGCTGGAATGCAGTGGTGAGATCTCGGCTCACTGCAACTCCGCCTCCCGGGTTCAGGCAATCCTCCTGCCTCAGCCTCCCAAGTAGCTGGGATTAGAAGTGTGCACCAACACTCCTGGCTAATTTTTGTATTTTTAATAGAGATGGGGTTTCACCATGTGGGCCAGGCTGGTCTCAAAATCCTCACCTCGAGTGCTCTGCCCACCTTGGCCTCCCAAACTACTGAGATTACAGGCGTGAGCCACTGTGCCTGGCTTCATTCTTCTACTTACATATATAAAAAATAAGTTGGTCTGGGGCAGTGGCTCATGCCTGTTATCCCAGCACTCTGAGAGGCCGAGGCGGATGGATCACTTGAGGTCAGGAGTTCGAGACCAGCCTGGCTAACATGGTGAAACCCCGTCTTTACTAAAAATACAAAAAAAATTAGCCGGGTATGGTGGCTCATGCCTGTAGTCCCAGCAACTCGGGAGGCTGAGGCAGGAGAATCACTTGAACCCAGGAGGCGGAGGTTGCAGTGAGCCTAGATTTTGCTACTGCACTCCAGCCTGGGCGACAGAGCAAGACTCCGTCTCAAAAAAAAAAAAAAAAAAAAAAAAAAAAATCAACTGTAAAACAGCCTCAGGCAGGTCCTTCAGGAAGTATTCCAGAGGAAGGCATTGTCCCTGTAGGAGGTGACAGTTCCATGCTTATTGTTGCCACTGAAGATCTGCCACTGGGACAAGATGTGAAGGTGGAAGGCAGTGATACTGATGATCCTGACTGTGTAGACCTAGGCTAATGTATGTATTTGTCTTAGTTTTCAACAAAATTCAAAAAAAAAAAAATTTAACATTTCAAAAATAGAAAAAAATACAGAGTAAAGATATAAAGAAAAAAAATTGTACAGCTGTACAATGTGTTTGTGTTTTAAGTTGTGTTTTTACAAAAGAGTCAAAAGTTTAAAAAATTAAAAAGTTTCAAAAGGAAAAATGTTACAGCAAGCTAAGGTTAATTTATTATTGAAGAAAGAAAACAGAATAGGTTTTCTTTATACTCCTTTATAATCTTTATGGGACCACTGTTTTATATGCTATCATTGACCAAAACATCATTATGGGGTGCCTGACTGTATAATAAATGGTTAATTGGATTTAAACTCACATCTATTCAGTTCCTTTTTTTTTTTCTTTCCAACTTTTAAGTTCAGAAGGTATATGTGCAGGTTTGTTACATGGGTAAATTGCATGTCTCAGGACTTTGGTGTACAGTTTATTTTGTCACTCAGATAATGAGCATAGTACCCGATAGGTGGGTTTTTGATCCTCACTCTCTTCCTGCTGTCCATCCTGAAAACTTTTAAAGTAAATTTAGTGTAGCCTAAGTGTACAGTGTTTATAAAGTCTACAGTAGTGTACAGTCACATCCTAGGCCTTCACATTCACTCACCACTCACTCGCTGACTCACTCAGAATAACTTCTAGTTCTGCAAGCTTTGTTCATGGTAAGTACCCTATACAGGTGGACAGTTTTGAGCTTTCATGCCATATTTTTACTGTAGCTTTTCTGTTTTCATGTTTAGATCCATAAATATTTACCACTATGTTGCAGTTGCCTACAGTATTCAGGACGGTCACATGCTGTACAGGTTTGGTAGCTAGGAGCAATAGGCTACACCATATAGCTTGGGCGTGTAGTTGGCTATACTAGCTAGGTTTGTGTAACTTACACTCCATGTTGCTTGCACAAGGATGAAATCCCCTAATGATGCGTTTCTCAGAAGAGTATCCTGGTGGTTAAGCAACACATGACTGTATATGTAACCTGAAGCTCTCAGAGCTTCCCTGTCTTCATCTATCAGCCCAGGGAGAGGAATCAGTGGTTTTCCAAAAGCTGTACCTCTTTCCATAAATACAAGGATGAAGGGCTGAGATGATGGCAGTTAGAATTATATTGAGAAATGGTAGCGGGATCTGAGAAAGCAAGGCCATGAGTTGAAAGCAGAGAGAAGGCGGTTCGAGTGGAGCCCTGATGAAGTTCATGCTCATGGTTGCCCAGCCATTAACACGGGCTCATCACATCTGTTTCCAGATTGCTTCTAGAACTTAGCTACCCTCGTTCTATAAGATGGAATGAAAATGCGTACTACATACAGATCATGAAAAGACGCAAAGAAAATGCATCTTCACATTGCAGGTACTCAATTAGATTTATTTCTAATACTCAGCGCCACCCACAATTGGAAGGAAAGAAGGGCTAGAACATTAAAGTTTCTATTTGTGCTGAGACTGCAACTTAGCTATTTAGAAGTTATTTTAACAGACTTCCCTCCAGTGGAAAAACAAAACAGGGATAACTAGTTTGACTTGGTCTTTTTTATCTCTTTCCATTTAAACACAGATATCCTGTTGTGATAACCTTTGACACTTTATTACATGGCCGCAGTAAATAATAACTGCCCTTATTTTGTAATGTTAGCCCTGGTTACACAGCACCATTAATTACTGAACATAAAAGTTGAAGTTTTTGTGAATAGAAGGAAATGTTATTTGAATTCCTTTGCTGGGTTCACTAAGTTTATCTGAGGGCTTGGGTGGTATAAATGGCGAAGAGAGAATCATTGAGTTGTGTGTTTGTCACAGAGAAGTGCCCCCGCACCAAAAATAAGAACCAGCCAATCTGGGGCCAGTGGGAAAATGTTGACAGACTTGCAGAACTTCACTGGAAATCTGAGTTTGAGTCACGATGAAATTAAGAAATCAACTTCCAAACACCCTCAAGTTACCTTAATTGCTTAGAGAATGTATCTTTAGTTACCTTTCTCACTATAAAACAGTACTTTTTGTTATTGAAATAGCGTTTAAGGACTTGCAAAGGAATGACTTAAAAATCACTAAAAATCATGTCCATGTCTTTGGAAAAAGTCTTGGAAATGTTTTGCCATCAATTTCCATATTGATCAGGACACTGAGTTGGAGATTTTGTCACTTTTCTTCTTTGACAGTTGTCATCCTTTGTCAATATTTCTTTTCTTTCCTTTATTTTTTTTTTTATTTTTTGAGACGGAGTTTTGTTCTTGTCACCCAGGCTGTAGTGCAATGGCGTGATCTCGACTCACTGCAACTTCTGCCTCCCAGGTTCAAGCGATTCTCCTGCCTCAGCCTCCCGAGTAGCTGGGATTATAGGCACCTACCACAATGTCGGGCTAATTTTTGTATTTTTAGTACAGACGGGGTTTCACCATGTTGGTCAGGCTGGTCTCGAACTCCTGACCCCAGGTGATCCAGCCACTTTGGCCTCGCAAAGAGCTGGGATTACAGGAGTGAGCCACCATGCCCGGCCTGTCAATATTTCTTAAATAAGGAAAAGCCTGGTTTTATAAAGTTCAAATTTTACTGAAAATTGTTTTTAATTTTGTTTTTGTATTATCAACTTTTAATTAACTTACATTTGAATTTCAGAAATGTTTTTAACTTTGTTTCAGGGCGATTTTCAATTTACTCCTAATCTTTCTGAAACTTAGCTTTAGTAAAATATAAACATTGTAATACGTTACATGCTCAAATCCTACAGTTGTAGAATTTGAAGCGGCCTTAAAGTTCATGTATTCCATCTCTCCAATTAGTTAATCACAGTATTACAGAATCATTAATGTTGGCAATATTTTAATGTGAACAATTGTTAATTGTGAACAATTGGCTGGGTACAGTGGCTCATGCCTGTATTCTAAGCACTTTGGGAGGCCAAGGCAGGTAGATTGCTTGAGCTCACGAGTTTGAGACCAGACTGGGCAACAAAGTGAGACCTATTCTTTACCAAAAATAAAAAATTAGGTGGGCATGGTGGCATGTACTTGTAATCTCAGCTACTTGGGAGGCTAAAGTGGGAGGATCTCTCTTGAGCCTGGGAGGTTGAGGCTTCAGTGAGCCCTGATGGCACCACTGCACTCCAGCCTGGGTAACAGAGCAAAACCCTGTCTCAATAAAAAAATAAAGTAAAAAGGTAAGTTTTACAGATCCAGTCTTAACATAAGTATAAGGCAAAATTTAAGACTTTGGAATAAATAAAAGAGATATTCTTTTGGAATATTCACATTGGATATTCTTTCAATGAAATACCTGTCTTTAGAGACCACGTAATCCTACAGGGATATACATCTTGGTCTTTGGCTAAGCTATTTTACAAGTCTGTTGAGATAGAAGTTAACTTGAAAAGTGTTTTACTATAGATTTCTGTATTGATCACAACAATTCAGAAATTGATGATAAAACTAATAGTAATGCAAATATTTCTTGTTCATAATCATGCAAGGAAATTCTGTCCTGCGGACAGTCAACTGATTTTCCTCTCTTATTGTGGAAATAAACAGTTTTGTGTCTACTTGCAAATTTATTTCAGTGTTCCCATCTATATATGTATCTGCTGTTGGACTTCTCCTTTGAATGAATGATAACATTTCGGTGGTTCACTCATTAGTAATGAGTTAAATAAAATGTATTCCAGATGTTCATTTTATGTCTATATGATAGTCATGATTTTACCTTTTTGGGAAAATTATCCTTTAACCTAAGATACACAAATGGCCAGTTTATAATTAAAAACTACTTATCACTCTCCATTGGCCTATAGATGAAGACATTGAAGTTTGGAGAAAAACAGGGTGAGCATGTAATAAATAGCTTAGCTGGATTTGAATCCATGTCTATTTCATTTCTAAAATGGTATTCTAACTCATTGCACTGTCTCGTCACTAAGAAATAACATTTTTGTATTTTAAAAGATGGCTTTTAGTTTCATGTTCCAGTTGATGCTTATATTTCCAAAACAATCATGGTAGTGAAATTTGATTTATACATTCTTTCACCTAAGCTCTGGCTTTCAGCCGCTAGGTTTCTCTCTTCTGCTTTGACTGGGATATTTCTCTTGGCTTTGCATCAAGTAGTACTGTGTTTTCAAAGCCTCCATGTCATTTACAGTATGCATTAAATTGTATACAAAGCTTTTCCCTTTCAGGACTTGTTAAGACCTTCTGTTTATTTCAAGAAGAAAGCCTCAGTGAGGTGCTATGTCCCTCTCATACTTGCTAGTCTCCCTTTCATAACAAAGAGAGAGCTTAACAAAGAGAGTTGGAGCTTCCTCAACAATAGTATATAAATTTTTGTTTTTATTTTGCTTACTTTATGGTTATCTCTTATTTATTGAAAATAATTCTGATTTGCATTTATGATAATAGCACAAAGCTTCTTTTAAAATAAAGTTCAGTTAAAAATCAGTTGAGATAAAGGAAATCATTAATTAAATAGCTTGACTAATAGATGTGAGCTCTTTCCTGCCACCTTTTCCACCATGTGAGGATGCCATGAGAAATCACCATCTATGGAACAGACCTTCACCAAACACCAAATCTACCTATGCTGTGATTTTCTTTCTTTTTTTTTTTTTTTTTTTTGAGATGGAGTTTTGCTCTTGTCGCCCGAGCTGGAGTGCAATGGCGCGATCTCAAACTCTGCTCACTGCAACCTCTGCCTCCCAGGTTCAAGCAATTCTTCTGCCTCAGCCTCCCGAGTAGCTGGGATTACAGGGGCCTGCCACCAGGCCTGGGTAATTTCTTGTATTTTTAGTAGAGACAGGGTTTCACCATGTTGGCCAAGATGGTCTCAAACTCCTGACCACAGGGGATCCACCATCCTTGGCCTCCCAAAGTGCTGGGATTACAGGCATGAACAACCACACCCAGCCCCACACTATGATCTTGAACATCCCAACCTGCAGAACTGTGAGAAAAAAAATTCTATAGTTTATGAATTACCTAGTTGGTGGTATTTTGTGAGACCAGCAGGAATGGCCTAAGACACTCATAGAGTCATTGTGAGAAGGGAATAAGATGCTCTGTGTGACTGTGAGCTTCCTGAGGTCAGAGTGTGTCTAACTCATCTTGTTATCCCCCAACTCCTAATACAGTTCCTAGCACCTAGGACTCCATAAGAGCTTGTTTTCTTCTTTCCTTTGCAAAGCTAGTTAGTATAGTCACATGAACATTTTCTTTTTTCTTTTTTTTGTTTTTTGAGACAGTGTCGCTCTGTCACCCAGGCTGGAGTGCAGTAGCCCAATCTTGGCTCTCTGCCACCTCTGCCTCCCAGGTTCAAGCGATTCTCCCACCTCAGCCTCCAGAGCAGCTGGGATTACAGGCGTGCATTACCACACCCAGCTAATTTTTGTATTTTTAGTAGAGACGGGGTTTCACTATGTTGGCCAGGTTGGTCTCGAACTCCTGACCTCAAGTGATCCACCCGCCTCAGCCTCCCAAAGTGCTGGGATTACAGGCATGAGCCACCATGATCGGCCCACATGAACATTTTCTATGGCATTATTAAACAGAGAGTATTGCATGTGAACACGTAAAATAAACATGGGCATTTATAATGTTTTATTTTTCCTATGGTGATCAAAGCTGTTCAATGTATACATCGTATACAATGTATACATCTGAAGTATGGAAATATGCAATGAAGGAAGAAAAAAATCATCCCACAAATCTCACCCCCCTTCAGACACATCACACTCCAGGGCAACCATTCTTAATTTGATAAATTTCTCTTTTTTTCTATAATTAAAAATATTATACACTTGAGATCCTAGTACACATGCAATTTTGCAACCTGTTATTTTCTCCTAAGGTTAGATTTTGCTTGGCACTCAAAATCCATCCAGCATGATTTTTATTGTTTGACCTACATTGGGGCCTTTCTTTCCCATCTGTCATGGGGTTGGCCAACAGAATGTCAACCTGTGAATTCTCTGGTAAAATGTTTCCAAATGACAAATCAGACAATTTGGTGGGAGGATTGATGCAGGGGGAGGGGGGGTAGGGATGTATTGGGGTAGGGGAAGAGGGAGATGAAGGGAAGCAGTTAAGGAAGGAGGCATGGGAGAGAGCCAGAGGTTCCTCTTCACAAACCGTATTGGGAGGTCCTGGATACGGGCATCGGTTCCTTGGCAAAGCTTGGAAGCCACCCATTAATCTTGTACTCCCTCTGCTGGCTTTGCTGAGCACAGCCACTGTGTGATTAATGTGAATAGTAATGGTCCTGAGTCCACTGAAATCCCCCGTGATGAACAGGAAAGACAAACAGTCATTCTTTTTGAGATTCTTTTTTATAAGATCCAAGTTCACACTAACAGGAGTAGATTGATTGATTACTTATTCAGTTGAAACGAATTCAAATTGCTGCCCCACCCCTCCTGTCCTCCTCCCCTCCCCATCCTCTTTTCCTCTGCCCCAGGAGAATGAAATTCTAAAGTTCTCAGCTTTTCCTTTCAAGATTCTTATGATTCTCCTGATGATCTCACTTCTCTTTACTGTATTTTGCTGTTGCTTTTCTCTGTTTCACCTTCTGTGCCACCCCGCCCACCTCCTTGATAGTGCCATTTGTGAATAAAAAAGGAATGGTGAAACCCTGCCTTTGCTTTGCAAAGCAGGGTTGCATTAGCTTCTCTAATTCTGCAGCCTCTTATTTCTCCATTTTTGCTTAATTCAAAGTTGTTAAAAGCTTTTCAAAATAGGTGTATGCTCTACTTGACAGTTGTGAGAAAACAATGCCTCCAATAAAAAGAAAGCAAGATACATTTGCAATTTCCTTTTCCATAATTTATAGTGATTTAGCTCCCCCCTATCAGGAGATAAAAATTTCTTTGGGAACAAGTTTCTTTTAATAGCATCATCTGAAGCAGCACACATTTCTTTCGCGGTCATTAGAGCTCCTAGCCTACAAAACAGTGACTGAAGATTGAATTAGATTTAGAGGGAGGCTGCCTGTATCACATAAATAAACAGGGCCCTGGCCATTTCATTACAGAACTTAGATAAGCAGTACAGATGGTCGGCTGCAGTGTTACACATGCATAACCTATTTAAAAGATGACATTATAGGGTCAGAAGCATTAATGTACTCACAGTGTCATTTGTTTACTCTACTTGAGTTACTTCTTTCACACTAAGCGCTAAAGCCGTGGGTCAGGCAAATTATTGCAGGCAGTAATGCAGACTAGATGAAAAGATAAGGGAATTATTGAATGATGAGAGCATAAACACTAAATTAGTTTAAGGATTTATGGCCCCAAGCTTAACCTAATAGATGTTATTTGCTATTGATCCTTCTCAAGGTGTTGTAGGTGACAAAAAACCCAAAAACCTCATTCGTTTAAGCACATCAAGAAAGGTAATTAACTTACTAACTTACTGGCTCATGGAACTGAGAGATCAGAGCTTCAGGTATGGCTGGTTCTAGTGCTCAGAATGGCTGTCAGGTCTGTTCTCTTTCATGGTGGCTTCATTTGCAGGATGCTCTCATTACTGGTGTTCAGATGCTCCATGCCTATGTATTAACACTTGCAAGTACAATGGAAAGAGGTTCTTTGTTATTCTAGCAAAAGATCAGGAATTACATCTCTTGACCAATTTTGGATATGCGCCTTTTCTGAACCAATGATTAGAGGTGGAAGAATGGAATGTGTATTCCGTTGAGTCATGTGCTCATCCTGTGAGCCCTGAGTTTAGGGCAGGGGTTGGTGGAGTTTGTGGATAGCATCACCAAGACAGCTAGACTAGGAGAGGGTGGCTCCTCAAAGAAAAAATCCACATGCTACTAACACAGGAAGGTGGTGTGGAAGCCAGGTAGGCAAAATGGGATTTCTAATCCTTCAACCAGTGCACTTCAGAAAGGATCATTCACTAGAACCTTCGAATGAATTCAACTAACATACAGGATGCACGCTGAGGTAAAAACTAGAAAATGTCCGTAAATCTGTTCATTCACCTGAGGTTTCTGTTCCAAGTTAAATCTATTAGCAGGCAGGACTAGCAAATATTCTTCATAAGTAAAACTACCTTATCGGCACCTGTCTTTTTAATGCTACCACTCTATGTTTACACTTTCAAATTTCCCAGTTTCTCAGATGACAGAAGGAATTCTTACTGTATCACATCCCTCCATCTGTTGAATTAAACAAAATGCATGCCAGCCCTTTTAACAACTGCAGTACTAAAAGGGTCAAGTGAATGTCAAAGGCATGATTGAACTAACAGGTTCCGGACTGCCAAGTCCCTTGCAAGACTTTAGAAATGTTTCTTGCTTTTAACTTCTGCTCTGGGTCACTTACTTGTGGTTACTGTGGTGGTGCCACCAGCTCTCTGAAATTTCTTACTAGTCAACAGACTACAGTACTGAAAGGAGCTATTGTTACACTTCAGTATAGAAACAGGACACACACACACACACACACACGCAAATGAGCACGTGTAAAACAGTGAAATCCAAATGAGGTAGACAGATTGTATTTATGTCAATTTCTTTGTTGCCATAGTATTCTATAGTGTTGCAAGTTGTTAGCATTGGGGGAAACAGGGTGAAGGGCACACGAGATCTCTCTGTATAATTCTTTATAATTACATGTACATCTTCAATAATTACCAAATATTTTTTTCTAATTTTCTCGAGCTGGGGTCTTGCTGCATATGTGGTCTGGCCTCGAGGGCTCAAGAAATATGTCTGCCTCAGCCTCCCAAGTAACTGCGACTACAGCCATGTACCACCACACTCAACTCCTACCAAAGAAAGTTTTCAAATAATTGCATAAGACAAAAAACTAATAGAAATAGGATTGTCATGAGGATGATAATGATGTCCTGTGTCATCTTGATGAAAGCAAATCTTTGAAATAGTGTGAATTTTTTTTTTTTTTTGAGACAGAGTCTTATTCTGTCACCCAGGCTACAGTGCAGTGGCATGATCTTGGCTCCCTGCAGCCTCCACTTCCTGGGTTCAAGTGATTCTCCTACGTCAGCCACCCGAGTAGCTGGGATTACAGGCATATGCCACCACACCCAGCTGATTTTTGTATTTTTTATTAGAGACAGGGTTTCACCATGTTGGCCAGGCTGGTTTCGAACTCCCGACCTCAACTTGATCTGCCTACCTTGGCCTCCCAAAGTACTGGATTACAGGCGTGGGCCACTGCGCCGGTCTTGAATGTATTCTTTTCTTCCTGCAGACTCAAAGCTGTGGATGGAAGTTGTTGAAGCCCTAGGCTGGATTAAGAATACTTTAGATTTAGTCATGGCAGAGAGTTCTGAAACAAGTTCTATCAATATGTAGTTCAACAAATATTTATTTATTTTCACTTTCCTTTATTTAAATTGAGATGAAACTTGCATAACACAAATTAACCATTTCAAAGTGAACAAGTCAGTGGCATTTGGTGCATTTACAATATTGTGCAGCCACTGTCTTCAATTCTGAAACATTTTCATCACTCCAAAATTAAACCCCATACCTATTTGGCAGTTACTCCCCAACCCCACTCCAGCCTCTGGGTGACTCCCAATCTGCTTTCTGCTTCTCTAGATTTACCTATTCTGCACACTTCATGTAAATAAAATCATGGAAGATATGATCTTTTGTGTCTGGCTTCTTTCACTTAGTGTAATGTTTTTGAGGTTCATCCAGGCCATCGCATGTATCAGTATCAGTACTTCATTCTGATGGTGTTCAGGACCCACTACCCTAAAATATGGCACCTTGGCATTTGAGAACACTGCAGAAGCAGGAAGTTCTCTCTGACCTTCCTCCCACCCTTCACCTTTGAAGTAGACTATAAAAGAATTTTTTTTTATCTTCTCCTGAAGTAGGGCATAAGGCCCTCATTCCAGAGATGGCCACACTATACTCAGAGAAAAATGCCCTGTCTCTAAGGACACAGGAACTCGGAGAAGAACCTGAACAAACAGGCCTTGCTAAATTCTCCCTAGTTGATTACTATCAGTTTACACCCCTTTTGTCCAATGGTACTGCTGCCTGACTATCCATTTGTCATCAAACCTAAGCACAAAAATGCATAGGTTTCCCTGTTTTTTTGGTTTTTCATTTAAAAAGTCTCCCATATCACATAAAATTTGTATGCTATTCTCTTGTTAAGCTGTTTTTTCTCTTTTTTTGAGACAGGGTCTGCCTCTGTCACCCAGGCTGGAGTACAGTGGTGTGATCTTAGCTTGCTGTAACCCCAAATTCCTGGGCTCAAGCAGTCCTCCCACCTCAGCCTCCTGAGTAGCTGGGATTACAGGCAGCACCACTATGCCTGGCCAATCTTTCTTTTTATTTTTTGTAGAGATGGGATCTCACTATGTTGACCAGGCCAGTCATGAACTCCTGGCCTCAGGCGATCTTCCTGCCTCAGCCTCCCAAAGTGCTGAGATTAAGATGTGAGCCACTGTGCCCAGCCTAAGCTGTCTTTTATTGCAAGCGCCTCAGCTATGAACCTAGCAATGGGTTAGAAAATAAATCTCTCCTCTCCTACAATTTTCTTTCATGGCTGAATAATAAAAAAAAAAAAATTGCCATTATCCATTATATCCATTGTATGAACATAACACAATTTGTCTATCTATTCATTTGTTGATGGACATTTAAGTTGTTTCTACCTTTTGGCTATCGTGAATAGTGCTGGTATAACATTTGTGTACAGGTATGGTTTTCACCACCTGTTTCCAATTATTTTGGGTATATACCTATGAGCAAAATTGCTGGGTCATGTGACAATTCTGTTGAACTTAACAAATACTTACTGAGCAACTGCAGTGTTCCCTGTAGTGCTCTACGTGCTGGCAACACAATTATTGAGCCAAAAGTTCAGATCCCTCCTTTTCTGGAACTTAATTTCTAATATCAAAGAGAAAGGCAATAAACAATAAGCAGGAATGGTACCTAATTTGTGATGCAAAATGCAAATGAGGTCCCTCGTTTAAAAAAAAAATTATTGGCTGGGAACAGTGGTTCACGCCTGTAATCCCAGGACTTTGGGAGGCCAAGGTGGGTAGATTGCTTGAGACCAGGAGTTCGAGACCAGTCTGGACAACATAGCAAAACTTCATGTCTACAAAAAATACAAAAATTAGCTGGGGGTGGTGGTACACACCTGTAGTCCCAGCTATTCAGGCTGAGATAGGAGGGTTGCTTGAGCTTGGGAGGCAGAGGCTGCAGTGAGCTGAGATCGTGCCAGTGCACTCCAGCCTGGGCAACAGAGTAAGACCCTGTCTCAAAAACAAAATTAATAACTTTAAGATGAGAACAGCAAAGCCTTAAACCAAGTGGGGAGTCCTTCTAAGTAGGCACAGTGTCCTGAGAGACTGCACACTTTGTTGGCCTGTGAAGCTAACACTGACAATAAGAAAATACAGTAATTTCAGATGTTAATCACACATGAATACACAAAGTGGGGTAATATGATAGAGAACAAATATAAGTGGGTGAGCTACTTTCAATAGTTAGGAAAGGCCTCTATGAGAAGCTCATATTCAAGCTGAGACCTGAATGATAACAAGGAACCAACTGTATCAAGATCTCTGGGCAGCGTATCCAAGCAGAGGGAAGAGACTGAGCCAAGACTGCAAGCCTGCAAGTTCAGGAACCAAAACAATGTCACTGTGGCTGGAACTGGGTTATCTTTAGCCTGAGTGTAAGTACAGTTTCTAACACCACAATCCTGGAGGAAGATTTGGGCCTCTTTTTTGGAATAAAGACAGTGAAAATCAGTCTTGGTAACATCAAACTCTAGACCCGTGGTTGTCAGTGAGCATGATATAGCACACTGGTGTTCCCCAAGCACTTCTCAGTTAGGGCCTAGATTTTGCCCACTGGGTACAATTTATTTTGCATCAACTGAGAACACAGAGTATCTGTCAGAATGCTGAGCTGAGGATTAGCTGGTTGTGGTGTGTGTGGAGTACAATTTGGTACTAACGAGTGGTAAGAAGCATACCATAATGCCAAAGATTGTCTACTGGGATGTATGCAGAATGTGAGGTTTCTGAGAGCCAAGTCCTGGAAGTAAAGGAGGTTGCACCGAGGCTGAGAAAATAGAGTGATCATTGTGCACACGTTCATGGACCCCACCAGATGTTAGACTGACTGGAGTAGACAGTGCATTGCAATCATTGCTAACTCATTGAGTGTCTTTTTATTTCTTTAAGCATGACTTCAAAACTCTAATAATCATAAAGTTCTGAGAAAATGTGGAGATCATGACTCTAGACAACATTTACAAGAACTGCATAGGTGAAAGAGTCAGATGTCTGGCTGACCTAGCAGTTCTCTTTGCAACTGAGGAAGGCCACGCCAAAGAAGTAAGGTTTACATCCAGGCTGAGACTTTTTCAGAGCCACGAGGGAGTGGTGGGTGAGTCAGAGAAATGATGCATGCCAGAAGAAATCCCTTAAGAATTACTGTAAAATCAATGGATTGGAAAACTGAATTAATGGGGCTGGGGACTGTTTATTAACAATGAAAAAAAAATCTATATTTCCCCTGTCTTCTCTGAGCAATATTAGAAGCTATGAGAGAGGAGCAATGAATATCATGTGAAAGGAGAAAGTGAAGACACCAGATCACATAAATGATTACATGGAGTCTGAACGGCTCATAAGGTTTGCATGAGTGAATGTTCCCAGTCGTTCTGGTGGATAAACACTTTGTTATCCTAGATCACTCTGAATAACTTGGGCCAATAAAGGCAGTCATACTTATTTCAAAGGACACCATATCAGGTTCTAAAGTGGCCTTCAAATTTATTGCATTTGTGGAAGTACCAACTGGTGAGAATAGCATTTGTGATTGGTTTCAGCCATGCAAGGGAGTCTAGTTACAAGATAATTCTTGATAGGGGACAGGGTCCCAAATCCTTCTGCTTTGTTTAAAAAGCATTGCTGAATCAGCATTTGATTCAGAGTGTACAATATATAACTTTTGTTTTTTTTTAAATACTAATCAGTATTGGCAACTTTTTAAAGTTATAAAAAGTGAAGTGCCTAGGAAAAATTTTGTATTCTCATTTAAAGCTAAATAAACAGATGGAAATAGAAATTAGAAGGTGTTCCATCTTATTTCAATTTTCTTTTTTCCCCACTATTATGACAGTTAAAGAAAATCGCTGAAAACTAGTCAAATCCAAAAATATTCCTCACATTTATTTTTCCTCGCCTGAGTAAAATTTCAGAGTGTTTTGTTTACAAATGAAAACTTTAAAAGTAATTATTTTGTAATTGTTTTGAAAAAAAGCAAATAACTAATAATAACGTTCTACAAACATAAAGTTAACTTTTGTGTGATTAAAGTTTAATCTAAAAACATTAACTTTCTATTACCTGTTTAACATGAAAGTAGACCGTTTTTACACATATTTTATTTTTGAGAATTTTCCGTTTAAAAATCTAATAATTGGCTGGGCGCAGTGGCTCACACCTGTAATCCCAGCACTTTGGGAGGCTGAGGCTGGTGGATCACCTGAGGTCAGGAGTTCAAGACCAGCCTGGCCAAAATAGTGAAACCCTGTCTTTACCAAAAATACAAAAATTAGCCGGGTGTGGTGGCAGGCACCTGTAACCTCAGCTACTTGGGAGGCTAAGGCAGGAGAATCGCTTGAACCCGGGAGACAGAGGTTGCAGTGAGCCAAGGTCACTCCACTGCACTCCAGCCTGGGTGACAGAGCGAGATTCAGTCTCAAAAAAAAAAAAAAGATAAAAATCTAATAATTATTCCACTTTTGCTATATAAAAAAACCTGTGTGTATATGTATTTACACACAAAGAATATAATATGGAAAGTTATATCCCAAAATGTGAGTAATCATCACATCTAGGTGGTAAGATTCTGCTTTTTTTATATTTTCATATTTTTTCTATATGAATATGTATTATTTGTACATATGGGGGGAAGAGAAAACTAATATAAGCAAAGCATTAGTTTTCTAATGTAACTGTAATGACATTAATTCAAATTCTAATAAATTACATTAGTTCTAATTAATGGGTCAAAGTCTTGGCTATAAACAGATGGCACATTCAGGATTTTTTTAAAAATTTCAATAGCTTTGGGGTTGTAATGGTTTTTGGTTACATGGACGAATTTTGTAGTGGCGAATTCTGAGATTTTAATGCACTCATCACCCAAGCAGTGTACATTGTACTCACTATGTAGTCTTTTATCCCTCACTCACCTCCCACTCTCCCCACTATAGTCCATTACATCAGTCTTATGCTTTTGCGGCCTAGTAGCTTAGCTCCCACTTATAAGTGAGAACATACAGTATTTGGTTTTCCATTCCTGAGTCACTTCACTTAGAATAATGGCTTCCAGCTCCATCCAAGTTGCTGCAAATGACATTGTTTCATTCCCTTTTATGGCTGAGAAGTATTCCACGATGTATCTTCCCTTCCCTTCCCTTCCCTCCCCTTCCCTTCCCTCCCCTCCCCTCCCCTCCCCTCCCCTCCCCTCCCCTCCCCTCCCCTCCCTTCCCCTGCCCTCCCCGTCCCTCTTTTCTTTTCTTTTCTCTTTTCTTTTTTTCAGAACAGAGTCTTGCTCTGTCTCCCAGGCTAGAGTACAGTGGCATGATGTCAGCTCACTGCAACCTCAACCTCCTGGGTTCAAGCGATCCTCCCGCCTCATCCTCCCAAGTAGCTGGGACTACAGGCACTCACCACCACGTCCAGATAATTTTTTATTTTTTGTAGAGATGGGGTTTTACCATGTTGGCCAGGCTGGTCTCGAACTCCTGGCTTCGAGTGATCCACTCACCTCAGCCTCCCAAAGTGCTGGGATTACAGGTGTGAGGCACCATGCTCAACCCACATTTTCTTTATTCACTCGTTGGTTGATGGACACTCAGGTTGGTTTTATATCTTTGCACTTGTGGACTGTGCGGCTATAAATGTGTGTGCATGTGTCCTTTTAAATATAATGATATCTTTTTCATTTGAGTAGATACCTAGTAGTGGGATTGCTGGATCGAATGATAGATCTACTTTTAGTTCTTTGAGGAATCTCCATACTGTTTTTCACAGAGGTTGTACTAATTTACATTCCCACCAGCAATGTAAAAGCCTTCCCTTTGCACCACATACACACTAACATCTATTGTTTTTTGACTTTTTCTTTTTTTTGAGACAGAGCCTTGCTCTGTCACCCAGGCTGGAGTACAGTGGCACGATCTCAGTTCACTGCAACCTCCGCCTCCTGGGTTCAAGCCATTTTCCTGCCTCAGCCTCCCCAGTAGCTGGGATTACAGGCGTGTACCACCATGCCCAGCTAATTTTTGTATTTTTAGTAGAGATGGGGTTTCACCCTGTCGGCCAGGCTGGTCTGGAACTCCTGACCTCGTGATCCGCCCACCTCAGCCTCCCAAAGTGTTGGGATTATAGGCGTGAGCCACCATGCCCGGCTGTTTTTTGACTTTTAAATTATGGCCATTCTTGCAGGACTGAGGTGGTATGTCACTGTGGTTTTAACTTCCATTTCTCTGATGATTAATGATGTTGAGCATTTTTTCATATGTTTGTTCTTCATTTGTATATCTTCTTTTGAGAAATGTCTATTCATTTCCTTTGCCCACTTTTTGATGGGGACACTCAAGATTTTTAAAAAAGGAGAGTCAAATGGAATTTAACATTTGTGGAGAGAAGTGAGCAGGGTTAAGGAACCACCAGGGCATGATAAAGCACCCAGGGGCTAGGAACTGGGAAGCTGTTACCACCCGTAGACACAAAGGCAAAAGGAATGGGAACATGTTTCCAGAGCCTGGGGAAAGCTTGGGGCTGACAGGACCATGGCGAGGATGGAGGGCTGAGGACAGAGGGGAAGCACCCTAGCTTTCCTTTCTCCCTCCTAGTCTCAACCCAGTGAAAGCCTTAGGCCCTCCTAAGAGGCTGGCCTTGACTCACTGGGCATGGTGAAGAGCAAAGGACAATGAATGTGTTGGATAAATGGAGAATAAGCTGTGCTGACAGCACATTGTGAAGATACATTCTCAGCTGTGAGTTACCTCTCATACCTTTCTACCATATTGAAAAAGGAATTAGTTTCCTTTTATTCCTTCATTTTCTTCTTCCTGGTTCTTTATAGAATTGATCTTCTAAAATGTAGAGATGTTGCCCAGGCTGGTCTCGAACTCCTGGGCTTAAGTGATCTTCCTGTGTCAGTCTCACAAAGTGTTAGGATTACAAGCATGAGCCACTGTGCCTGGACAAAATAAACTTTACGTGTCTACCAGAGACCACTTTCTCAACATAGGAGCATTAGGGTTTGAATGCATCTTAACAATCATTTGTCAAGGACAGACATGGTAGCCATCTGTTAGTTTTTAAAAATCTATCCTTTATTCCTTCTGGGGAACCTTCTCTCCCCAACACTGTAGGATGTAATCAAGAGCACCTGCTTCCTTTGCTGTGGGGTGCGGTGTGACTCAGGCTGGATAAACAACATGCCCCATCTCTGTGGACATGGGGATAAGTGGGTCCATGACCCATTGGGGCCACTCAGAGTTTTTTTTCCAAGGAGTGACATGGACTCTAGAAAATAAAGTATCTCTTTATTTATCAGGAACTGTCAGGATTATGTTAAGTCTGGAGCTTTCAGGAGCTGGAGTTAGGCAGCTTAGGAGTGCCTAACTTTTTCACCCTGGACAGCCTTTTGGTGAATATTGCCAGCATGGAGGGAAAAAGAACTGAAAGATGGAAGAAAAACACAGGTTAGGGATGACATAATTCAAGCACCTGACCCTAGCAGCCAGAAGCTAGCAAAACCCCAGACATCTGTTTTATGTGCCAACAAATTTTCTTTGCCTCATATGTTACTTTGAGGTATATTTCTCACAATTGAAACTGACAGTCCTGACTAATAGAACCTCCCATGTGGAGGCTGAGGGTAATAGCAGTTAGAGTTCATTGTGCTCTTACGTGTTTTGTTTTCATTTATTCCTATAATAACCCTTAGAAGAAAATAACATATGATTATTGCCATTGTCCAGGTAAACAAACTGAGGTACAGAGAGGTCAAGTAATGACACTAAGGGACTAAATTGTCATTCAAATCAAACCTTTGCTCAACTGTAAAATGTGTGCTCCTAATAAGATAACTATATAATTTATCCTCTAGATTGGGGCAATTTGATAATGACACCAGGATAACAGGCACAGTCTTGGACTGTCTGAGGCACACTGCAAGTCACTTAGCTCTTCACCATTCCACCATGACTCTTGTGATCCTTGTTTTCCTGTTGAGGAAACTGAGATATGGACAGGTTAAGTAATTTATCCAAGGTCATATGACAGAGTCCATGGGTGGGGAGGAGAAAGATTAGGGAAGGTGCTGCTTGGCCAACCTATGTTTATTCTGTGACCAAACGTGGGGCTTTTCAAGGTTCATAGGCTCCTAATGCATGGATCAATACAAAGACACAGAAGATGGAAATTCTGGCCATGTCAAAGTCCTGTCTCAAAGCTCCCAAACCAGAAGATCTAAAGGTACAAAGGTGACTTTATTAAAAGGTAGTGATTGAGCCACTAGAACAACAAAAGTATTAACTTTAAAAAATATATAACATAGGCCGGGCATGGTGGCACACACCTTTAATCCCAGTACTTTGGGAGGCCAAGGAGGGCAGATCTCATGAGGTCAGGAGTTCAAGACCAGCCTGGCCAACATGATGAAATCCTGTCTTTACTAAAAATACAAAAATTAGCTGGGCATGCTGGTGGGCACCTGTAATCCCAGCTACTCAGGAGGCTGAGGCATGAGAATGGCTTGAACCTGGGAGGCGGAGGTTGCAGTGAGCTGAGATTACCCCAGTGCACTCTAGCCTGGGCAACAGAGCAAGACTCTATCTCAAGACAAAAAAATATATATATATAATGATATATATATATATATATATAAAATATATATAATGATATATATAAAAATATATATATCATGATATATATATGTAATGAGATATATATATATATATATATATATATATATATATATATATATATATATATATCATGGCACTTGGAGGAGCAGTAATTAACAGGATGAGTTTGGGCTGTATTAGAAGCTATGAGATAATAGTAAATGAAGTAGCTTGTCCCCTGGACTGGCTGGACATTAGAAGTATAAGAAGTAGTAAATGAAGACATCTCTTCATCCATTCACAAAATCATCTGGATTTTTCAGGACTTATTGGATATTTGATAGACCCTCTGTTTTAGATTGCAGAGGCTGGTAGTGGGAACCCAGCTGCTCCTACTGTCTTTCCTTTGGGGTCCCTTTTGGGTGTCTGTGCCTGTATGGAATGGGGGACACATGGGGCAGGTGCCTAGCACTGTGCTATGTACTTACATAGTCACGTTCTAATGCCACACCGGGAAGCAGGTACTGTCCTTATGCTATTCTACAGACAAGGAAGCTGAGCCTCACTAAAGTTAAGGAACCTAGGCTAGGCTATTCACCCAACACATATTTTTTCACATCCTTCTCTGGGCCAGGGAATGCTGTGGAGTGCTGAGTGCAGAGTGATGACGATGTTACATGTAGTTCCTGCCATTGTGGCACTCATAGCAAAGAAGGTATGTGCCAAGTCAGCCTTACTCCACTACTCCATTCTGCCTACCACCTCCAATAACAAGCGGGCTGTGGGCATGCTAAGCAAAGCTGGTCTACTCTGCTAGGTTACGAGGGAAGCAGGGGGCAGGGAGTGGGGGAGATAAGAACAAAAGGCATTGGGAGCCCAGCTCAGGTTGTGTCTCACTACCAAGAGACGAGCTGGGCCATGCTAGCAAGCAATGTATTTAAATGCATCACTTGCTTTCTATTAGTTTGCGGTTCAAGGGAAAAAAATAACTCTAACTTGGCTTGTAATGTGTTACACAGCCTGACCCTTAGCCACCCCTTTAAGCTCATCATGAAGTTCCATGCCCAACTCTCTGCACCCCATGCTCTCTGTTCTTGTGGCAGCTCACTGGGTTAATCCTGCTCCTTTCTCCATGGAGGGACTTACACATCATCCTCTCCTTCTGACTTGGGTACTTTCCTCTTTACCATCCCCATCCTTCCAACACACCCTTCTGGTCTTCCTGGGGTAACTGTGCCTGACCACCCTGATCAGGCCTCATGTACCTCTCCAGTGTAGTAGTTACATAATTGGCACTTAACATTTATTTATGTGAATAAGTGATAACTGTCTCCTCAAATAGACAGTGAGCTTTTTAAGAATAGGGACTATTCCCCTCTCTCTTTTTTTGCTCACTTTTAAATATTTTAAATTTTGTTAAATTTATAAATGTAGTGCTAAATATATCTTTGTAGAATGAGTGAAAGAATGAATGGATGGATGAAATAGAGGTGTTACTGAGTATGTAACAGGGCATCTAATCAAATTAGGGAAGCCAATAACGATGTCCAGCTTTTGCTTATCATTGTCTCCCTATCACCTAGCCCAGTGCTTGAGAGATCCGTTATCTAAGCAGGTACTTCTAAAATTTTGATGTTTGTACCAGTCCTCGAAAATCTTGTTACAATGCAGCTTCTGATTCAGTAGATCTGGAGAGGAGCCTGAGATTCTTCATTTTAAACTGCTACCATGTGATTTTGAGGCTGCTGGCCCAAGGGCTACACTTTGAGTAGCAAGACTCTTAGCAATATAACATAGTTGCAAGAGGATATTAGCTTCGAGCAATACATCAATGAGGATGCTTTTGGTTGCAAGTAAGGGAAACCCCAGATCAAAATGACTTACTTAAAAAATAAGGGTGATTTATTTTGCAAATGAAGAGGCCTGTGACAGATTGGAATTCAGACACAATTTCACCAAGTCTCCAGCTCTGTTTCTCTGTGATTCTCTTGGTGCTGCCCTCCTTGGAGTGTCCTTTTCATTTTTTGGCTGACTTCCTTGATGGTGGCAAAATGATATCAGCTTTTCCAGCTGTCACATCTCCATATGGTATCATCTAGTGGAAATAAAATCATCTATTCCCCCAGCCGTCAAGAAAAGGTCTAGTCTTAACTACAATTTGACTAACTTAGGTTATATCTGGGGTAGGGTGGGAGGGAATTTGTAATTTATTTGGCTGACGTTGTCTATTTGCTAGCTTCAGAAGTGGTAGCTTATATTGTCCTAGCTGGGTCCTGATGGTACACAGGTGCTCAAGTAATCCCATCTTGTGCCTTGGGTGTTTGTACATTCCATGAAATCACAAACACATACATGGACCCTTGCCTTCAAGCATCCACCTAGGGCAGTGGTTCTCAACTCTGGCCGTTTAGAATTACCTGGGAAATTTTTACAAATATAGATGTCTAGATTTGTAAAATAAGTTTCCTGGGGCAGGACCCCAATGATCCAAGTTTTTAAAAGACCCTTGAGGGTTTCTAATGTGTAGTTAAGGCTAGGAGCCATTTACCTAAAACATACTTCTCACTCCCCAGAGGAGGGGATTTTCTGTTCCCCAGGGGCCATTTATCAATGCAATGCTTGGAGCTATTTTTGGTCGTCACGACCAAAAATTACTACTGATAACTTTTGGTGTTACTACTGATATCTAGTGGAATGGTGCTAAACATCTCATAATGCACAGAAAAATCTCTTTTCCCCTACACAAAGAATCACTGGGCTTAAAATGTTGATAGCATTGAGGTTGAGAACACTTGATCTAGAGGGACAAGATGTTAGAACCAGTTATTTATGTGCAATGTATTCGGGCATACTGATAGGAAAACACACAGTATAGAACCATGGTTTTCGAGCTTTATTGCCCTTAAGAATTAACAGGAGTGCCTGTTTAAAACGAAGTTTCCTGAAGCTTGACTCCCTGAAGTATAGATTCTTCCAGCCTGGAGTGGGGTCCAGTCATCTAGATGTTTAATCTGATAAAGTCGCTGCTGATGCAGGTGGCTCTGCAGACCGCGCTTTGAGAAACACAACCGCAGAATGCGCAGAATTTCTTTTAATGTGTGCTTTCAGGTGTGAACCCAGGCAAAGTCCAGAAATAGCATCACGAAAGGCAACATCTTGAGCCAGGAATGCAAGTCTCCTGGTGGAATTTCAGGCACCAGCAGTGGGTGTGGAGATATTTCGGGCTGCTAAAGCCCTGGCAGCTCTTCCCCTTGCTCCTTGCTGGGCTTGGTCTTGTAAAGCCAAATGAAAACCCCAGCTAGTTCACGATCTTGTCTTCTTCCGAGGAAAGATTTGTCTGAAGACAGTGTTACTGCTTCCAAAGCACCGAGGGAGCTCTGGGGGTTTTATTGACATTCGTTTTCACAGCTCTGAGAAGGTTATTTCTATCCTTTCTGTCCGTAATGTGAGATGATAGGGGAGGAAAATAAGATTCCGTCAGGAGTGCGTGGTTTAGCCGAGTCCTTTCACGTAATCGTGAGCTGTGATGAGCTTGGTTGATTCTGGTCTGAGCGTCTGGGAAGCTCTGTGACCAGGCTGTTTATCGTTTCACTGCAGTGCCTGAATATAAAACTCGGGCACCAGACCCTGGCTGTCTGGGCAATTTGGGTATGAGACCGCAGATCTCACAAACTTCAGCCATCCACCCTGTCTCCCTGCGAGACCCCGGGCATTTATACAGCACTGCAGATAGACCCGCTGAGACCCACACTGTAGTAGCTTCAGCAGAGGGAGCTGATTAAATTCCTCTTTCCTTTGCTGCTTGCATTGTTTTGGCAGAGATTATCCTAAAAATAGCACAGCCCAGTCCTGCCTGGATGCCTTCTGCCTCATTTCTGCAGGGTTGTACGATGTGTATTATTCTTCCACACTTACTGTCTCATGGAAGAGGCAATATTCTGTGGAGGAGGAAAATGAAAAACCCTGGGCTTTGGAGACAGAAGACTGCCTTTCAATTCTGGCTCTGCCTCTGTCCAACCTCGTTTTCTTTTTTTCTTTTTTTTTTTTTTTTTTGGTGACAGTCTTGTTCTGTCACCCAGACTGAGTGCAGTGACGCCATCACAGCTCACTGCATCCTCAACTACCCACACCATGCCTAGTTAATTTTTGTTATTTTTAGTAGAGATGGGGTTTCATCATGTTGCCCAGGCTCATCTCAAACTGCTGGCTCAAGCGATCCACCCGCCACGGCCTCCCAAAGTGCTGGGATTACAGGCATAAGCCACAGCGCCCGGCGGGCCTTGTTTACTTTGGATAAGTCACTTAACCCTGGCGAGGCCTAGTTTTACTAGCTTGCCTATAAAATGGGCATATTCTAAAACCAATCTCATGGAATCATTTTGAAGGTAAAATCAGATAAAGTATGTATCAGCTCTTCAATAAACAATATTATGAGTATTCCCTATTCTGAGCAGACCATGCTGTCCATCATCTCAATTATGGCTTAGGTGTCTTTGTTTAGCCCAACACCATTCCTGGTACATAGTAGGCAGCATGTGCTACAAAGTTAAATTCATTATGTCTCTTCTTGTCTTTATTTGATTAATAGCTGTCATTCCTGCTAGAATTCCACAAGGGCAGGACAGTGTCTAGTTTTTGCATATCTGTGTCCCTTTACCTTTTAGCCCAGAGACCAGCTCAATAAATACTTGCTAAATTAACAAATGAATGAGTGAAATATGTGGCCGGGCGTGGTGGCTCATGCCTGTAATCCCAATACTTTGGGAGGCCAAAGCAGGAGGATCACTTGAGCCCGGGAGTTCGAAACTAGCCTGGGCAATGTAGTGAGACCCTGTCTCTACATAAAAAAATAAAAAAATTAGCCAGATGTGGTGGTGTGTGCCTGTAGTCCCAGCTACTCAGGAGGCTGAGGCAGAAGGATCACTTGAGCCCAGGAGGTTGAGGCTACAGTGAGCCACTGTGATTGTGCCACTGCACTCCAGCCTGGGCGACTGAGCAAGACCCTGTCTCCAAAAAAAGGAAAGAAAGAAAAGGGAAGAAAAAAGAAAAATGCATTCAAGTCAGCAAATATTTTGAGGATGGCTCCTATGTGGTAGGATTTTGTCATTAGACATTATTTGTTTGCAAGAAATAGAAACCAACCAAACTAATGTGAATTGAAAGAAATAGCCAAGTCTGGAAGTATGTCTGGAAGAGTACAGCCAGGTCTCCAGGGACTAGGTGAAAAACTGAAAAACCAGCACACTCAAATCAGCAAGTTCACTTGCCCAGACTCTCTCGCTCTCTCCCTACTTCCCTCTTCTCCTCTCATCTCCTCACATCCTCTCTGCAGTTAGTTTTATTCTTCTCTTCAGTTGCATACAGGCTCCTCTGCTTTGATCATACATGAGACCAGACCACTCCACTCTCTCATTTTAAGCACTGACTTCGACTTAGGAACCAGAGTCTCTGAGTCCCAAACCCAAATTTCTAAAAAAATGATGAATGTCTTAGCATAGGGGAAGAGTCAATTCCAGGTACAAGTAGATGATGTTGGGGAGATAGGGAGGTCCTCTGATCTGCCCCTCACTGTTCAGGGGCTCCAGAAGCAGGGGCTCAGAGGGAAAGCCAGGATACAAATTCCAACAGGGAGGATTGGAGACTGAGAGGTGATCATTGGCAAAAGCCCATCAACAGCAAGGGCACAGTGCTGAGCACTGGGGTACCATTCATTTATTCCAGAAATGTTCACTGGGTGCCTACTGTGTAACAGGCACTGTTCCAGATGCTGGGGTTACAGCAGTAACAAGGAAGATGACAAGGATCCTGCCCTCCTGGAGCCCTTATTCTACAATGCAAACAAGTCAACATTCCAACAAACAAGTATATGAGCAACAGAGCTTCATTTCTCCAATGAAGAAGATTTTCTTCAAAGCGGAGAAATTAGCAACATGATATAGGGTGATAGGGCCAGGGGTGGGAAGGGTTATTTTGATTGCCACTTAGTGTCCTGTTCTGTCATACTGGCCAAAAGTACTAAAAACAGTGCCAAGATTTGGTTCTTCTGCTTATAAAGAAGGGCATAAGAGTAGAGTCCAGAATGTTCCTTGCAATTCTCCTTATGCTTGTCATGATGTAGGGGATAATTGGAGGCAAACTATCTATCTTGGGACTGGAGAAGAGACAACCAGGCTCTGGGGCCACCCTTTGTAACTCTTTTTTTGGAACCTATCAAAAAAGCTCTGAGTGGCTCAGAACATGCCACACTCCGAGATCCACCTGCCTCTGATTGGGCTGGGGCCTGCCTAACACAGGCTTTGGGGAAAGTAGAGGGAATGTAGTGGGTGAAGAGAGCTCACCTGTTCACTTCAACTTTAGGCCTCTTAGACTTTTCCCAACAGGCTTCCATGGAAAGGATGCAACTAACTTCAGGGCAGTTCCGTCACCATCCTCAGAAACAACAACTGGCCGGGCATGGTAGCTCACAGCTGTAATCCCAGCACTTTGGGATGCTGAGACAGGAAGGTCTCTTGAGCTCAGGAGTTCAAGACCAGCCTGGACAACATAGTGAGACCCCATCTCCACAAAAAATAAATAAAAATTAGCCAAGTGTGGTGGCATACAACTGCCGCCCCAGCTGCTTGGAGGCTGAGGTGGGAGGATCACTTGGGCCTGGGAGGTCGAGGCTTCAGTGAGCCATGATGGCCCCACTGCACTCCATTTTAGGTGACAGAGTGAGACCCTGTCTCAAAAGAGAAGAAAAGAAAAAACAACAACTAATGCTTAATATATGCTAGGCAATGTTCTAAAAGCTTTGCTTGCAGGCTGGGGGCAGTGGCTCATGCCTGTAATCCTAGCACTTTGGAAGGCCAGTGTGAGAGGATCACTTGAGCTCAAGAGTTCCAGACCAGTCTAGGCAACACAGTGAGACTCCATCTCTATTAAAAAAGGAAAAAGCAAAGCTTTGTATGCATTAATTCACTTAACTTCTACAATTATACTATGAGGTAGGTACTATTGTTATCCCCATTTTACAAGTGAAGAAATCACACATAAAGCTTCTATAACTTGCTCAAAGTCATGTGTAGAAGTGGACTTCAAATCTAGACATTTCAGCTCCAAAATCCATTTATTTTTTCTTATCAATAATGCCTTTTTCCAGGTGACTCTGAGCCCTATCTCTTGTACATAGAGGCTTCCAACAAAATTTTGAACAATTAAATGACTACATCACACTTACAAGTTTCATTGCATTTTCTACTACATGCCACATGCATATCTGGTATCCTTCATTTTAAACATTTATTTAAAAAAATTTTTTTGAGACAGGGTCTCGCTCTGTTGTCCAGGCTGGAGTGCAGTGGTGCAACATGTCTGATGTCTTTCAAACTTTCTATTCAAATTCAGAAAAGGAGAGTAAACAACCTCTGATTTCAGGTCAAATGCAGAATTTCTTTCTGTTTTTGTTTTTGTTTTTGCAACTCTTCCATCAAACCATTATAGTCTGACACCTATTGAAGGGAGAATGCGTTGTGTTATACTAGTCTTCATTTAGAGACAAGATTGGTTGCAGAGAGTACCCCTTGAATGTGGAAGGTGAGAGCAAACTATTAAACTACTTAGCCAAAAATCCAACTCCACAGTGGAATTTCAGGCATCAGAAAGTAGGTGGGAAGTATTTGAGAGTACGGCAGCCTTTTTGAGGCTTCAATATTGTTTGATGCACAATATGTGGCCTTTATGCCTGGCTTCTTTAACTTAGCATAATATGTTTAAGTTTCATCTATGTTGTAGCATGTATTATTCTTTTTTATAGCTTAATAATATTCCGTTGTATGCATATACACCATTTTATTTACCTGTTCATCAACTGATGGAAATTTGGGTTCTTTCATTTTTTGGCTATTATGAATAACGCTGTTATAAACATGTTGTACAAGTTTTAGTGTGGATGTTACGTTTTGAATTTTCTTGGGTATGTCTGCAGGAATTGAATTGCTGGGTCATACATTAACTCTATGTTGAATATTTTGAGAAACTGCCAACCTGTTTTCCGAAGTGGCTGCACCATTTTACATTTGCAGCAGTGTAGGAGAGTTCCAATTTCTCTATAGCCTCGCCAACACTTGCTATTGTCCCTCTTTTTGGTTATGGGCTGGTTATTCACGCAGGCATTGAGTTCATAGATTGTTATACAAAGTGGCTTTCGTTTTATTGGCTGAAGGAAAATAGGATTTATTAATCTGTTTGTTTGTAGAGGGGCAGAGGGAAGAAGGGAGATATGAGGACAATCATGAGTGTTGTCACCCAACCTTGTTTAAGGAATTGGTCTTGAGTCTCAGAGAAGAGAGGAGATATAGTAAAGCCCAAGAAGTTCCTGAAGCCTGCTAAGAGTCTGCACACAAGCAGGATGCACTGGGATCCAAGTGACCAGGTTCAACAGCGTAGGGGACCTTCCCCCATACTGTGGGACAGCATGCAGGGGGAGGTGCTGAGGGACATCAGCACATCAGGGACAGCATTGCCACATGCCCACAGAAGCATGGGGAGGATGTAGAGTCTGGGAGCCCTCATCAAATAGCTACTAGGCAGTGGCTTCCAAGAAGAGGCCATGATGCAAGAACACATGGCAACACGGTGGGCCCGTGTCCTGCTTTAGGAGCTGGGTCAGCAGGCGAGGGATGTGAACCTCTGACCCACAGGCCGGCAAACACTGGGACAGTGTACATAAGCCTTATCTTGAAGGCCCTGTGCAAACCAGTGTTTTAATGTTATTTGTTCCTTCTAGGGAATGCTAGGCCTGACAATTACATGGAATTTCAACCCTAATGAAGAAAGGGGTGATATACTCATCCATGACCTATTAAATCCTCATTTTCCCACCAAGCCTGGTGTTTTTCATTACTGTTTTACAGACTGGAAGAAAATAGATTTTGTGCCATGTAAATTATGTTGAGTTTATGGTCTCTTGTGGGAAAGCCAGGGCTGATTCCTCAGAGGATGTTTTATGCCAGTCCATTAGCATGAGGGCCTTATTGATGAACCAATAAAGCATGTCCTGCCACATTCTTGGAATGGAACCTCCTAATTCATCATTAATATTCAGGTAAAGCACCACTACATTCATCTGATTTTCCTCCCGTGGTAATTGCTGTTTAATTTCTATTTTATTAGCCAGATTAGTAAATCTTGGGAGATACTTGTTCCAGGCATGTACTCGAAAAGCCTGATAGATCTTTTGGTGTTTGTAAGCTAATGATAGCTTCCCGTGAACAGCAAAGCCTATAGTAACTTTTGGTGCATTTTGAACCCTAAGGAAAGCCCTGCCACTATCTCATTCAGGTCCCAGGCAACCCTGAAAGGTAGGACTAGGCAGCTGTCTTTCATGACACCCCACTGTAACTACATGAGGAAACTGAGGCTTGAGAAGGGTAGTAAGTGATGAAAAAATGGGTCTTGGCCCTGATTCGCTCAACTCTAAGAAAGACCTGCGCTGCATTAATAAAATACTAATAATGAATCTTTTTTTTTCTTTTTTGGGACAGTCTTGCTCTGTCACCCAGGCTGGAGTGCAGTGGTGCAATCTGGGCTCACTGCAACCTCTGCCTCTCAGGCTCAAGTGATTCTCATGCCTCAGCCTCCCAAGTAGCTGGGATTACAGTCATGCGCCACCACACCTGGTTAATTTTTTAATGGGGTTTCACCATATTGGACAGGCTGGTCTCGAGCACCTGACCTCAGGTGATCTGCCTGCCTCAGCATGCCAAAGTGCTGGGATTACAGGTGTGAGCCACCACACCCAGCCTAATAATGAATCTTGTCAGATGGCTTTATTGACTTGATTTGTCAAATCAGTTCTGTCCCCCATTTCACCACCACTCCAAACAGCCAGTGGGTAAAAATACTGCTTCAGAAGCTAATGTTCAGAGCCAAAACACTGTCAAGATGACTGATCAATTCCGTTAAAATAAAGTTCTGCTCAAGGAAAGCAGTTTTAAAAGTCAGATGTGAATGTGTGAAGGGGATGCATCTATTCCCAATACACCTGGCCTTTCCTCCCCTACAATATTGCAAAATGAATTATTCTATGTGCACAATAATGTGTGACAAAACTTTAATTGACATATTGGCTTAATACACAATTATGAAAATTACTAGTAATTAAAGGATCTGGGGATGATGGCTCATGCCTGTAATCCCAGCACTTTGGGAGGCTGAGGCAGGTGGATCACTGAATGTCAGGGGTTCGAGACCAGCCTGGCCAACATGATGAAACCCCGTCTCTACTAAAAACACAAAAATTAGCTGGATGTGGTGGTACACACCTGTAATCCCAGCTACTCGAGAGGCTGAGGCAGGAGAATTGCTTGAACCTGGTTGGCAGGGGTTGTAGTGAGCTGAGATCATACCACTGCACTCCAGCCTGGGCAACAGAGCAAGACTCTGTCTCAAAAAAAAAATGTAATTAAAGGGAACACTTAGCTGACAGAGTTTACAAAACTGAATGTATTCAAGAGCTCTTCATTTTCTTTCCCCTCCTAATTGTTCCCTCTGGCTGTCACAGCTTTTAATGGTTTGTTATCCATATATTAAATAAGCCGATTCAGTCTAGATATTATTGGGTGGTTGCAATTACCAAAAGGATAGAAAAGGATTCAATTTTTCGGTTGTTGTTGTAAAAAAAAAAAAAAAGAACTTCTTTAATCTTGGACTTGTTTCTTGAAACTGTCAATTTGCTCTATGACTGATGGTTGCCTGAAAAGTGGTGACCAACTTTTTCCCCATGGAATCAGCATAAACTGGATCTGGGCTGTAGCAGGAGAGCCAAGGTTAGATATCTGAAATTTTCCTGATTGCAGACTGCTACCTTATGTAAAGAATCTTCTTCCTTTTTTTCTTCCCTCTTTCCCTCTCACCAATCTTGACCCTGAGTCCCCTGGGAAATGTGATCCAGAAATGGTGAGCCACAGAAGCAAGAGAAATAATGGGAAACCCACTAGAAATGTTTCTCTGACTGCTAATGAATCCAGGGTCAAGTATGGGAAATGTTCGGAATCTGTGACTGCGTAGGTCTCATGAGGTGTAGATACTTCTATTCGAAGTTAGCGAGTTCAGGTAAACTAGGAAAATGCGACTCCAAATTCATGTCTTTTCTTCAGTGAGAGAGTTTTTGTTTGCCTGAATTATCTGGATGACTGACATAATA
Source organism: Homo sapiens (assembly GCF_000001405.40). Taxonomy (NCBI): domain Eukaryota; kingdom Metazoa; phylum Chordata; class Mammalia; order Primates; family Hominidae; genus Homo; species Homo sapiens. Next base: position 66,161,691 of record NC_000003.12, read on the forward strand.
TTTTTTCATTCATATCTATGCATTCATCTATGGGCAACATACATTTGCCTTTGATATCCCAGGTATTCAGGTAAATATTCATGGTGCAGAGAGACACACAGTCCCTGACTTCAGGACCTTCCATTGTTCACCCCTCAAGCCACCTCACCAACTCACACACTAAGATGAAGACAGACCCAGAAAGGAGACAATTCCATATGATAGCTGTTTTGAAAAGAAAAATGAACGATGGTGTGAGAGTGTCACAGCTGGTCTCGGGGAATTCATGGAAGACTTCCAGAGCATGTTAGTATGCTTGGGCTGCCATAACAAAGTACTGCAGACCTGGTGGCTTCAACAAGAGAAATTGATTTTCTCACAGTTCTGGAGCCTAGAAGTCGGAGATCAAGACATTGGCAGGACTGGTTTCTCCTAAGGCCTCTTACCTTGCCTTCCAGATGGCCATCTTCTCCCTGTGTCTTCACGTGGTCTTCCCTCTGTGAATGTCTGTGTTCATCCAAATCTCCTCTTATTATCAGGACATGAGTCACATGGGATTAGGGACCACACATATGACCTCATTTTACCTTACTTACCTCTTTAAAGGCCCCGTCTCCAAATAGAGTCACATTCTGAGGTCCTGGGGGAGAGGACTTCAACATGGATTTTTTTTTCTTTTTTTTTTTTTTTTGTGGTTGGGCGGGGGAGGGGGGTGCACAACTGAGCCAAAAACACAGGAGAAGTGACTTCTAAGCTGGGGCATCGAAAAAAAGCAGAATTTAGTGTTCCAAAGCACCCATGTATCAAGGCCTAGAAGTGAGAAAAAGTGGTCCATGCAGCAAACTGCAAGTATTTTGAAATGGCTAGAGTCTAGATGTGATGTAGAAAGCAAGAAGACTTGAGACTAGAGCTCTGGGAAGGGCTGAATCATGGAGGTCTTTGTCATCTGAGTTAAAGATGGGACAATAGGCACATGGAGGAATTTTAGGCAAGAGGATCATACTTAAATTAACATGATATCTAAAGACCACTGCTGGGCGCATGAATGCTTAGCATGAGTCCTGCAGATGCAGTCTCTTGGCTGTCATCACTCATACAGGGACATGAATTGTGGAGGTGGTGAGGATAATAAGATTCCCTGCACATGGAGGTGAAGTTATGAAAACTCTTTTGTATAGATGCTCCCATTTCATCCTCACAAATTAACTCCAGTTCACAGCTGAGAAAGCTTAGGCTCAGAGAGATAGAGGAACTTGCTTCATTAAGGCCACAGAGCGAGCAAAGGGTCAGCCTGGATTGGAACTCTGGCCTTATTTCACCTTTCACCCTGGCTCTTTCTAGGAAATCAGCCTCCTTTCTGAGGAGTGAACCGCATCTCTAGCTTGTCTTCCAAGAAGCCCTGCAGTGCATATTTCTTTGTGGTGTCCTCGACATCCTTGTTAAAATGTTCACTCTTTTAAAGAGGAAAAAAGCTGCTATTTGAGAGGCATTTACTGCCATAATTACAGCCATGATTTGGTGAAGTTGAATGAGAAAACCCCAGTGACTTAAAAGACAAACCACGTTCCATATGCCACAATCTGTCAGGGGCCAGCATTTGACGGGAAACAGTTTGATGGAAACTTTTCTGTTGTCGTTTCAAGAGATAGACGTGTTGCAGAGAACCACTCTGCAAGATTGATATATTTTTCTCATTATTGGGTTGTTTTTCCAACCACTTTCATGTGCTATCTTCTCATCTTTTTTCCCCGGTCCTTTGTCATAACCTTTCTCCCAAAGGGCTAGGGGCTGTCTGGACTCTGGATACCATTGACAAGATCACATTTATTTCATCTCTGTTGTCTGCACCTTTGCAGTCCCCAGAACTATTTTGTCTAAGACAGATCAAGAAATCATTCTCATTATGCTCTCATGACTTCTACATTTCAATTAGGACCAGAAGAGATGTTAGTGATTCTCTCTAGGCCTGGCCAGCCTGAGACAGAGCTCAGATTGCTACAGTGCCCGCCTCCTCTTCACTGTCTTTATAGTTCTGTCTCACTTCTCAACCCACTGTCTCCAAGTTCTCTCTGCCTTGACCAAAGTCTGATTGAGCCCCAAGATGAATCTGAAGTTTTGCATGACAATTTATGGTAGAAATTAATATCCTAATAATCATTTATTTAGACTAGTGGTTCTCACCTGGGGATGATTTTGTGCCCCAGGGGGATATTTGGAAGTCCCTGGAAACATTTTGTTTGTTACATCTGTGGGAAAGAGATGTTAGTAACATCTAGTGGGTAAAGGCCAGGGATGCTGCTAAACATCCTTTAATGTACAGGGAAGCCCCTATAGTAAAAAAGTTATCTGGCCCAAAATGTCAATAGTGTTGGGGTTGAGAAACTCTGATTTAAACAATTAATACTTAAAACTTCATTATATTCCAGGCCTATTGTAGAAATAGAAGATTTTGTAATCAACAGGACCTTTGCTCTCTAAAATTTTATTATCTAGAGGGAGCATATATCATTTAGAATTTTTCCAGCTGCAATTAACAAGATACTCAAAGAATTTCCTAAAGATACTTGAAATTTTCTCTTGTAACAAACATCTGGAAGTTATTTTAGGATTGTTTAATTGGACAACTCAACAAGGTCAGATATCTGGGTGAGCTTCCCCAGAATATTTTTTGCTTTTCCCTCATGGTTGCAAAATAGCTGCCATAGCTCCATTCTCACAAATAACTCCCAAAGCAGGATGGATGAAAGGCATAAGGGATCTCTTCTGATATATCAGTTTTTTTTTTAATGAGGGAGAAAAATCCTTTCCAGAAGCCCCCCAATGCCCAATAGGCTTTCTCTTATATCCTACAGGCCAGACTTGGGATACCTTCCCATTCTTAAACCATTAAGGGCAAGTTTAAAATAGGATTACCGTCAATGACTTGGACTAGGGATCAGCAAACATTTTCTGTAAAGGGCCACATAGCAAATATTTTAGGCCTTGTATGTAATATATGATCTGTGTTGCACATTCTTCTTCTGTCAATTTTTACAACCTTTAAAAATGTAAAATCTATTCTTAGCTAATGGGCTATGTAAAAACAGGCTGTGGGCCATAGTTTGCTGACCCCTGGAGAAAGGGCTTTCTAACACCTGCACAAAATCAGGGTTCTCTTCACAACCCAGTTATCATGGTGGTAACTGGATCTGCCACAGAAGGGTGCACAAGTGAATGGTAATTATAACGCAGTGGGACAAGTGCGATGACAAGGATGCATGGAAGAAGCTGTGGTAGCCAGCCTTCAAGATGCCCCCAATGATCCATGCCTCTAGCATTCATGCCTTTGAATCAGGTTGGTTTCTTGGACTAATAGAAGTGACAGTATGTGACCTCAGAGACTGTATCCTGAAAAACATTGCTACCTCTACCCCAGTCTTGAGGATTGCCCATTCTAGGGGAAGGTGGCTGTCATATTGTGATGACACTTAAGTGGCCTCTCCACAGGCGACACAGTGAGAAACTAAGGCTTTTCACCAACACCCACCTTCAACTTGCCAGTCATGCGAGTGAGCCGCCCTGGAAGTAGATTCTCTAGCCCTAGGCAAGCTTTCAGTTGACTGCAATGCTGGCTGATATCTTGACTGCAACCTCATGAGAAACTTTGAGCCTGAGCTACTCAGCTAAGCTGCTTTTGAATTCTTGACTCACAGGAACTATGAGATAATACAGATCTATTACATTAAGCTCCTTAGTTTTAAGGGTGATTTTTAATGCAGCCATAGATAATGAATACAGAGGTTTCTAAGAGAGTGGGAATGCCTTAGTTTCCAGGCTCTTAGAATGGCATCTTTAGATACTAGTAAGATGGTGAGGTCTAGGGGTGGGGGTGATGAGGGAAACAGCTGGCTAGGATTCGGGAAGCCTGGAACCTCTAGTTCATTTGTGAACGTGAAACAAACTAACTCACTTCTTTGGACATCATAAGCAAATCCTGGGAATGAGAGGATGAATAACTGTCAGAAAAATGAAAACTATCAAAAGCATATGGAATAACCTATATACTGTGATATAAGGCTCAATTCTTTGTTCTCTGAAGTAGTATATAATTTGCCTTTTCCCCCCATCAATCTTGAAAAACAAAATACGGAAAAAATCCATAGTGCCTGGAGAGGTTAGACAGGAGTCCAGGTGTCCAACATTAGGAAACACAACATGCAAGGAGTGGTAATTCAGGACCAAGGACAGCAACCTAATTCCCTACCCCCACCACCCCACCTCTCCCCACCACCCCCATCCCAACCCCACAGACAGTTTTGGGCTTGGTATACACTTTCTGGCATCCAGAAATATATTCTCTGATATATAAAATTAGAACAGTTGAATTTTATTGTATTTAAAACTCAGCTTTGATATTCTGTAAATTCTTGATTCTGGCTTATTTGCTCTGCTCTCAAATCTCTATCAAACGCCTTCAGTTTCTGCCAACGTGGAAGGTCAGTCCTATCTATCAGATGAACATAGAATTGAAGGTGACATACTGATCTGACATCAGTTTACTAGGAAAAGAAGACAAGCAAAGGGTGCTAATTTATTTCTTTTTATTTGGCTCCCTTTATTGCTGTGTGCTATCATTTGCCAAGCCCTGCAGGAGATAAAGAAGAGGAAGTAGCAGATTTTTCCTTCAGAAAGTTTGCAGCCTAGAGAAAGAATGACAAAGACTCAAACAACTCTCCTTGCTGCATTTCTTTTTCCTCCTTTAGTTAGACACTGTATTTGTCCCCTAAATAAGACAGACTCTCAGAGAAGGATCTTGTAACAGATAGTTTTACTTCGATGTGAATTTAATTCATTGTGTTACTGTACAATTTACACCTTATCTGTCTTTTGGAATGGAAGGCTTAATCTTCGGGTAGAGATTTGAGGCATTAACAGATAATTTTTAATTTGGTTAAGTTCACCATTAAAGTTTCTTCATCTGCAAAATAGGGCTAACCATATTGGCACTGTCTATTTGTAGCTTTTGTCAGCTTAGCACTCCCTTTTCCATTGCTGAGTGAGTACCCCCAACCCTAATTCCATATGGCTGTGGTTGGACTGTCAATCATATCCAGTGCCTGGCCACTGGAATGGCCACAGACATGAGCCTCGTCAATGATGATATAGTTTGGCTCTATCTCCACCCAAAACTCATCTTGAATGGTAGCTCCCACAATTCCCACGTGTTGTGGGAGGGACCCAGTTGTGGGAGGTAATTGAATCATGGGGGCGGGTATTTCCTGTGCTGTTCTCATGATATTGAATAAGTCTCACGAGATCTGATGGTTTTATAAAGGTGAGTTTCCCTACACAGGTTCTCTTCTCTTGTCTGCCACCATGTGAGATGTGCCTTTCACCTTCCACCATGATTGTGAGGCCTCCCCAGCCACGTGGAGCTGTGACTCCATTAAATCTCTTTTTCCTTATAAATTACTCAGGCTCGGGTATTAGTCCATTTATCACCAGTGTGAAAATGGACTAATACAGATGGTAAAGGGTTCCATTGTTCATAGAGATTGGTTCGAGGAAAGGGTACATGGCCAAAGTAGGGCCACTTAGACTTTCCACACGATCTGACGTCCACTTCATCTGGACTTGCAATCTGCAAGGATGATGTAAGCTTTAGCTGCCTGTGGGAAATAATCTGCAACAGGAGAAAATGACACTAACATGTTAAATTTAACAGAAAAAATGAAGCCAAGACATAGGGAAAGGAACAATAGAGAATGAGAGAGAATAGTAAGAGAGGTAGTTTGGCTTCTGGATCTAGCCAGACCTGAATGCATCACACTTTATATAAGCCAATAAATTCCCTTTTATGCTTATGCAGGTTTAAGACATGCTTCTTTGACTTACAACCACAAAGACTAATATGATAACTATAATAGTTATTATAAGGGCCAAGTAAAATAAAATTTTTGAAAGCCCTACACAAAAGATGCAGTAATGTTCTCTGGGAGCTAACACTTTAATCTTTCAACATGTCTCTAAGTGCTTAATAAATATTATTTCATTCAATTCTGTCCTGCAGGCTTAATGCCCTGATGATGGGGAAAACCTTCCATTTTCTTTCCCTTGACATTAAGCTAATGCATTTCATCTAGTAAATTTCTCAATAAACTAGATAATAAACGGAAAGATCTCTGTGTTATTTCAATATGGGTTAAAAATATATAGCTACTCTGGCTGGGTGCAGTGGCTCATGCCTGTAATCCCAGCACTTTGGGAGGCCGAGGCGGGCGGATCACCTGAGGTTGGGAGTTCGAGGCCAGCCTGACCAACATGGAGAAAGCCCGTCTCTACTAAAAATACAAAATTAGCCAGGCATGGTGGCACATGCCTGTAATCCCAGCTACTCATGAGGCCGAGGCAGGAAAATAGCTTGAACCCGGGAGAGAGAGGTTGCAGTGAGCTAAGATCGTGCCATCGCACTCCAGACTGGGCAACAAGAGCAAAACTCAGTCTCAAAAAAAATATATATATATATATGTGTGTGTGTATATATATATATATACACACACACACACACATATATATCTACTCAAAGTTGAATGCCACCAGCTTTTTACATTACTTTATAGGAAGAATCTTCAGGGAACCACTACTTTGGTGATGTTTTGTTAAATGGCAGTGAAATGGCTGCTGTTGCGGGTGATAGAAAACTCTATTGCTGTCCTCGACTTCATCTGCACTAAGATGAATCCATTATAGCAGCATTCCTGAAATTCTGAGGCAGGATAAAAACTTTTGCAGTTTTTAAATTAATGTTTTCCTTCTTTTTTGGTTCTTTAGAAAGTCTTGCCTTTGTAAGGCATTTTTAGAAAGTCTTGGAGTTTTGACTTATGGTCAGAACTGTAATTACTTTTATTTTTTTCCCCAAACTTGAAATATGCCTACTAGAAACATGAGACTTTGTCTTTCTTCCAAAAATAAGCTTGTGTTTGGAATATAATTTAGAGATGTTGAAGATTTACTGCTTTAAGTAAAAGCAGGGACTGAGGCAGGATCTAAAAGATGGGTGCATGTAAGCTTCCAGCTCATAGAGGTAGTTTGGGGCTGTCCCCCAAGGAAGAATTTAGTTCAGCAATTTCTTAAAAATTGATCGATAGCCATGCAGGTTTTCCTGATAGGGTATTTGATAATTGAAAAAATGGCCAGATATGGTGGCTCACGCCTGTAATCCCAGCCCTTTGGAAGGCCAAGGAGGGAGGATGGCTTGAGCCTAGGAGTTCAAGACCCGATTGAGCAACATAGCAAGACCTGGTCTATACAAAACATTTTTTAAAAATTAGCTTGGCATGGTGGTGTGTGCCTGTAGTCCCAACTACTTGGGAGGCTGAGGCAGGAAGATTACTTGAGCCCAGGTGTTCGAGGCTGCAGTGAGCTATGATCGCATTACTGCTATCCATCCTGGGTGACAGAGCAAGACCCTGTGTCTAAAAGAAAAGAAAATCCTCGTTCTTTCTTGACATCTTTTGGCTTCCTAGATTTTCATTATTATGCAGGACCAGAGTGTTCTTAAAAATCTATTAAGTACTTACTAAGTAGTTATTAGTACTTGCTCAAATTAAATATCCAGAAACTGAACTTAGTGCAGTATTAGATTTACTGAAGCCTTAAATTCAGTATTAATTTACTACACTGGTCCTGCCTCGGTTTCTCAGTTAGACCAATCCCTTACCTGTTAGGGCTTTGCACTTGCCATTTCCTCTGCCTTGAAGTGCCGTTTCTGAGTGCTTCACACTGTTGACTCCGTCCCCTCACTTAGGTATCAGCTCAGCTGACTCTCCAGGGATGCCTTCCTTGTCCCACCCCATCTAAAATAGCCACCAGCCATTCTTGGTTACCTTACCCTGTTTTATTTCGTATGTTGCTTTTTCATGTTTATTGTAGGTTTCGCCCTTAGAATTTCAGCTCCATGACAAGGGCCTGGTTTATCTTGTTCATATCTATGTCACCAGTGCCTAGAAACAATGTCAAATGTATACTAGGCACTCGATAAATATTTGTTGGATGAAAAAATCTGGCTTCTATGCAACTTCACATACTAGCATGCAGATATTAGTTTTTTACTGAACATTAGGAGGAACTATGGTGTGATGCTGAATCAAAAAATGATTGCAGATTTAAAAAACTATTTTAGAGTCACTAATCAAGAAGAGGGGATATTCACTTGGAATTTACAGATATCTTTACATGTCCATGAACCCTCTGAAATTATATGTATATTTTTCTGGGGAGAAGAGCAATAATTTTCCTCATACTTCCAGTGGGATGGGTGGCACTGGCTGAGGCTGACTTGCTGCTAATCTAGACTGACTCTAACCCGATTCTGCTCCATAAAATCACACACTTGGGCAACCAGTATTTTTGCTTTGCAAGCTCGGGCACCCTGCATTCAGGTTCTAAGCAAGTTCCAAATTAAGCACTTGTATTGCCTTTGTGGTTTTACTAATAATCTATTAAAGAAATACTTGAAACTACTTAGGTATCTAAGCAGTTTGTGTAAGATATGCAAAAATGGAGCAGGAAATATATTTTGAAAATTGTGCTAATTTCTCTGTTGTCCAAAACTGTGCACGGCTTTACACCTCAGGTATGACTGAGGCACTTCAACATAATTTGCTTCTAATGTCAATCCTGTAGATGCCTAAGATTTCAGAGTATGGAATCAGATAGATTTCTATTTGAATCTAGGACCAACCACTTTGTGTTACTATGCACAGGACACTAATGCTCACTGGACCTTAGTTTCAGCATCATAAAATGTCACACCACACTTATAGAATTGTGATGAAGAGCGCATGGTACTATATGCCAAGCACTGTTGTAGCTACTTTATATATACTAACTCAATTTTAATACAATCCTCCTAAGAATGTATGAGGTATGTCATCTAAGAATCATTGCCATTTTATAAATTGAGAAACTGAGGTACTGAGGAGTTCAGTCACTTAACTAAAGACACACACCTGTTAAATATCCCTGCAGAACTCTGCTATTCCATCCATCTATAATCCCACAGTGCCTGACACACATAGTGCCGGACACATGTAGTGCCTGAAGCCCAGCACACAGCAAACATTTAATAGATGTGATTATTGTTTTTTTTTTTTTTTTTTTTTTTTTTTTTTGAGACGGAGTCTCGCTCTGTCGCCCAGGCTGGAGTGCAGTGGCGGGATCTCGGCTCACTGCAAGCTCCGCCTCCCGGGTTCACGCCATTCTCCTGCCTCAGCCTCCCAAGTAGCTGGGACTACAGGCGCCCGCCACTACGCCCGGCTAATTTTTTGTATTTTTAGTAGAGACGGGGTTTCACCGTTTTAGCCGGGATGGTCTCGATCTCCTGACCTCGTGATCCGCCCGCCTCGGCCTCCCAAAGTGCTGGGATTACAGGCGTGAGCCACCGCGCCCGGCCGTGATTATTGTTTCATTGAAAACATTACTTTGTGTTAGAAGAGTTGGCAGCAGAGCTATCCCCAACATGGTCTAATCCCTGAAGACATTATGAATATTTTACATTTGTGGACCAGAATGTAGCATGGGTAAACTGAGATTGGAATGCAATGTTTTTGTAAAAAATTTCTCTTAGTCCTTGGTAACAGTGACAAATGTGAGTGGAGTCCTCACATCTGGTTTTGTGGCATGATTTTGGTTATGATGCTGGCTGCTCGTTCTAGTCGGGTTCTCCAGCCATCCCTAGCAGTTATTTGGTCTCTTCAACAATAACCTTTTAATAAACCTTCCCCTACTTTTTTTGTTCTCTTAAACATGTTCTATTGCTTGCAATGAAGGACCCTGAGATTTTTCTTTTCTTTTTTTTTGAGCAGAGTCTTGCTCTATCACCCAGGATGTGGTGCAGTGGTGCAATCTTTGCTCACTGCAACCTCGGCCTCTCAGGCTTAAGTATTTCTCATGCCTCAGCCTCCCAAGTAGCTGGGACTACAGGCACACATCACCATGCCTGGCTACTTTCTGTATTTTTAGTAGAGATGGGGTTTCACCATGTTGCTCAGGCTGGTCTCAAACTCCTGGCCTCAAGTGAGCTGCCTGCCTTAGCCTCCCAAAGTGCTGGGATTACAGGCGTGAGCCACTGCACCCGGCCCTGAGATGTTCATTTCAATTGTTCTTTAAATGTTTGTAGAGCAGCTTACTATGTGCCAGGAACTGGAAATACAGAAAGGAATCACACAGAAGACATCCCTTCTCTCATGGAGCTTATGTGAAGATGGTGCTACTCTTCCTTACCCCCTTTCCTGTAAAGTTGTCTTTTTGCTGGTTAAATATTCCCAGCTCCCTCAACCTTTCCTAGGTGACACAGTCTTATTCCATCAACATCCTGCGCTCCCCTCCTCTGATGCTTGTAGGTTAATGGAGTATTTGTGAGGAATCTTATGTAGCAAATGCTAGAAACTCAATCAAATTGGATTAAGTTTTAAAAAAATGTCAGGCACAGCAGTTCACACCTGTAATCTTAGCACTTTAGAAGGTGGAGGCAGGAGGATCACTTGAGCCCAGAAGTTCAAGACCAGCCTGAGCAACACGGCAAAACCCTGTCTCTACAAAAAATACAAAAATTAGCCAGGTATGGTGTCATGCACCTGAAGTCCCAGCTATTCAAGAGGCTGAGGTGGAAGGATTGCTTGGGCCCAGGAGGCTGAGGCTGCAGTGAGCCATGTTTGCACCATTGTACTCCAGCCTGGGCCAGAGAGTGATACCTGTAAAGAAAAAAAAAAAAAAAAAAAAGGAAAAGAAAGAGGGAGAAAGAGAGAAAGAAAGAAAAAAATAAATTTTCAGTTCAGGAAACTAAAAATTCTAGGGTAAGCCTCCTTCAGGCAAGACTGGTCGGGGCTGTATATTAGTGTGCTGGGGCTGTCATAGCAAAGTGCCATAGCCACAGCCTGGCTGGTTTAAACAACAGAAATATATTGTCTCAAAGTTCTAGAGTCCAGAGATCAAGTGTCACCAGGGTTGGTTTCTTTTGAAGCTGTGAGGGATAATCTGTTTTTGCTTCTCTTCCTGGCTTCTGGTAGTTTGCTGACAATTTTTGTTCTGGTAGTTTGCTGGCAATTTTTGGTGTTCCCTCACATGCAGCATCCTCCAAGTTCTGCCTTCATGTTCACATGGTGCTCTTCCTGGATGCATGTCTCTGTGTCCAAATTTCCCCTTTTTATGAGGACACCAGTCATAATGGATGAGGGGCCCACCCTAGGCACCTCATCTTAACTAATTACATCTACAAGGAACCGATTTCCAAATAAGGTCACATTCTGAGGAACAGAAGGTTAGGGCTTCAACATATGAATTTGGAGGCGGACACATTTCAACCCCAACAGGCTTCAACAGTGTTTTCAGAAATCTTTCTCTCCATCTGTTGGCCCTGCTCTCTGTGTTTACTTCATTATTGTTCAGGCGCTTTCCAAATTGTGATAAGCTACCAGGAGCTCCATAATCGGAAAGATGCATTTTTTGTCCAGTTGTAAGAAAAAGTCTTAGAATTGTCTGTGGTTGTCCTGACTTGGATCACATACCTGTCACCAACCCGATGCCTGTCTGGGGATTGGAAGATTCAGATTTGCCATTCCTGGGTCACATGCTTTCCCCGGGAGCTAGAGTTTAGGTCAGCTCTAATGGTATAATGCAGATTGAGAGTAGAGGTAGGGTGAGGGTCCACAGAAGAAAAATAGGGTACTGGTACCAGCAGAGGCCTCACATAAGTGGACAAGACCTGACCACTACAGTCTTGTAGGTAATGCTGTTCTGCTAGCTTGGTGCCATCCAGGTTCATAAGCCGGGAGTGGATGTTTAAGCTTGCTAGGCTTCCTTTGTCTTCACTTACTTGAACTTACATCATCTGTAAGGTGCCTTGCAGATGTGGAATTTTCTGATTCTCTTTGATGACTTACTTAAACTTCCTTTCCCCTCCTTGAGTAGCATTTGATCCAAATAAAGACCAATTATATAAAAGAACATAATTGCCTTTGGTTAAAATGGAGTGAGTTTTACTGGGGTTTGATTTGCATTCCTCATAGTGACACAGTGTCTGCCACCTGGCACTGTGTGTTGATTAGAATAACATGAAAGCTGGCTGGGTGCAGTGGCTCACACCTGTAATCCCTGCACTTTGGGAGGCCAAGGTGGGTGGATCACAAGGTCAGGAATTCGAGACCAGCCTGGCCAATATGGTGTAACCCTGTCTCTACTAAAAACACAAAAAAATTAGCTGGGCGTGGTGGCGCATGCCTGTAATCCCAGCTACTTGGGAGGCTGAGGCAGGAGAATCATTTGAACCCAGGAGATGGAGGTTGCAGTGAGCCGAGATCGTGCCACTGCGCTCCAGCCTAGGTGACAGAGCAAGATTCCGTCTCAAAAAAGAAAAAAAAAAAACATGAAAGTCTAACAAAACCATTGGTAGAATGGGCTTGCTTTAAAATATTAAGTAGCAGAAAACAGATAGGATGCTCCTGTTCAGTATTCCTCCAAACAAGACTTATTTAATTCTTCTATGACAGATAGTTCCTGAACAGCTCTCTCCAGAAAATTCAGAGTTCCCTCCAACTCCTTACCAGAGATAAGCAGTAGCTTGGGAAGTTGTACCTAAGTTTACAGAGCTTAGAACACCCATATCCCCCCACTTTTGCATTTATATGCACATTTCCATTTTGCACCAAACTTTCTAGAAGCTCACTTACTCATTTGACAAGGCTCTCATGAGAAAAGAGACATTGTGCCTTAAGCACTTATTAATACTCATCATTATTTCTAAATGAAGGCCAAAATGAAATGATGTCAGGCTTATGAAAATGCTCTATGAGGCTAGGCGTGGTGGCTCAGGCCTGTAATCCCAGCACTTCGGGAGGCCGAGGTGGGCGGATCACGAGGTCAGGAAATCGAGACCATCCTGGCTAACACGGTGAAACCCCGTCTCTACTTAAAAAAAACACAGAAAAAATTAGCTGGGCATGGTGGCGGGCGCCTGTAGTCCCACCTACTCGGGAGGCTGAGGCAGGAGAATGACGTGAACCCGGGAGGTGGAGCTTGCAGTGAGCCGAGATCGCGCCACTGCACTCCAGCCTGGGCTACAAAGCAAGACTCCGAGACTCCGTCTCAAAAAGAAAAAAAAAAAAAGAAAAAAAAAATGCGCTATGAAAAGTCACAAAATATTGCTATGCAGAGGATGCCACTTGAAGCTCTAGAGATGTAGTCAGTACAGCTTGGTCCAGCTGGCACCACACCTTCATTAATCCAGAAAATGAGTAGAATTGCATGTGGACTTACATGTTAAATGAAGCCCAACTGGTACACTGGGCATAATGGTGGTTTGCAAACTTGACTTTTAGATTCCTGCTGTATTAGGGATTGGTCAGGATTCTCCAGAGATACAGAACCAACAGGACATTATATGTATATGTATATGTGTGTGTGTATATATATATATATATATATATATATATATACACACACACACACACACACATTATATGTATATATACACATACATATATATACACACACACACAGATTTACTATATAAAGGTTTATTTATTTATTTACTTTTGAGATGGAGTCTTGCTGTGTCACCTAGGCTGAACTGTTGTGGCATGATCTTGGCTCATTGAAACCTCCATCTCCCAGGTTCAAGTGATTCTCCTGCCTCAGCCTCCTGAGTAGCTGGGATTACAAGTGCATGCCACCATGCCCAGCTAATTTTTGTATTTTTGGTAGAGACACAGTTTCGCCATGTTGCCCGGGCTCGTCTCAAACTCCTGACCTCAGGTGATTCACCCGCCTCGGCCTCCCAAAGTGCTGGGATTACAGGCATGAGCCACCACACCCAGCTATAAAGGTTTATTATTAAAAAATGGCACATGTGATTATGGAAATGGGAAGTCCGAAGATCTGCAGGGTGTGTCAGCAAGCTGGAGAATTAGGAAAGCCAATGTTGTAAGTTGTAGTCTGCAGGCTGGCAGGCTTGAGACCTAGGAAACACTGACATTTTCACTGAAGTCCAAAGGCAGGAAAAAACCCAGTGTCTCAGATAAAAGGCAGCGAGGCAGAAGGAATTCTCTCTTACTCTAGGGAGGGCTAACCTTCTGTTCTATTCAGGCCTTCAACTGATTGCATGAGGCCCACACACATTAGGGCGGACTATCTGTTTCACTCAGTGCACTGGTTTAAATGTTAACCTCATCTGAGAATACTGTTTGACCAAATATCTGGGCATCCATGGCCCTGCCAAGTTGACACATAAAATTAATTATCACCCATACAGACATGGCATAATATCTATCAACAGGAACCACTCAGCAAAACAGTAATGGTTGTTAAATTAAAAAAAAAATTTCCTTTAATAATTAGAAAACCATCAATGCACTTGATCCTTTTGCTTGAACATGATGTTTGGAAAAATGGAATCTTTGAAAAAACACACCTGGCTAATGCTTTTAATCTTGAAATTGGTACCCTACCCAGTTGTTAGGGTAGTGTTTCATTGTATGTTTGGTATGGAGTACAAGAATAAGCTACATCTCTAATTAATTGTTTTGAAAAGCCATCTATGCATATCTATAGCACAGAGTTCTTTAAGAAAAAAATATTCTGGTGTCTTCCATCGAAACTAAGAAAGTGTTGAGATGTTATATAAGCATAAAGAACTAGGAATGATGAACGCTCTTGTAGCCAGAAGGGGGAAAACACAGAGGAAGTGTGTGGATGGTGGCATCCTTTAGAAGTGACAGTCCTTGCTTCCTATAATGCTCAGCTCTAATATAAATGCAGTGTATGCCTCGCAGCCTAGTAAATCAAAAATACATTTGAACCTTATTGATTAACTAAAAAAAATCAAATCAGTCTTCTAAAACCTATTTGCAGTTACAGGATATTACCTAAAAATTGAGACTATTGAGGGGAAAAAACGGTAGCCAGAAAACAGGGTGTTAGAGTTTAGCAAGTCTCAGACTTTTGTGTTTACTTGACTCATGGTTTGAAAGTCTAACATCAGATCATACCTAACCAATAACATAAAAGGTATTATTTGTGGATGGGACGCAAAAGACACCTCATATTGTTATTTCTCCTAAGGGTCCTCTCCTGATTTGTAGAATCCGATGAGTGTTTTATTTTTGGTTGCCTTAATTGGGGAAGGGGTGAAAGGTGGTGAGATGAAAAGGGAAGGCCCTGGGAAATCGACCTTCTTCCCAGAGACAGCATGAAAGGGTAGAGGGATCTAGTCTCTATTTCTAACAGATAATTAAGCCTGTTATCCTGATGATAAATAACCTTCGTAGGTCTTTTTCTGGCCCTATAGAGTAAAGTCTCCCTCTAGCTACAAAGGCAATTAAGGTAAACAAAATCACACTTAGGCAAAAGTGAGATTATGGCTGGAGTCTTCCAGAAAATAACTATCATCCTCTGTCTCCCTTTGGCATTGGAAGCCTCATATGTTTAATCAAAAGAAAGGCCATCTGGGTTGAGGGAATGGGCAGTTAACTGGGTTCACTGAGAACTGCAAATACGCTGGGCACCACAGTGAAGTCAGCTGACATGTTCTCTGCCCTGCAGAATGTTGGCAATGCTGACATAGTTGGACTGAACACAATAGATTATCATGTAAGTTTAAGCAATCTGAGTGACAATGACAAGTAACAAGAAGGCTCTGAATATAGAAATTATTCCAGAGAGATGACTGGAAAGAATGGAGTTTTGCACATAAAGAGAATCACAGCAGACTCCTAGCAATTGTGAAGATACGGAAAGTTTTCATCAGCAACAACCCACAACACTTCCTAGTTTCTCCCACTCACCCTTTGAGCTACTGACCTCTTCCTTACCAACTCCTTGTTCCCCCTCCACCTCACATTAAATCCCCACTGTTGCCTTTTGCCCTATGTAGAGCCTATGCTGTGGGTCCCTTTATTTCTCACAACACACCCATCGTCTGTCCTGTGACTGCCCAGGGGATGGGAAGGAGTGAGATAAATAAGGGACCTGAACACTGTATGAAACCACCTTAGGTTGTGGACTCATCCTTTGAAGAGTAATGCAAAGTAAAGCTGACTTTTTAGATATGAAGTAGGAGTCAACACTTTACCGTAAATTTACTGAGCATCTACTATGCGCTGGAATTTTAGAAATACATGTGGCTCATTCCCTTGAACTGTAATCTGGTATAGGCCACCCAGAAAGGTGTTGACTTTTTCATGCTGCTGGGCAGCTGCTCTTTTATTCTACATACAGAAAAGAATGTGGAAAGATGAATGGCGTAAATAGCATTGATATTGTGTGTGTGTTTGTTTGGGGCTGTAAGAGATGGGTGACTTCAAAGATGGCGACCCCTTGTTTGGAATTTTCTAACTGAGACAGCTCGTGGGAATTGGAAAACTTACTCTCCCCATCATTCGTTGAATTTCAGGAAGCAGGGCAGCACTACTCCATATAGTCAAGTCAGATTCATGTGTAAGGAAGACAGAGGCCTGCTACTAGCTGTTGTCCAGCTTCAATGGTCCTAGCTGGAGGCCAGGTTCAGATGGCCCAACAGTTCTAGGTGGGTGACTGAGCCCCAGGGAAGTGTGCACTGTGTTTCTTTCCTGTTTTCCTTCAGCACCTGTTCTGAAGCCTTCCTGGCTCATGGAAGGGATAGTCTGAAGTGTGGGGAAGTCAGTGCCCTGAGGCCATCTTCAACCAATGGGGAAGAGGAGCTGGCAGATGAAGGTTCCATCCCCGCCTCCTGGGGCAGCGTTTCTGGGCAGCGTTTGGTGCACTTTTCGTGAGGTACTGACAGACGTTGTCCCTTGTTGTCCAAGCTCAGTAGCAGTTTCAGTAATGTACATTTATATTGGCTTCCACTGCCCACCGCCCCACTTCCCTCACTCTTACTTTCTGGGTTCTCCTGATAGACTAAGAGCATACAAGTCCTTATCTTAGGGAGTCCCAAACTGAGACATCGAGGGAGTAGCATTCCCTGATAACATTCTGTAAGGTGTTGAGATTCTAGATGTCTCTCAGTTACTTTGATTTGTTAACGTTATGAATCATCTTGTCCTGCTAATTAAAGAGATGGAAATTGTTTTAAAAATTAAAAATTTTTAAACGCCAGCAAGTAACATAGAAAGAAAACCTTCAAGAAAGTATAATGCAGAAGGAAAAATTAAGTTGAAGAATGATACCGTCAGGTATGTATATAATTGTTTAAAGACACACAAAGCAATATCTTACGTTATCAATGGCTGCTCATATTTGTGGTCAAAGGATGTTTTCCAAATTCCTGGTGGTGGTGGCTTTGGGGAGGCAGACAGGAACATGAGGCTTGCAAGCAGCATAGAGAGGATTTCAGCTTTATCTGTACGTTTTGTCATATATTTGAAAGCAAAGATTGAAAGGACAGCTGAAAAAATTGTTAACATTAGCTTGTTTTAGTTGGGAGATACAAGAACATTTGTCATATTTTTCTCTCTTACGCGTTTTAAAGTTTTCCCAAATTAGATAAAAAGTTAAAGCAGCTTTAAATGTTTTTAAATGAAATTTGGCAAGTTCAAAGCTTTGAAAAAAATTAAGATGACCTATAAATGTAGCATCAAGCTCCAAGCAAAATTGCCGATTTGATATTGATATGTTTCTCCAGATGTTTTTTCTAATTTAATGTGTGTTGATTTGAAATGCAACTATGCGTTAGTCTTGCTGTATCTTCAGACACTCAGAAGTCTCCTTGTTGACTATGGCAACATTATGAAACGTTTCCCCCTCAAATTCATAAGGCAATGTAAGTCCAGCTAACAGAGAAATTTAAAGAGTATATCTAATTTATTTTCCGAAAATGTAAGATTAGCACTGTGAGAGTAAATATGGGATATGACTTAGTTCACAGTCACATAGATAAGGTTCTCAAAGTAAAGAATTTCTGTTCTTTCCAATGCAGAATTTTTACTGGGAATAAATCAAGTTCAACTATACTTCTATATTTCCTCTATCGTCCCTCTATAGAACTATAACATATACGCTTTAGTTTATCTTCCATAAGAACTTCTTGTTACTGGGCTTTTTTTTTTCTTGTTATGATTACAAATAGCCTTCATTACATTTGCAAACTAAATCCAGAGTTTGGAGTCTTGTGCATGGCTGCAACTTGGTATTATTTAGTATTATTGTTATTAATATACATGCTGGGAGACAAGAGAACATTTTGATAAATATTCATAAAATGTGCCAGATTGATGCATAGTTACAGTATCTATTTGCACAAAGCAATGCCATGAACATATGACTCACAAGTTCTGAAGTCTGATACTGTTAGATAGATTGATGCTGGTAATTTATCATGTGCCGCCAGGAATAGGGAGATGCATTGCAAAACCCTTTACTGGCTTCTGGCATCCAGGCAACAAACTCCTCTTGCCTTTCTCTCTTTGCCCTCAGATTCATCAGCATCTCTGTGAAGTAGGATTCAAGGATGAAGTCAACCTAAAACTTTTTCTCTAGGTTTCCAGGAACAGACTGGGAGGCGTAGTTATGAGCAGACCTAAACAGAAAACACTACGGGGATACAACCACAATTTATTTTCCTCTGAGGCTTTTTTAAAAAAAAGAACCCACACTTTTGCATGCTGCAAATCTTTCTTTCTCTGTCTCCCTTTGACCCCAACCCCTACCACATGGGAACCAGAAATAATAAGTTTCTAATGGCCTAGGAGAAGCCAATGCAGGGGCAGGGAACATGCCGCAGAGCAACGGAAGTGATTTCAAAACTCTTGACTCCTTCAGACCCACCAGCATCAGAAACTATAAATAGGAATGGCTGGCAAGAGGGAAAGGTGGGACAGATCTTTCCACTTCTTCAGAATGCTCTTGAGCAGGAGGCAGAGAACAGAAACATGTTCAATGTTTTGCACAAAACTTGCTTCGTTCCTTCACAGCAGAGCTGCTTGGCATTATGGGAGAGCAAGTTATCTGGGCAGAAGTCAGAGCTGAAAAATTTTGCTGCAGTGCCTGTTGTTGACCTGATGAGATTTTTTTAAAAAATCCTTCACTGGGGGCGGGGTGGGGGACAGAGAGGGGAAGTAGACAAACTTTTTATTTTTTGGAGTATTTATCTATTGCTTGTCTGTTATGGAATGAAACGTGTCCCCCTCAGATTCATGTGTTGAAGCCCTAACCCCCAGTGTGACTGTATTTGGAGACAGGGCCATAAGGATGTAATTAAGGTTTAATGAGCTTGCAAGAGTGGGGACCTAATCCAATAGGACTGGTGTCCTTATAAGAAGAGAAAGAGACACCAGGAGTGTACATACACAGGAAAAAGGCCATGGGAGGACACAAGGAGAGGGCAGCTGTCTGCAAGCCAGGAAGAGAGCCTTCACCAGAAACCAACCCTGCTGGTACCTTGATCTTGGACTTGCAGCCTTCAGTACTGTGAAAAAATAAATTTCTGTTCTTTAAGCTGCTTGGTCTGTGGTATTCTGTTTGGCAGTTCTAGGCAACTAATACAATGTCTTTTAACACTGAAAGGCAGATTGAAGTTCACTTGTGTATGTGACAAGGCATTGGATACATATTAAGGCCTAGCAGGTAGTGGAGTGGTTAAAAGAATTGGCTGCTGGACTAAGGTAGGCCTGGTTCAAATCCCAGTTGATCACTTACTAGTAGTGTGACCTCCAGCAAATTACTTTGTGTCTTTATGTTTCCTCATCTGTAGGAGAGTAACAATAACAGCTTATATCTGCAAGATTGTTGTGAGGTTAAATACTTTAATGTATACAGAGCATGTCGTAGTTACTGGCAAACGGCACCCTAAAAAATGCTAGCTACGACACTGAGCACCTCATTTGTTTATAGTAGTTTCAGTTTACAAAGTACTTCCATAGCTATTATTTCATTTGATTTTTACAGCAATCTTATGAGATTAGTTGGGAAGGAAATCTTACACCCACTCAAGGGAGGAAGAAACCAAAATTCAGAGAGGAAAGGAACTTGTCCAAGCTCAAATTTCTAAGAAAAGTAGAGCCAGGCTTCAAATCCAGATCCCCTGACTCCAACTTCAGTGCTTTCCTCACTAAATTTGCAGTCCCTCTGAATTCCTCCTTCCCTGATCCCCTCCCCTTGTCTTTTTTTTTTTTTTTTTTTTTTTCACCAAACATGTATTGAGTTTCTATCACATTCCAGGCATTTCCTCTTCTTTCCCTGGACCTGCGTGTCTTTTCTCTTGTTCGTTTGGACCTGGATGTTGTGTGTGTGTGCATGAGCAAGCCTGCCTGGGAGCGTGCCCGTGTGCCCACATTTGGGCATTGAGGGCTCTCATTCTCCCTAAGGGTGGCCTTGCCTTGTTTTAGCTCAAAGACAGCACTTGGCTTTCAAGGATATATTATAAATAGAGCCTTGACAGCACTCTCTTTTCTTATCTGAAAACTGACACGAAGCACAGGCAACTAGGACAAAAAGAAAGAGAACAGGGTCCGTGGTGGAGCAGATAATCAATATCTTTAAATGATTCGAGAGCAGAAATTCCCAAATGGGAGGTGAGAAGAGACCTGAAAATGACAGCCTGAGGAAGTTTGTTGGGCTCTCCTAGGGAGTGAGTGGTAGGGCGCGGTGTTTGAAAAAGCAGATTTCATATTGCAATTTGTTATTTAGAAAAATGTCCCCCAAAAGCTGTTATTCTCATAGTACAAACTATAGAAATTAAAGCTGTCCAGAACCTTTTTGACCTTTGGGATTATGTAAGAGTTATGGCAATTCCCAATGAAACGGGAGGCGGCCTCTGAATTGTGAGAGCTGAGATCATCACCGTGTATTTTTAGCCATTAGGGATTTGAATCTAAAAAGCTGGAAAACACTGTTTCATAGAGTCTTCAGAAAAGAAGCAAGGCCTAAAAGTTGCAAGGAGTCAATGCTTGAAAGGTTCCCATAGAGTTTGAAAAGGCCATAAAACCTAACTCCCCTATTTTACAGATGAGGCAACAAGAGAAGTCGCTGGCACAAGATCTAATGCTTATAACAGGATTGGCTGAGCCCAGCATCGGCCTCAACCTGCAGTGGGCGGCGGGGGGGGGGGGTGGGGTATCAGTAGAAAAGACCAGGGAATCTCTGACAAGTCGTCCTCTGCTCCTAATAAAGAGAATTAAAATGTGCCTTTAGGAGGCTGGGACCAACCCCAGGTCACTAGCTCAATGAGCCTGAAGGATGCAACTGGGGAGGCATTTGGAACACAAAAGCAGATACTCCTGCTGTTCTAGATGGCTTCCTAAGAGCCAGGGTTCTTCAGGTCGGTCTTTCCAAGGACCTAAAGTAGTAGGTTGGACAGCAGGGGATGCGGAGGATCAATGAAGCAGCTGTTGGCTTTCGGTGCATATAAATAATGCACCTCTAAGGCCTAGGGTGTGTTTTGGTTATTCTATACAACAAATACCCAAAAAGTGTTGGTGACCCTTGGCCTTGCATTTCCCCAGACTCTGACCCACACCCTGACCTTGACCTGACCCTCAGCCTGAAGCTGACCCTGAACCTAATCCTTTCGCTGACCCTGACCCTGATTTTGAGCCTCCTGTTGAACCATAGCCTCAGCCTGGCCTGCCATTCACTCTGACACAGGACATGACCTTGTCCTTCATCCTGTTTCTCACACTACCATGACTCTCAGCTATGCTCACCCAGACTCTGACCCTGACATGGACTCAGATTCTCACCCTCACAATGAACTTGTCTATAGGCAGACTCTAACTCTGAGGCTAACCCTATGCTCACCCTGAATCTGATCCTAATCTTGAACCTGACTCTCACCGTGTCCCCGAACATATGGCCCTCACGCTGACTCTGACCCTCACACTTACCCTCTCAATTTAACCCTACCCCTTACCCTGATGCTGACATTGACCTTTATCGTGATGTTGACCCTGGACATATACCTCACACTCCTTCTGAATCTGACCTTAATCCTCACCATGACATTCACAATTACTCAGATCCTGAATCTGACCTTCATCACGATCTTGACCCTGACCTTGATCTAGATACTCACATGACTCTCTTCCTGACTGAACTCTGACCCTTAACCTGAACCTCACACTGATTCTCACCATGACCTGAGCTTGACACTGAACGTGATGCTAAATAAGCACCTGACCCTGAACTTGGCTCTTACCCTGATTCTACCTTCATCCTCACCCTCACCCTGAGCTTTGTCTGACCCTTACCTTAATTTTTTCCCAAACCTTAATTTGAACCTGACACTTATCTAATGTTGACTCTGACCCTTACCCCTAACCTACTAGACACTCAGTCTGACACTAATTTTCATTCTCACACTGGTGTTGACCCATACTCTTACCCTTACCCTTTCACACTCACCTTGAACCTGACCATAAATCTGGCCCTGTCTCTGAACCCCACCCTAAACTTTAACCTTCAGAAGACCCTGCTCCACACCCTCCCCGTGACTGAGACCCTGAATCTGCCACTGTCTCTCAATTTCTCATCCTCACTCTTACCACAGCTCTAATACTTATTCTGACCCTTACCCTCACTCTGAATTTGTCCCTAACCCAAAACCTGTCTCTGACACTGACTTTCACCCTGAACCTCACCATAACTCTGACCCTTGGACTTTCCCACCCTCATCATGACCCTGATGAAGCTATGACCCTGACTGTAGCCCTTACCCTCACCCTGATATGAACAGTGACTCAATCCCGACCCTGACCCAGACCATCACCCTATCATACTGGTCTTAAATTCATCCTCACCCTGAACCTGACCCAAATTCTGACCCTTATCCTTGTCCTGATCATCACTATGACCTTGAAAAGACCCTGACACTCACAGTGACCATCAAATGATTCTACTTCACCACTACCCTAACACTTTAGCTGGGCCAGACACTCATCCTCATCAGGACCGTTATGTTCACCTGACTCTGCTCACCTTGAGTTTACTATGTATTACATGCTCAACCAAATCCTCACTCTAAACCTGACCCTGACCTTTATTCTGATGTTCACCCTAAAATTGGCCCTCATCTGGCCCTCCCTCTTGCTCTCATCTTGTGTCCATGATCCTGCCCCTAAAAGTATCTCTGACTCTGATATCATGCTGACATTGACTCTAACCATCCCACCCCTCTAAAGTTACCCTAAACTTAAATTTCAACCTGTCCCTGGTCGTGACCCTGACCAACAACTCAACTTTGACCCTGATCCTGACCGTCAACCTGACACTGACTCTCACCAAGACTCTGACATTCACACTGATCATCAAACTGACTATACTGAGTCTGGCTTTAAAAAGTTGTGGTAAAATAAATGTAATATAAAATTTACCATCTTAAACATTTTAAAGTATACAGTTCAGTGGCACTAAGTACATTCACGTTGTTGTGCAACCAATCTCCAGAACTCTTTTCATCTCACAAAACTGAAACTCTGTACCCGTTAAATAACAACTCCCTCTTTTTTCCTTTCCCAGACCCTGGCAACCACCATCATAGTTTCTGTCTCTATAATTTTGAGTAATCTAAGTATATAGGTGGAATCATACAGTATTTGTCCTTTGGTGACTGGATCATTTCACTTAGTATAATAACCTTGAGATTCATCCATGTAGTAGCATGTGTCAGAATTCCCTTCCTTTTTAAGGCTGAATAATATTCGGTATATACCACATTTTATTTATCCATTCATCTGTCCATGGACACTTGGGTTGCTTCTACCTTTTGCCTGTTGTGAATAATGCTTCTATAAACATGAGCGTTCAAGTATCTCTTTGAGACCCTACTTTCAATTCTTCTGTATATATACCTAGAAGTAGAATTGCTGGATCATCTAGTAATTTTTAATTTTTTGAGGAACCAACCATATTGTTTTCCATAGCGGCTGTGACCCTATCTTTTATGCTGAACTTTACCTGACCCTGTCCTACATCCTGACCTTAACAATGACCTTCTACCTGATTTTTAACCTGAACTTCACCCTGAATGTGACTATCATGCTGACCCTAACCATGGCACTGTCTTGACTTTTACCATGTCCTTACACTGTGCTAGAGCCTGACCGTGGCCCATACTATTAACCTCACACTGACCCTGACTCTGTATTTTATACATATACTTACATTCACCCTGACTCTCACCTCTCTTTGACCATGACTTAGACCCTGAAATTAACCCCTACCCTGTATCTAAATTTGAACTAGACTTTTACTTTGATCTTTTTCAGACCTTTACCATGAATCAGACCTCAACTTAACCCTTACCTCACCATGATTTTACCTTCACATTCACCCTGATGTCAAGACTAAAGCTGACCCTTATCCTCACACAGAACATGACCCTGACCCTCACCATGACCCTGTCCATGATTCTGACCCTGACACGCATCCTGACACCGATTCTGATTCTCACCCTCACAATAAGCCTGATACTAACCAAGACCCTGATGCATACCTGACCCTATTCTTCATTCTGGCCACCCGATACTTACTCTGATCCTTAACCTAAACCCGCGTGATATTGACCCTCTATCTTGTCCCTTATCCTAAACATGACCCTCACACTGACCCTGATTTCCACCCTTATGAAGACCCTGACCCTCAACCTTTCATACTGACTGTCATCATCATGATATTATCTCACTCTGACCCTGACCCTAAACTGGACTCTGAATCTGACCCTCAACTTGTTCCTGACCATTATCTTCCCTTTCTCCATTGACCTTAAATGAAATCTGACCATGATGACACCTTGAAACTGACTGACCTCCCTGCTGCTGAACTTGACCTTTATCTTATYCCTCAACCTCACCTTAATCATCACTCTGACCCTGACCAGCACTCTGACATTGATCCTGAACCTTACCTGACCCTAACCTTTACCCTGACACTGACCCTTAACCTGATCCTTATCCTAAACCTGACCATAAATTTGAACTTGACCATCAATCTGACCCAGATCATAAATATGAAAACAATTGGGACCCTCACCATATCCCCAAACCTGAGCTGACTGAACTTGATACTGACCATAACCCTGACCACCTTCATCCTTACTCTTACCCTGAGTCATATCATGACTCTCACTCTTACCCTGACCCTGACCTTCACACTGAACTGACACTCAACCTGACTTTGAGTCTCACCATGGCCCTGAGCCTGACTTTGACTTTATCCATGACACTCAGCAAGACTCTGATATTCACTCTAACCTTAACCCTGACCTGACCATGTCCCTGAGCTTGCTTGTGAACTTTAACCTCTACCTGATCCTCACCCTCTACTTGGCCCTAACCTTATCATGATCCTGGCCCTGATTATCACCCTGACCTGACCAACATCTTGACCTGATTCTGACACTCAAGCTGACCATGATATGGATACTATTCTCACATCAGCCCTGATCCTCAACTTCACCCAGAGCCTTGGCCAACTCCAATCTTAATCTTGACCCTGACCCTGATCCTCAACCAGATACTTTTCTGACCTTACCCTGAACTGTTTTGCATCTTGACCTTGACCCTGACCCTCACCATGACACCATCCATGATCCTTATCATGTCGCTGAACCTGATCTTGAGTGTGATCTTCACCTTCACCTTGACCTTCACACACAGCCTTACCCTTCCCCTGACCCTCACCTGAAAGTGATTCTGACCTTGGATCAAATCGTATACTCACCCAGGCCTCATCCAGAATTGGACCTTTATGATGACTCTTATTCTCACTCTGAACCTGACTTGCACCTAACTCTCATCTTTACCCTTACTCGGATTTGGCCATCACCCTGCATATGACCCACATCTTGAAACTTACCCTTATCCTTATAGTAATCCTCACTCTGATAGTGACTCACACAAAGACCCTGATATTCATGCTATCACCCTGACTCTACCCTTACCCTGGCCCTGAACTTTACCCTGAACCTTAACTGACCCTGACAGTCAACCTAATCTTTCCTCTGAAACCCTCATGCAAACCTTGACCCTAACTGTACCAATGACATTCTCATCAATCCTTCTATTTCCATATAACTTGACCCTGACCATAACCCCTACACTCACACACACCCACACCCTGACCAACACCTTGACTATGAACTGGACCTTGTCCCTGAGACTCATCCTGATCATGGCCCTTATGCTGACCCTCACAATGACCCTGACCCTCACTTTGACCCTCAATCTAATATTAACCCTTATCTTGAGAATGAAAAGACTCTGAAGCTGAAGCTTACCCTGAACATCGTCATGACGCAACCCAGACTCTAACTTTTATTCTCACCCTGAACCTATCCCTCACCACATACCTGATATTGGCTGCCATGCTGACTATGACCCTCCTCACTATTACCATGTCTCTGACCTTGACTTAGAACCCTATCCTCATGATCATCTTGACCCTGAGACTCAGCTAACACTGAACGTCACTCTAATCCTCTCACTCACTGTAATCTTGATACAAACCCTAACCTGAACCCTCAAATGTATCATGACCTCACCATGTCCTTGATCCCGTGCTTGACCTTGTCCCTACCTTCATCCTGACTTTACTCCTCACCATGATCCTGATGCTGATCTTCACCTGCAACCCCAAACTTTCTCTGACCCAGACCCTTATATTTATCAAGTTTCTGACTACAATGATTTGAAAGTTTGTCTCCTCCAAACCTCATTTTGAAATTTGATCCTCAGTGTTGGAGGTGGGGTCTAGTGTAGGTTGTTTTGGTCATGGGGGTAAATCCCTCATGAACAGATTAATGCCCTTCCTGGAGTATGCAGAGGGAAGGAGGGGAATGAGTGAGTTCTTGCTCTATTAGTTCCCATGAGATCTGGTTGTTAAAAGGAGCCCGGTACCTCCCCTTCTACTCTCCCTCACTCCCTCTCTCTCCATGTGATCTCTGCACATGTGACTCCCCTTTGCCTTCTTCTATGAGTGGAGGCAGCCTGAGGCTCTTGCCAGAAGCAGATGCTAGTGCCATGTTTTTTGTATAGTCTGCGGAACTGTGAGCCAATTAAACCCCTTTTCTTTATAAATTACCCAGCCCTCAGGTTTTCGTTTATAACAACACAAAATGGACTAAGACACTGACCTGGTACTTAGCCCCACCCCCACCACGATTAACACCCTGGCACTGTATCTGACTCCCTTACTCTTCAAACATTACTGTCCTTGATAATCAACCTGACCAGACCCTGTTCGTCACGCTGAACCTGATGCCCTAGCCTTGACCTTTACACCACCCTTACCTTGAACCTGACCCTCACCCTATTGTGATGCCTGATCCTTACAATGACCCTAATCTTTAATTCTTACCTCACAACGATGCTGAACCTGATTGGATTCCTCATCCCAACTCACATCTGGATACTCCTCATCTAGATACACACATCATTTCTCCCCTGAACAATGACTGTGCCTGTGCCTCATCTTCACTTTCACCTTGATCCTGATCCTAAACCTCACCTGGCCTTGAACTTCATTCATACACTGACCCTTATTTGACCTCATTCTTACTCCAACCCTCATACTGACCCTTATGTTGACCCTGACCCTGACCTTAACCATCACCCTGACACTGACTCTGAAATATACACCCACTCTCACTCTGACCCTGTACCAGACCCTCTGCACCTCACCCTATCACTAACCCCCTCACTGACCCTGACCCCCAACTTGATCCCCAAATACACCCTCAGATGCTGATCCTAATACTGATTGTGATACTGCTCCTGACACTTACCATATCCTAAAGCTCACCATCATCATGACATTTACGCTTAACCTCTCCCTGTCTGTGACCCCCTCTCTCTGACCCTTATTGTCACCCTGACCCTTATAATGATTCTGACTCTAATAATGACCTAACCATCACCAAGTTGAGTTTGAACATGAAATCTTATACACTCACACTCTAGTTTCTTTTGGATTTCTTACTGTTCTCAATAAGAATGTGCTTTTGAGAACTAATTCTCAACTTGTTTACACATGTACTGTGTGCTTTCTTTTCTTTTCTCTTTTCTTTTCAGACAGGATCTTGCTCTGTTGCCCAAGTGGGAGTGCATTGGTATGATCATGGCTCACTGCAGCCTCAACCTCCTGGGCTCAAGCGACTTTCCCTCCTCAGCCTCCTGAGTGGCTGGGACTACAGGCATGCACCACCACTCCTAGGTAATTAATTTTTTTTTTTAAATAGAGACAAGGTCTTACCATGTTGCCCAGGCTGGTCTGGAACTCCTCAGTTCAAGTGATCCTCTCACCTCAGCTTCTCAAAGTACTGGGATTACAGGAGTGAGCCACTGCACCCAGCCTACTGTATTTTTCAAATATGCTGCTTTGATATGTGGTCTCCCTCAAAGTAAGAAACTACAGTTGAGGCTGGGTGCAGTGGCTCAGGCCTGGAATCCCGGCACTTTGGGAGGCCGAGGCAGGTGGATTGCTTGAGTCCAGAAGTTTGAGACCAGGCTGGGCAACATGGTGAAAAGCCATCTACAAAAACTAATTTTAAAAAATTAGCCAAATATGGCGGCATAAACCTGTAGTTCCAGCTACTTGGGAGGCTGAAGTGGGAGGATAGATTGAGCTTGGGAGGTAAAGGTTGCAGTGAGCTGAGATTGCACCACTGCACTCCAGCCTGGACAACAGAGTGAAACCCTGTCAAAAAAAAAAAAAGAAAAAAAGAAAAGAAAGAAACTGCAGTTGAGAAAAATGTGTAGTTCTTATTGATTTGCCTCAGGTAAAGCATAGGTTAATGCTAACAGTTAAGAATTTTATCTATTTTATTTATTTTTTTGAGATGGAGTATCACTCCGTCACCCAGGCTAGAGTGCAGTGGCACAGTCTCGGCTCACTACAACCTCTGCCTCCTGGGTTCCAGTGATTTTCCTGCCTCAGCCTCCCAAGTAGCTGGGATTACAGGTGTGCACACCCGCACCTGGTTAATTTTTGTATTTTTAGTAGAGATGGGGTTTCACCATGTTGGCCAGGCTGGTCTCAAACTCCTGGCCTCAGGTGATTGACCCGCCTCAGCCTCCCAAAATGCTGGGATTACAGGCATGAGCCACTGTGCCTGACCAGAATTTTCTTTAGAGACAAGTGTCTGATTTTTTCTTTAATGCTAGTCTGTTCACATAAATACAATTTTCAATGATATCTGCTTTAACTCGCAAGAAATTACTGTTGAGGACAGTGTGTAAATATGAACTCATTTTCACATATATAGCATAGGTTCCTCTTATCTTGTTCTGATTCACAGGAAGAAATTGTAATCAAGATGAATATGAGTTTCTGAGTTTTTTGGAGTCAAATAAATCTTAAATACATCTTGGTTTAGGCAAACAGAGGTAGCATTGAAAACAATCTGTATTAGTGCATATAAGCTCAGTTTCAGACATTCCTCTCAAAAGAAACTTTATTGCTTCTTAGGGTAAACTGAGATGGACATAAGCACATATGAGTATGTGTCATTCATTGCAAAGGCACAGCCCTACTGTAAGGGACAATAATAAGGACGAGTCTAAGCAGAAGTACTGAAAAGAATCCACTGGCCTGGGCAATGTGGCGAAACYCCATCTCTACAAAAATACAAAAAACTAGCCAGGTATGGTAACACACACCTGTAGTTCCAGCTACTCAGGAGTCTGAGGCGGGAGTATTGACTGAATCCAGGAGGTTGAGGCTGCAGTGAGCTGTGACTGTGCCACTGCACTCCAGCCTGGGTGACAGAATGAGTCCCTGACACACACAGACACACACGCACACAGAATCTGTATTAGCATCAGCAAACTCAGTTTTAGACATTCCTCTCAAAAATATCTCCTTATTGTTTCCTGCAGTAAACTAAGATGAATGTAAGAAGAACAACACATATCCATCTAAAAGGTGTATTCTTTTTTTTCAAGGTAGGTATAGACTGAATGTTTGTGTTCCCCCCAAATTTGTAAGTTAAAATCCTGGCTGGCTGCAGTACCTCATGCCTGTAATCCCAGCACTTTGGGAGGGTGAGGTGGGTGGATCATTTGAGGTCAGGAGTTCAAGACCAGACTGGCCAACATGGTGAAACTCCATCTCTACTAAAAATACAGAAATTAGCCAGGCAGTAGTGGCACGTGCCTGTAATCCTAGCTACTTGGGAGGCTGAGGCAAGATAATTGCTTGAGCCCAGGAGGTGGAGGTTGCGGTGAGCGGAGGTTGTGGTGAGCCAAGATTGTGCTACTGCACTCCAGCCTGGGTGACAGAGCAAGACTCTGTCTCAAATAATAAAAAAAAAAAGTTAAAATTCTAACCCCCAATCTGATGGTATTAGGAAATGGGGCCTCTAGGTCCTGAAAGTGGAGCCTTCCTGAATGGGTTTAGTGCCTTTATAAAAAGAGATTCCAATAGGCCAGGTGCAATGGCTCACGCCTGTAATCCCAGCACTTTGAGAGGCCGAGGCAGGCAGATCACGAGGTCAGGAGTTCGAGACCAGCATGTCCAGTAATGGTTAAACCCCATCTCTACTAAAAATACAAAAATTAGCTGGGTGTGGTGGTGGGTGCCTGTAATCCCAGCTACTCAGGAGGCTGAGGCAGGAGAATCGCTTGCACCTGGGAGGCGGAGGTTGCAGTGAGCCGAGATTGCACCACTGCACTCCAGCCTAGGCAACAGAGCAAGACTCCATGTCACAAAAAAAAAAAAAAAAAAGAGAGAGAAATTGCAGAATTTGCTCCCTCTCTCGACCCTCCAGCATGCGAGGGTATGAGAAGACAGTTACCTGTAAGCAAGGTAGAGGGCTTTCTCCAGATACGGGATCTGCTGGTGCATTGATTTTGGACTTCCCAGCCTCCAGAACTGTGAGAAATAAATGTCTGTTGTTTCAGCCACTCAGTCTACGGTATTCTGTTATAGCAGCCCAATTGACTAACGCAACAGAGCAAAGGAGAATGAATCTAAGTAGTAGTATTAAAAAGAATTTGTAGTAGTACAATCAGGCTCGGCCTCAGACATTCCTATTAGAAGTCCTTATTGCTTCTCAGAGTAAAGCAAGATAAATGATAAGACAGTAAAATACATATCAAAGGCACATTCTTACTAGAAAGAAAAAAGATAAAAATACACTGTTTATTAAACCTCATTTTAATTGTCTCTTCCTTCTTAAAATGTCAGTGGGTTAACAAAATATGTAAATGCCTTTGGATAATAAGACATATTTGTGTATATTTGCCTTCTCAAAGCTTTTAATTAACATGAGATAAATGCTCATGAAAAATTACCTAGGCAGTTTTTTACTTTCTATCCTGTAGATGTCTCCTATGTCTGGAGGAAAAAAAAAGAAAGAAAAGAAATATTCCCTTAATTAGAGATAGTAATTAACAAAGACAGTTCGTTATACTAGGTACAAGGATTGCAGAGAGATACAGGTATGTATATATAGGATTTTCTGTTTGTATATTTTTAAAAGTTGTGTAGTTCACTCATATAATAAATTTAATATAATACATACTGCTTTATTTAGTATACTGACAATTATGCTTTAAAGCTATAGTTTAAAACTTTAAATTATTACCTATTTATATTTGTATGTCTTGATGCATACAAAAAGGGAATATATCCTTTACTACAATTTGTTATATAAATAATATACCAAAAGAATAAAATTAGAATTTAGGTCTTTTGCATGAGGTGACTTATTTTATGCCCAGGTCAACAGAGGTTCCTTTTTTTGTCAACAAATTGTTCTACTGCTTTTGTATTCTCTACAACTATCATCAGAGATTCCCTTGGATAACCTTGACCTAATTTTATTTGATCAAAGTTAAAATGCTATCATGGAGTGAAATTCACCCTTAAAACATAGACAACTTCCAGAAATTAAATCAGTTCAGATAACTAACATCATTGTCCTTATCTGGGCTTGGCAGCTCACAAATAAATAAATAAGCAATTATTTATGCTGATAGTAAATGTGTTTTGGGGGTAGTCCACAAATTCAGAATTGTTTAGAAACAGAGATGTTTCTAACCTTGAAAAAAAAAACTTACACCAATTAAATGACAAATTAAAGAACTTTTAGATGCTTTGCTATTACCTAAGAAAACAGCTATCATAAAAACACAGTCATTGAAAAGACAAGACCTAGAAACTCATGGTAATGCTTTGGCTGGCCCCTATGCTAAACAAACAATATTAACCTAGATAAACAGTCCTATCATCACACGGACAAGAAAAGTCTTGGAGAAATTCAGAGAGGCTGTTCCTAACTGTCAGAAACAAGTCTCTAATTCAATTTAGGATGATCATTAGATGATCACCAGGATGGTCAACTGAGCGTGCCTCAACACTTGAAAATGGAGCTTAACGAAAATTCTTCATGATGTAACCATAAAGGAACGATAAGTTGACAACAATATTAGACCAACACTGGTGGCTTAATTTTAGATGTAGCTGCCAAGGATGTGTTTGAAAATGTGTCTTATCTGCCAGTGACACATCCTGATAAACTGCCAAGGTGGGCTCATGGACAGGAATCAAAGCCTCTATGCCCCTTTAAATACCTCCAAATGGACTTCATACAAATACCTTTTACAATGAATTATAAATATGTTTTGCTCATTGTGTATTTATTCTCAGGGTGGACTGAAGTTTTTCCTTGCTGGAAAGCTATTCCATGCTGGGTTGGGGGTTGAAAGGGTTCAGGGGATGGCTTGGTTTTGTTTTCCCACCTGGGGAATTCCCATTTATCTCTCCAATGACAGAGGTGCTCATTTTACTAGAACTGCACTGAAGTACTTTTACACAGAAACTTCACTGTCCTTATCATCTGTAGTCCTCAAGATGAACAGAGAGAACGAATGGAATTTTATAACTAAAATTAGCAAAGCTCTCAAAACCTCTTAAACTCCCATGGCAGAAAGCATTACTATTAGCTTTCATATCTAAAATCAACCCTCTCTAGGGTCCTTATTCTGCAAGGATGAAAACTCTTTTTTTGAGACGGAGTTACGCTCTTGTCGCCCAGGCTGGAGTGCAATGGCACGATCTCGGCTCATCGCAACCTCCGCGCCCGTTCAAGTGATTCTCCTGAGTCAGCCTCCCGCATAGCTGGGATTACAGGCATGCGCCACCACGCCCAGCTAATTTTGTATTTTTAGTAGAGACGGGGTTTCTTCGTGTTGGCCAGGCTGGTCTCGGACTCCCGACCCCAGGTGATCCGCCCTCCTCGGCCTCCCAAAGTGCTGGGATTACAGGCGTGAGACACCGCGCCGGGCCCAAAACTTGCTTAAAGGAACGGGTGGTTGGACCCTGTGGTCTACCTGGGGTCCCCACCCAGCCACTCACCCACTCCTCCCCTTGGTGGGGAAGGGAGGGAGGTGAAACAGAGCTGTCTGCCCACCCCAATCCCACCTCCTTTACCAGTGACCCAGTCACGGATTTCAAGTTTAATGCACCCGGAATCCTGCAATTTAGTTCTTTTGGCATAAGTCACCTTCCCACTGCTCCCCAACGCATGCTCGCAATTATGCTGTACTGCCACTCTTGGCAAAGTTTTCAGAGAGTAGCCTCCGCCCCATACCCCCTACCCAGAATCTGCAGTGGGCAGGACTCACCGTTGCTAGGAAACACCCGCTGTAATCCCTTTGACCCTGTCCTGTGCTGATCTTTGGGGGAAAAGCCCCCTGCCCAACTATTGAGCATGCACAGACTATTCCAGGTGCAGCTGCTGCCAAATTGCTGTTCTCCAGGAACCCGCGGTAGGGAGCCATCCGCAGCCCCGGGAGTGCCTGCTGCAACGGCCTGACAAGGATTAGGGATTAACGGGGAGATCTGCTGCATCCTCTTCTTTCCTCAGTAGGAAGAACGACACAGGAGGCAGGGTTGGAGGCTCAGCTAAAAACCAGATTCCCACCACCTGTTCCTTCAAGCAAGTGCGCTTGCGCCGGGCAGGCCCTCGGGCTAGCGTCTGGCTGATGGGTGGTGCTGCCGAGCGAGGAGCGCACGCGCTCGGCGTCTCCATCTTCTGGTTGTGTGGTCCGTATTTTAGGGGTGTATTACAGTAGGTGCCGGCATTTTAAAATATGAACAAATAAAATTAGGTCAACACTATCCAAAGGAGTCTCAAAAGAATGGTTGAAGAATATGCAAAAAGCATTGAGAATTAACAGAATAATTTGGTGACAAAAGAAACCTCTATTGATCTGGGGATAAAAATATTTGGTAAATTTACATGGAAGACCTAAATTCTAATTATTCACTTGGCAAATTATTTATGTAACAAATTGTAGTAAAGGAACTATTGATATTGCTTGTCCGCCTTTTGGCTAAGATCAAGCGTAGGAGCTATTGATATACATTTATTTGTATGAATTTAGGCAGACACACGTGTACAAACATAAAAATAGGTTTCTGACTATTGAAAATACATTTATCCTCTGCATAGACTTTTATCTCTGCAATCTTTATACTCAGTTTAATCAATATCTACATTAATTACTATCTTTAAGTAAGTAATCAGTCTGTTTTTTTTCTCTAGACATAAGGAAAACCCAGGGGACAGAAAGTTTAAAACCATCCAACTTATTTGTTCATAAGAATTTATCTTCCAGTATTTTAAAATTTTGAAAAGGCAAAAACAAGGGATCCAGCCCTGGTCATGCTGACTTCGCAGCTTCTGTGCGTATCTATGCACTCAACTTGTCAGTGTCCTTGTGTCAAAGACCCCCTAGGCACATACCTGAGATGAATAAATTGGGCTTATTATGGCTTGCATTGGGGGAGAATGCACACCACTGGGAACTACAGGGTGTCTCAGTAAAAAGGCGTCAGAAAGTACCTGTTATAGAATGTAATCTTTTGTTGGGTGACTTGGGGAAGGGTCTAAGGAAGTGAGGGTTTTGCTCTAGATTTGGTATTGTTAGAAAGTGGAGCTAATTCTAGATTAGCTATTTTGTGGATATACAACACATTATTAAATAATAAAGTGTTTAACTATAGCCTTAAAATAGAATTTATCAGTATATTAAATAAAACAATCTATATCAAATTAAATTATTATGTGAATTAACTGCAATAACTTTAAAAAAACTAATAAGAAATCAATTAGAAACTCTTTCTGTAATTCTTATACCCTATATAATCAACCATCTACATTAATTATTATCTTGAATTAATCAGCCTTTTCTTTCTTTTTCTGTAGACATAAGAGACACCTAGAGGACAGAAAGTTAAAAACCATCTGGGTCATTTTTTAATAAGCATTATCTTATATTAATTAAAAGTTTTGAGAAGGCAAATACAAGCATATATGTATTATCATCCAAGGCATATTTTGTTAATTCACTGATAATTTAATAAATAAGGGTCAGTTAAAATATGGCTTATATGTGGTCTTTTGTATATTTTTTTATTTTAGTAAGAATGCGCCTTTGAAAGTAGTATGTTTTGCTGTCCTTATGTTTATGTCAGTTTACTCTAAAAAGCAATAAGAAGTTTCATTTGAGAGTAATGTGTAAGAAGGCTGAGCTGGTTTGCCCCAATATGAATTTTTTTCAATATTACTTCTGTTTGCCAACCTAAACTCAGATATATATATATACATTGTGTACCTGACCTTACACAATGAGTATCGGTCAGATTCAGGGTGAAGGTCAGTGTCAGAGTCTGTATGAGGATAGGCATCAGGGACATAGTGACGGATAAGTTCAGGGTAAGGGTGAGTGTCAAGGTTGGGTCATGGTGAAATTCAGAGTAAGTTTCAATATAAGGATCAGCATCAAGTGGAGTGTTACAATGAAAGGATCAGGATAAGTCTCAGGCTCAGCTTCAAGGTCAGATCAACATCAGGTGAGGGTCAGTATCAACATTAGAAAAGATCAGGGATGGGGTCAGGGTCAGGGTTAGGTTAAGGATAAGGATGAGGATTGAAATAATTGTCAGGCTAAGTAAGCAAGGGTCAAGGTCAATGTGAGAATAGGATGAGTGGTAATGTCAAATGCAGGGTGAACTTGAGTGTCTGGTTTAGAGAAAGAGTAGGAATTAGGGGTCAGAGGTGGGTGAGTTTGCGTGTCAGGTTCATGGTCAGAAGTAAAGTCAGTGTGAGGCTGAAGGTCAAGGTCAGAGTCAGGTGCAAGACAGGGTTATTGTGAGATGAGAGGGAGATTCTGAGTCAGTATATGTGTAAGGGTAAGGCTCACAGTTATAAAAATGGTGAATCTGACAATAAAATTCAGGGAGAAAATCAGGGTTAGATTCAGGGTAAAGTCAGCTCAGAGTCAGCATGAGGATCAGAGGAAGGGCCAAGGACAAGTGATGGTCATAGACAGGATCAGGGTCAGAGAGCATCAGGATAAGCATAAGGATAAGGTTAAGGGTGAGTGTATATGTCAGAGAAAGTGTCAGCTTGATAGTCAGGGTCAGCGTCAGGCTGACGGTCAAGGTCAGCCAGCATCATGGTGAAGGTCAGAGTGAAGGTTAGGGTCAGGAAAAGTCCAGAGTCAAGTGCAGGATTAGGGTCAGTGTAAGAGTATTATCTGGGTCAGAGTCAGCTTCAGGATCACTGTCTAGGTCAGGGTGTTTTCAGAACAGGATGATAATTGAGGTTCTGGGCACAGTCAGGGTCAAGTTGACCCCTCAAACTTAACCTGACACTCAGCCTGACACTGAGCCTGAAACTCATGTCTGTTAACATGACTCTTGCCCTAATGGTAGCTCTCATCCTCACCAAGACACTGCAGTTCATGAACGGAGTGAATGTCAGGGACATAGTGGTCATATGTCCATTTACTCTTGACCCTCATGTGCGTCTGACCTTCATAGTGACCCTCACTAGGACCTTGCCTTGACCTAGAATTTTGCCCTCATGCTGTCCATCCTGACCCTGCACCTGACCCTGATGCTCACCCACACCAAGACTCTATTCCCCACCATGACCCTGAGGCTGATCCCACCCACACCCTCTACATTACTCTCACCCAGACACTCACCCTCACCATGTCCCTGACACCTCACTTGACCTCAACCCACATCCTAACTCCGGCACTCACTGTGACACTCACCCTGACACTGAATCCGACCCGCATCTTCACCTTAACCTTAACCTGTCCTTTACCCTCATCTTTACCATCAGCCTAACCCTGATCCTCATCCTCACACTAACTCTTACCCTCACGTTCCCAGTGGCACACTTTGACCCTGACCCTTACCTTGACTCTCTTCTCACTCTGACCTTCACACGCGTTTTGACCCTGACCCATTCCCTGACTGATCTTGACCTTGATCTGTATCTTGACCCTCACCCTGACCCTGATCTTGACCTTGACCTGACTTGGCACTGACCCTCCATGTGACCCCAACCCTAACCATGGCCGTGACTCTGACCTTTGTTCTGAGATCTTGAGCCTGACCCTTACTCTGATCTTGATACTCATCCTCCCCCTTCTCATGATCCTTACCCTCAAATCTGACTCAAACCTGATGTCACCCTGACACTGTCTCTCATCCCCCAACCCTTGTACCTTACTTGACCCTGCCCTACCTCTGACCATCACCCTGACTTTGATCCTGATGCTGACTCTGACCCTGACACTACCCCTACCCTGAACCTGACTCTCACCCTACCTTTACCCTGACCATGACCTTGACTGTGATCTAAATCACACATGGACTCTTACCTCATGTTGACACTGAAACTGACTCTGACCCTCATCCTGACTTGGACTCTCACCCCTACCCTTCCCTGAACAATGACTCTTATCCTAAACCTCACTGTCACTCTCATGTTGACTATGATCCTAACCCTTATCCTGGCCCTGACACTGACTTTCAGCCTCCTTTGAACGTTGACTCTTACTTGTCCCCATTGACCATGACCCTGACAGTGACCTCAATCCTCAACCTGACCCTGTCCCTGGCACTGACAACTATACTAAAACTGACCCTGAAATGTACACTGGCCTTCATCTTGACTCTGACCTTAACCCTCTGATACTGATCCTGAATCTGTACCTGACCCTTCTTTACCTTCATTGTGACACTAAACCCTTCACTGGCCTCAACTTCATCCTGACCCTCATCATGAAATTGAAGCTTACTCTCACCATGATATTGATCCTGACCCCCAGCTGCACCCTGTCATGACCCTTTCCCTGACCCTCATCATGACCCTGAGTTGAATCTTACTTTTACCCTACACCTGACACCTGATCCTTATGCAGAGTTGATCCTAACCCTGACCAGAGCTGCATTGACTCTGATTGTGACCTTCAACTACACCCTAACCATGACATGCACCCTCATCACTAAGCTGAGTATGACCATGATCTATGCACACACATTCTAGTTTCATCTAGATCTTTTGTAACTTGCAATATGAAAATAATTTTCAGAATTATGGACATTTACCAACTTGCCTAAACTTTTGCTGCTTATTTTCAAATATACTGCTTTGATTCATGTTAATATGATCT
This sequence comes from Homo sapiens, assembly GCF_000001405.40. Lineage (NCBI taxonomy): Eukaryota > Metazoa > Chordata > Mammalia > Primates > Hominidae > Homo > Homo sapiens. Next base: position 66,200,093 of record NC_000003.12, read on the forward strand.
ATTACAATGAGGTAAAAAATATAAACAAATATATAGTGGCTATTACTACTCTTTTTTGTTACTTTGGCAAATTATCCCTATGGCAGTCGATGAATTAGAGGGCTAAAAATGTAAACTTTCCCAGGATTCCAAACTGATTCTAGCACCCTAAAAGGGCCTCCTGGCTGGCCAAGGAGACTGCTGTTGTGCTTGGCTGCACCTACTGCCTCTCGTCTTTACTACCTTTTCCCTGGCAGGTGCCGGGTGGGGTAAGCCAGCTGGCTGCACAATCCAGGCAGTGAAGAATGGTGGGTGGCACAGCATACAGACCACAAGGATGTGGTCACAGTTCTTGGCTCATGGCTCACAGCTATGGATCCAAGTGTCATGGCCATCACAATGGATCCTTTTAGCATCATTTTCTTAAATAAAAGGTATTACAAAGACTATACACTGGTTACTGCTTATTGTGGTTGCTCTGCCAATGGATCTCCATAGAGAATGACCATACACATATTAGCCATACCTTATAAGAGCAAAAGAGATAAATGATCAGGGTACTTTCATGGTCTCCCACAGAAGAAAGCTAGCAAGCAAACCTGTACTTATGTTTTCAGTAGCTATTTTCATAAAAGCTATTTTTAGCAATTGGAAAATTGGTTTTATAGGCCACAGAGTTATGTATCTTATAAAATAGAAATCAAAATCAGAAATTACTTACAGAGGTGGTATAAACCTTTGAGAGTTCATGTTGGATAAGGTTTTCATTGGTAACTGCTTCCCGAGAAAATGCCACTGAACTAAACAAGCAACTGACTAAGTGGGGGAAATATCCCTAAGATTACAGAGTACTCCCTATGTGCCAGACACAGCCCCAGGGTGCTGTGGCACAAAGGAGTTAGTCTAGTACCGTATAATCACTATGAGAAAAAGACTGATATTTCTGCATGCAGCAATTCACAAGAAGAGGCAATGGTAAGGGTGGAAGAAAGACAATGGACTGACTGTTCTTTGTCATAATCATTGTTTCTTGACTGCACTCCTTTTTCCTCCTTACCAGGGGAAATGAGACCAGTAAGAAATGAGGCAAATAAGTTAAGAAATTAGGACAAAGGAAAAGAAATGGTAATGATTGTTTATATATATATTTTATATATACACTTCATATATAATATGTAGTTACATATAGTTATATATTATATTGTTATACATACCTTAACAAAATATATGTTGATATATATAAAGATTGTTTATATACATATGTGTGTATATATAATTTTTTTTAAAGACAGGGTCTGTCACCCAGGCTGGAGTGCAGTGGTGCAATAACATCTCACTACAGCCTCAGTCTCCCCAGGCTCAGGTGATCCTACCACCTCAGCCTCCCAAGTAGCTGTGACTATGGGCACGTGCCACTATACCTGGCTAATTTTTTATTTTTTTAAATAGAGATGGGGTTTCACCACGTTGTTCAGGCTGGTCTAAAACTCCTGGGCCCAATCGAGCTGTCCACTTCACCCTCCCAAAATCCTAAGGTTATAGGTGTAATGATTTGTTTTTAAAAGGAACCTTTTCTAGATAGATAGACTCTGTTTTAAACTTGTCAAGTGAGTTAACAATTTTTAATCCTTCACTACAAATACTGTGCCTGCATGTTGCATATAAGGAATTGATGTTGCTGAGACATTTCTGAGTTGGTTTTAAGCTCTATCATCAACAAAATAAATGACTATTTCTTTTGCAACCATAAGCACCATAGCTCTGAATGGGCAAGACAGAGAGTTTCACGATTAAACTACCAAAACCTAAGAAAGACAGATGCAATATAGAGTACTTTACGCTACATAGGACAAAAGAGTGAAAGCAGAAGTAAATGAAAACTGCTACAAAGCCATGAAATCAAGGAAGCTGCCAACAAAAGATCATTTAAGAAAGAAAAAAATGATATACCCAAAGGATTATAAATCATTCTACTATAAAGACACACACATGTATGTTTATTGCAGCACTATTTACAATAGCAAAGACTTGGAACCAACCCAAATGCCCCTCAGTGATAGACTGGATAAAGAAAATGTGGCATATATATACCTTGGAAACTGTGCAGCTATAAAAAAGAATGAATTCATGTCCTTTGCAGGGACATGGATAAAGCTGGAAGCCATCATTCTCAGTAAACTAACACAGGAACAGAAAACCAAACACCACATGTTCTCACTCATAAGTGGGAGTTGAACAATGAGAAGACATGCATATAGGGAGGGGTACATCACACACTGGGGCCTGTCATGGGGGTGCGGGTGCAAGGGGACGGATAGCATTAGAAGAAATACCAAATGCATGTGGGGCTTAAAACCTAGATGATGGCTTCATGGGTGCAGCAAATGACCACAGCATGTGTATACCTATGTAACAAACCTGCATATTCTACACATGTATCCGAGAACTTAAAGTAAAATGAAAAAAAAAAAAAAAAAGGAAAGAAAAAAATCTATTGGCAAAGTTGACCTTAACAAGGGTAGATGTCCCAAGCTTGCTTCGTTGTAAGAATTACTGGAGACACTTGTTCAACAGCGAGAACTCCCACACATCTTGGAATAATTCTAATTTCACTCCATATGTGATCTACACACATCAGCAGCTCTAAGAACTCCCATTTTAAAAAAAACATTTTAAAATGAAAAAAGAGACAAAAGAAGGAATTCTGCTAAGTTACACTGGGTTCACCACTTAAATAACTGGTGGCAAGTGTCTGAGTGTGAATCCTGAAGTTTGACATCACTCAGTCTTGAAAAATTAGTTTACCATAACAAAAGCTTGACACATTATTTTGCTTTGTTCAAGACCAAATTTAAAACGTAAAATTATACATGTATTACGTTGTTTTTAACTAAATGACATAGCAGTGGTTGTCTTCTTAAATGGTTAAGTTTTATAATATTTTATATTAATATAATTCGTAAAGATTTAATATATTAACTTAATTGTAATTTCTAGATTCGTAACTAACTTTTGAAACTTAGTTCTGGCTGGGTGCAGTGGCTAACACCTGTAATCCCAACACTTTGGGAGGCCGAGGCGGGAGGATCTCTTGAGCCCAGGAGTTTGAGACCAGTCTCAGCAACATGGCAAAACCTTGTTTCTATAAATAATTAAAAAATTAGCCAGGCATGGTGCCATGTGTCTGTAGTTCCAGCTACTTGGGAGGCTGAGGTGGGAGGATCACCTGAGCCCAGGAATTTGTGGCTGCAGTGAGTGGTGATCGTGCCACTGCACTCCAGCCTGGGTGATGAGAGTGAGACCCTGTCTCAAAAAAAGGAAAAAAAAAAACTTAAGCCCAATTCAATTAATAAATTACCCTTAAATGCTTGTAATTTCTAAAAGAAAAAATACAAAAACTGCTGACTAAATATAATTTTAACTTACCCTTATTAAAACATCAGTAGACTAATAAAATATAAAAATACCTTTGGGTGCTAATACATAGATGTTTGATTTTGCGTTTTTAAATTTTTAAAATAATGGGAGATAAATGCTCATTAAAAATTAGAGCATGGTTTTTAACTGTTTCCCCTTTGGGTGTCCCTTATGTCTAGAGAAAAAAAGAAAAGACTGCTTACTTTAAAGATGCTAATTATTTTGGTATAGTTCATAAAAGTAATCCATTACATCCAGAATATTTACTGCAACAATTCTACAATGAATTGATTACATTCTAGGGTCTGCTTGTTGAGCTGACACAGTGAGTTCAGGTCCTAGTACTCTATAGGATTACTTTGAGTTCATCTGCTTATGTTTCTACCTCCCTCATTACACTATGAGCCTCACAATGGCAGAGAATGAAATTATCTTTGTATTCCCTATTCCAAATTTAGCCCCGATACACAGTAGGCACTCAGTATTGTATAATGGAAAGAGGCAAAGAGAAGAATGGAATATTCTATGCAGTTTATTTACCTTCTTCCCCTAGGCATGAAGTTTTATTAATAATGAGATAATTGACCTAATGATGCAATGCTAGAATTGCTGGACTTACTTATAGGAGGAAACTTGCATGAAAATCACGAGAATGGGCCGGGCGCGGTGGCTCACGCCTGTAATCCCAGCACTTTGGGAGGCCGAGATGGGCGGATCACGAGGTCAGGAGATCGAGACCATCCTGGCTAACACGGTGAAACCCCGTCTCTGCTTAAAATACAAAAAAATTAGCCGGGCGTAGTGGCGGTCGCCTGTAGTCCCAGCTACTCGGGAGGCTGAGGCAGGAGAATGGAGTGAACCCGGGAGGCGGAGCTTGCAGTGAGCCGAGATCGCGCCACTGCACTCCAGCCTGGGCGACTGAGTGATACTCCGTCTCAAAAAAAAAAAAAAGAAAAAAAGAAAAAAGAAAGAAAAAGAAAAAAGAAAATAATGAGAATGGCTATTTGATAGAAGTATGAAATCTAAAATGCCAATATCATCAACTCCTGGAGGTTTATCCTTTCGGATTTTCAGTTTTCTGTTTTAAAAGCATTAATTAGAATGCTAGCACCCCAGAAAAAGCAAGAACATTGTCTATCTTGTTCATCTATATTCCTAGAGTCAGAACATTGACAGGAACATGTATAAGTTCGGCAAAGATTAGTTGAGAAATGACTTTGTTGCACCAATTCTGATTGCCGATGGAGGCTGGCAGCACTTTACCGAGTACAATATCATTTCAGTGATAGATTATCAATGTCTGCCGTGTGTACAGTAGGCAAAGTTAGGGTGCCTGTAACATGTTTGCCATGAATGTTAAACCACTCTTCTTGCCTTAGCTATCAGTCAACATTTTAAACAGCTGACTGCAAAGAAGACTATGGAACTAGCAGGTAGGGAAGGGTATTGACTGGGAGGGCTAATGGGGCTCTGAGATGGAAACGTGAATCTCGGAAAACAGATTCTGCTGATTCCATGTTTGGCTAAGAACATTGACTTTCTTATTTGTTAGTTATTTGTTTTATTTGGGTTTTCCTGATACTGAAAGATTAAGTTGTGCAACACAGCAGTGTTTTAACATTTCACTAATTGAATGAAGCCTGCAATGTGCAACAAAAAGATTTTTGTGTTTATTTATTGAGATTGTGCATGTACTATATTAATTTCACACTCCTTGAACATGCATTCTTCTTCCAATTAGAAAGAAAAAAGCGTGGTGGAGGCTCAGAGTTTATTCCTTTATGGAATGATTTTAAATAACAAATAAATGAATTAAAAATTTCCTGTCCCCAGAGTCTTACATCTTTCTCTGGTTAGGAAGCAGATGCACTCATAGGTGTAGCTATTGTTCCAAAGCTAGATTATCTTAAGTTTTTGAGTCTAGGATTGGAATGGGGGTGCTTGCAGGTAATTGACTAAAATAATGAAGATAATTTGAGATATGGAGGGAGATATTTTGCAGCATAAACGCAAGGGTCTTGTGTCTACCCGCACTCAGAATTGCAATATCAACTATGCCAGTGCTATATAAAATAGGATTCATTCATATTTGGACTGATGCATACTTTATTGCATAGCTGGGAGGCAGTTCAATTTTCTATCACTTTGTCACACATGCAGTTTGAAGTATGAGAACTCACAACTTAGCTCTTTTTGCCTCTCCTCTTCCTGATAAGTGGAGGCAGCCCCTTGACCCTGTGGAAGAATTATTTGTTTATTCAGTTAACAAATATCTAGCCATGGGCCAACATTCAAGCTTACATCCAACTAAGGCCATTTGTTCATAGGGCATCTGTCTTAATTTGGATCTCCTCTACCATGGACCCTGAGAGAAGGACTTGGGTGCAGGTAGCTTCTGCAGGGAGAAAATCCCTGGAAGCACAAATAAGAAAGTTAAAAAAGTGAGGCAGAAAAAGGGAAAAAATTGATAAAGTATGCGTAATAGAGCAGGTTAGTGCTGTAAGCAACTATGTCTCAATCTTCCTGGGAACCTCTGAGAAACTACTGGAAACATATACAAAATATCCCCATCAGAGGGAAGGCTGGGATATTTATGAGTATACACCCACATAGCTCAGTTGTGCCTGCAAACTTCCCATGGTGCAAGAGAGAGGGCTCAGGTAGAGAAAACAAGAGACACTAATTCCTATGTTGGGATGTTTTCAGTGTGCCAGGGACTGTCCGCCATAACTGTACGTCAATGCAGGCGAGCCAAGCAGATACGGGGCAGTGTATCTGCAACATCTACTAAAAAATCCTACTTTCTCTACCTCGAGGCAGGGTCCATTTTGGAACCAACAAACTTCATACTGAGGTAGATCCAGGGCTGCCACATATGGCTATTTAGGATTAGCCAGTTGTGCACCATTTAAGCCCAAAGACTGCCAAGTACATAGACTGTATTGTAATTATTACTGCCTGGAGCTGGGCAATGAAAAATCTGTAGCACATTCACAGGGATGTCTGTATAATTGGCATCCCTTGGAGCCATGTAATGCACAATCTGCAAGGCTGTACATACTGTTTCTTTTATAAGAAAATCCTCTTTTGAAGGGTAGGTATTATTTTTTGGGAGAGTAAGTAAATTATTATAAAGCATTAGACAGAGGACATTTCAGAATAAAGAAGATTTCAGTTAACATATTTGCATCGCTCAGCAAGCAGTACTTACAGGTTCTTTTTTTTTTTTTTTTAGACAGAGTCTTGCTGTATTGCATAGGCTGGGGTGTAGTGGCATGCACTCCAGTAGTCATTGTAACCTCCACCTCTTGGCCTCAAGCAATCCTCCCATCCTTCCACTTCAGCCTCTCAAGTAGCTGGGACTGCAGGCATGCACTACCACCCCTGGCTAATTTTTCTTTCTTTCTTTTTTTTTTTTTTTTTTTTTAACACGGAGTTTTGCCATGTTGCCTGGCGGGGGAGGTGCTGGTCTTGAACTCCTGGGCTCAAGTCATCTGTCTGCCTTGGCCTCCCACAGTGCTGGCATTACAGGTGTGAGTCACCTCACCTGGCCTAGTTACAGGTTCTATGTGGCGATCAGACTCAAAAGACTCGGTAGGCTTTAAAACCTAATACGATATTTTCTTAGCTTTTTAGATGGATACAGGACCACATGTATGGTATCTGTGCCTTGTTAGGAGACCCAAATGCTACCCAAGTACCCGCCTCACCTACGTAAGTCATGTCTAGCTGCCTCAAACAAGGTATGGTGTGTCACTTTAACACAGAGAAGCTACAGCCTCAGTTATCCCCCCCATCCTTTAGACCATACTAGTCCAGTTCATGGGTCTTCCACTCTTGGTGCAGTTCCAACAATTAGGGGTTTCACGGCAAACAAGCCAGGTATAACCATCCACATATATCTTAATCTCCATTTGATCATTGTATTATATATTAAGATAATCTTAATTTCCAATGAGACAGTATTATGGGAAGACAGACTCCAAACTTGTTTTAAAGGCAAGTCTTTGTTCAGCCCAGGCCTGATTGATTTTACTCACAACATTGTATATAAATTTGGATGAAAAAGAATACAATGCTTATGAAACAATGGACCTCATCTCTAAATTCCTGCCCAAAGTAACTGACAAATGCTATAAATTTTAATGTAAACAAATGCATAGTTAAAACTAAATTATTTTCTCATTACAAAGTAGTCTTAATTGTAGAATACTTGAGAGACAAGATAGGCACACAGTATATATTTTAGAAATGTATTTCTCAACTTTAAATCTTTCTTGTAACGCTTGTGCCAATTTTCTTGCCCATCTAATCTTTCTTTTACAGGAAATTGCAGAAATTAAGAAATAGAAGTGGAAAAGAAAGGTGGTATAATAGACAATGTACTATTGCTATTACCCAATTGTTGAGACAGTTTATCAGCAAGATAGAGGTAGCATTCTTGTGGGTTAAATATCCATTATACACTAGAACAAAGTAAACTGTGAGCACTTATGCAAGCACAGTGTTCTCTAAATACTAACTGATGGCAACTTATATATTGCATGGAAAAAGACTTTATATAGTTAAATTGCTACAGAAAAATGACTCCATTTCCAAGCGATTAGTCAATGGTATTCTCACGTTTTGGAAACTTTTATTTTTAATCATTCTCTCTTAAGCTTTACTAAAATAAAAATCTAGATTTTTTTTAAATCTTCCTATTTTACTTCTGCAAGCACCATAGAGTTTCATTGTTCATCATAATGACTTTTAAAAAGAGAGATGATTTTCTGCTCTTGTGAAATGGCCAATTTATTGCCAACTGGATCACAACAGAACTGATTTATCATTGCTCTAGTTGGAATCAGTTATGTCTCTGAGAGAACCTTTTTTTTTAAAGGAAATCATGGCAGGCCAATGTCAGTGAACTCGGGAAAAGGCCCTGATCAGGGAAATTAGGAAAGAGATTGCCACATGGATTTCACATGCCCTCTTGCCAGAAAAACATTCAAGTTGACATTCTTTGTGTTTTGTCTGTCAAAAATATAGGAGCAGGACAACCCACTTTTCCGGGACCCTCCCTGTAGCAGAGAGCTATTCTGCTTCTTTCGCCTATTTAATTTCTGCTCTAAACCTCAAAAAAAGTATATAGATATATATATAATATATATACACACACACCTTTATATGGGTATATATATATATATACACATTTATATGGGTATATATATATACACATTTATATGGGTATATATATATACACATTTATATGGGTGTATATATATATTTATATGGGTGTATATATATATATGGGTATATATATACACACCTTTACATGGGTATATATATATACCTTTATATGGGTGTACATATATATATATACCTTTATATGGGTGTGTGTATATATATATATATACACCTTTATATGGGTATATATATATAAATGTGTATATATACATACACATATATATACATTTATATATATATACCCATATAAAGGTGTGTATATATATATATATTTATGTACCCATATAAAGGTATATATATATATACACACCCATATAAAGGTGTATATATATATATATATATATATATACACACACACACCCATATAAAGATGTATATATATATATATATATATATACACAAAAAGATATATATACCTTTTATATATATATATACCTATACTTTTATAGGTATATAAAGATATATATATATATAACTTCTATATTTTGACAGACAAAACACAAAGAATATATAACGATATACCCATATAAAGGTGTATATATATGTGTGTATATATGTATGTATATATAATATATAGCTATATGTATGTATATATACATATATATCTATATGTATGTATATATACATATGTATATATATCTGTATGTATATATATACATATGTACATGTATCTATATGTATGTATATGTGTATATGTATATATATCTATATATAGTCACATAAAGATATATATATAAAGGTGTATATATATATAAAGGTGTATACATATACTTTTATATGGGTATATAGTTATATATTCTTTGTGTTTTGTCTATCAAAATATAGAAGGTATATATATATACCTTTTATATACGTATAAAAGTATAGGCATATATATATAAAAGGTATATATATACACACCTATATATCTATTTTATATATATATACCTTTTATAGATATATATAAATATATATATTTTATAGGTATATATAGGTATATATAAATATATAGATATATATATTTTATAGGTATATATTGGTATGGATATATATATACAACTTTTATAGGTATATCTATAAAGGTATATATATATATACACACCTATATAAAGGTGTATCTATACACACACACACACCTTATATATAGAGAGAGGTGTGTATACACACACATATATATATACTCCTCTCTCTCTCTCTCTATTTATATATATATATATATATATATATATATATATATATATATATATATATGCAGTAGTTTCCTGGGGGAAAGAGTACCCTGAAGATGTCTATAGCAATACCAATCCCCTAGCATAGGCTTTTAGGAGTTTCGGATGCCTATTGGACCTTCCTGATGCACATCAGCTTTGTTATGGAGCTAAAGATGCAACTATGTATGGCCTCCTTCACTTCCTCCTTCCTCCCTCCTTCTCCCTTTTCTATTCCAGCAATTGAGCCTATATGATGTATCTGGGACTGAGTATTCGGTGGCAAACTTGATAGACATTGTCTCTGTCTTCACACATTTTTATAATCTAGTGGTGGAGACAGATATTAATAACATCAGCCCACAAATCTAGAATTATAGATTGCAATAAGTTCTGGGGAAAAAATATGATGCTATGGGACAAAAGCTGGAGTGGGGTGATGTGAAGGAAAAGACAATCTCCCTTAGGAAGCCACATTAAGTTGAACTGGAAAAGACAGTCTCCCTTAGGAAACCACATTAAGTTGAACTGTCAGTGAAGGATAATGAGAAATGTGGGAGTGGGGGTTGGCATATGCAAATGTCCTGAGGCTGAAGGTATGGACAACTGTGACTCTTTTTTTTTTCTTGAGATGGGGGTCTCACTCTGTCACTAGGCTGGAGTGCAGTGGTGTGATCTTTGCTCACTGCAGCCTTGACCTCCAGCTCAAGCAATCCTCCTACCTCTGTCTCTCGAGTAGTTGGGGCTATAGAAGCAGGCCAACATGCGAGGCTAATTTTTGTATTTATTTGTAAAGATGGGCTTTTGCCATGTTTCCCAGGCTGGTCTTGAACTCTGGGGCTCAAGCAACCCTCCCACCTCAGCCTCCCAAAATGCTGGGATTACAAGCGCAAGCTACTGCGCCCGGCCTCGACTCATCTGAGTTAGCAAAAAGCTGAGTATCGCCAAAGGTTTGTCAGCAAGGAGACGTGACTGGCGAGCTATGAAGGTGAGGCAACAGTCAGGGGCCAGATCACTCAGGCTAAAAGCAAACATATGTCTACTGAGAAATAAAACATGTGAATAGCACAGAACTAAAAATTAATAGAGGCTGTGGCACTGCACCTGCATGGCACATTACTGGACAGCTGGTAACATGACCATGTCCTCTTGTAATTATTTGGGGAATGGTGGCTATTTTGCTATATCAGCACCATTGGATCTGAGAAATGACAAAACAAATGTATTCACTCATCTTTTACAAGAGATCCTTGAACTCTAAGAGGGGATTCACCTGGGGACAGTTCAAGAATATTGATGTTCGACCTGTAGCATTAAGCGGACTGTGTTCATTTAGGACACACAATGGTAGCTCAGAAGAATAGAGGGGTTGTGCCCTTTGGAGTGGAGGCCTGCTGTTTGTTTGACAGAAGGTAATAAACAAAAAGACCACAGTGCCCTGAAGCTCTTTGGAAGGTTTGCAATGAGAAAGGTAAAAAATGGCAAACAGCCTGAAAGTGGCACGTAATCGTGAGGGAGCCGGTGAATGGAAATTCAAATCCCTATTATTCTTTTAAACTTTTCCGTACTGGGAAATTACCTGGGGTCTTGCGGCTCTTAATATAGCTTGCACTTATTGCTGCCTCCCCCGGTCTTTCCATCCAGAAACTCTTACTTAACAAAACAAAATGGCATTGAAGGGGGAGGAGAGAGCTTTGATTATTGGTTGATTAAGGAATGTTGCTGTGATGTGACCAGTTGAGAGAAAAAATTAAAAATAGAAAAAAAGTAAGAACATTGCATATGTCAGCTTTTCTGTGAGACTGAGAAATTTCACAAATGTTTCACAAGCATTTCATTTTTGAAATCAAATATTTTAAATGCATTCCATCTCTTCTGAAGAAAAAGTATGTCTTTTATTGTTGTAAAATATAACATAAAAATGACCATTTTAACCATTTTTAAGCGTACAGTTCAGTAGCATTAAGTACATTTGCTGCTCAATGTACATGAGCAACCATCACTACTATAGATCTCAAGAATTTTTTCATCTTCCCCAACTGATACTCTGTAACAATCTCCCCTTATCTGCAGTTTCACTTTCTGTGATTTCAGTTACCGAGTGAACCGAACCGCAGTCCAAAAATGTTAGGGTATTTTTAGAGAGTGAGTGAGTGAGAGACTACATTCACATAACTTTTGTTACAGTATATTGTTATGATTGTCCTACTTATTGTTATTATTTTTTGGAGACTGGGTGTCCTGTTGTCCAGGCTGGAGTGCACTGGTGCAATCATAGTTAACCGCAGCCTGAAACTCCTGGGCTCAAGTGATCCTCCCACCTCAGCCTCCTGAGGAGCTGGGACTACAGGTGCACACCACCATGCCTGGTTAATAAATTTTTTTTTTTTTCATAGAGACAAGGCCTTGCTTTATTGCCCAAGCTGGCCTCAGACTCCTGGCTTGAAGTAGTCCTCCCATCTCGGCCTCCCAAAGTGCCAGGATTACAAATGCAAGCCAATGTGCCAATTCATATTTTATTATTCATTATTGTTGTGCCTAATTTATAAATTAAGCTTCATAATCAGTATATATGTATAGGAAAAAAACCTAGTATACATAGGGTTCAGTACTTTCTGAGGTTTCAGGCATCACCCACTGGGAATCTTGAAATGTATCCCCCATGGATAAGGGGGATATACTGTATCCATTGAACAATTCAATGAACAATTCAATACTGTATCCATTGAATTCTCCATTTCCCCCTCCCCTAAGCTCCTGGCAACCACCATGCTACTTTTATCTCTATAAATTTGACTACTCTGGACATCTCACCTAAATGGAATCATATAATATTGGTCTTTTTGTGACTGGCTTATTTTGCTTAGCATAATGTCTTCAAGTTTCATCCACATTGTAGCATGTGCCAGGATCTTCTTCCTTTTTAAGGGTAAACAATACTCTACCATATGTATAAATGTACATTCCATATTTTGTGTACCCATTCATTTGCCGATTGACATTCGGTTGTAGAAAAAGTATCTGTTAAACATGGAGCAGAGGGACACAATCTTTTCCTTTTCTTAAATCATCTTACTTTTATTTTTTCCTTTTACTGTCCTTTCCTTCTTTCCTTCTATCCTTTCCTTTCCTCTATCCTCCCTGGATAAAAGGAGGATAAAACGTGACTAAGGAATGTTACCATTGGGAATTTCAAGAACTAGGCCTGGCGCAGCCCAGGCGCGGTGGCTCACGCCTGTAATCCCAGCACTTTGGGAGGCCGAGGTGGGTGGATCACCTGAGGTCAGGAGTTCAAGACCAGCTTGGCCAACGTGGTGAAACCCCATCTCTACTAAAAATACAAAAATTAGCCAGGTGTGGTAGCCCATACCTGTAATCCCAGCTACTAGGGAGGCTGAGGCAGGAGAATCACTTGCACCCAGAAGGTGGAGGTGGCAATGAGCCAAGATCATGCCACTGCACTCCACCCTGGGAAACAGAGCAAGACTCTGTCTCAAAAAAAAAAAAAAAAAAAAAAAAAAAGCCTAGTAAAATGACTTTCTTTTAAAATATATATATTTAATGTAATTTTTTTTAGAGAAATTTTATAGTCACAGCAAAATTGAGCAGAAAGTACGGAGATTTCTCATATATCCTCTGCCCCCATACATGCACAGCCTATGACATTATCAATATTCTTTACCAGAGGGGTATATTTGTTACAATCAATGGACCTGCATTGAAACATCATTACCCCAAATCCACAGTTTACATTAGGTTAATCACTCTTGGTGTAGTACTTTCTATGGATTTGGACAAACATATAATAACATGTGTCCACCCTTATAGCATCATACAAAATAGTTTAACTGCCAAAAAATTCTCTGTGCTTCACCTGTTCATTGCTCCTACCCACAATATCTGTAGTCCTAACTATTTGGGAGGCTGAGGCAGGAGAATCACTTGAACCCAGGAGGCAGAGGTTGCAGTGAGCTGAGGTCTTAACGCTGCACTCCAATCTGGGTAACAGAGTGACACTCCATCTCAAAAAAAAGGTAATTATTCATTAAAAATGATCATCTGTCTCAAAAAAAAGTAATTATTCATTAAAAATGATCAGTAATGCAAAAATCCCCAGAAATGTCAGAGTTTACGGTTTGATATGGTCTGGATGTTTGTCCCTTCCCAATCTCATGTTGAAATGTGATTCCCAGTGTTGGAGGTTGAGCCTGGTGGGAGGTGTTTGGGTCATGGGGGTGGATCCCTCTTGAATGGCTTGGCCCCATCTCCACAGTAATGAGTTCACATGAGAGCTGGTTGTTAAAAAGAGCCTGGCAGCTATCTTTCTACCTCTCTCACCATGTGACATGCCTACCCCCACCCCACCTTCTGCCATGAATAAAAGCTTCCTGAGGTCTCACTAGAAGCCAAGCAGATGCTGGTGCCATACTTGTACAGCCTGCAGAACCGTGAGCCAAATAAACCTCTTTTCTTTATATGTTACACAACCTAAAGTATTCCTTTATAACGATGCAAAACTGACTCACATTAAGATTTTATTACATATGGCCACATTGCTCACCAGAAAAGTTGCTCCAACTCTCCCTCTAGAAAAAAATCCTTGCCTATTTAAAATGTTAAAAAATATGCTTTGTTGGTGTTTTAATTTTCATTTCGATGTTACTAATGAATTGAAAAATATTTTTTAACATGTTCATTATCTATTTGTATTTCTACTTTTGTGATCTTTACTCATTTTTTTCTATTGGTATTAGTGTTTTTCTGTTGAGTTATGGGAACTATTTACACTTAAAAATTTGATGTGATTATATACATTGCACATATTTTCCCTGTCAAATTTATTTTAATTTTAATTTTTAATAACAAAGCTATTAACTGAAATTTTTTTTTTGAGACATAGAAGATGTTTCTTTATCTCAAGAATAGAAAAATGTTTACCTTGGTCAGGCACGGTGGCTCATGCCTGTAATCCCAGCACTTTGGGAAGCTGAGGTGGGCGGATGGCTTGAGGCCTGGAGTTCCAGACCAGCCTGGCCAACGTGCTGAAATTCCATCTCTACTAAAAATACAAAAATTCGGGCATGGTGGCAGGTGCCTGTAATCCCAGCTACTTGGGAGGCTGAGGAAGGAGAATCACTTGAACCTGGGAGGCAGAGGTTGCAGTGAGCCTAGAGAGCGCCACTACATTCCCGCCTGGGTGAGAGATACTCTGTCTCAAAAACAAACAAACAAACAAAAAACAAAAACAAAAATGTAAAATGTTTACCTTTTTGTTCTATTATTATTATTAATTTTAAAATTTATTTTTATTTTTTGAGACAGGGTCTTGCTTTGTCACCCAGGCTGGAATGCAGTGTCATGAATACGGTTCACTACAGCCTTGACCTCTTATCTCAAATGATTGTCCTGCTTCAGCCTCCCGACTAGCTGGGACCACAGGCATGTGCCACTGTGCATGACTAATTATTTTATTTTTTGTAGAAACAAGGTCTCCCCATGTTGCCCAGGCTGGTCTTGAATTCCTGGACTCAAGTGATCCTCCTACCTCAGTCTCACACAGTTCTGTGATTCAGTACTATTTTAATAGTTTAATTATATCAATGAAAAAATATGTAACCGTTTTAGGAGGCAAAGCGTAAGATGGAGATCAAACATTATTTTCTTCTAAATGGTTAGCTGATAGTCCCAAAAGCATTTATTGAAAGAGTCATCTTTTTCTCTCTCACTAATTTTAAATGCAAACATAAAGCCATATGACTGGTACTCTGTTGATTCTATCACTTAAAGGAAAACTGACTTTTCAAACAGGCCTTTAAAATTTTTTCATTTGACTTTCTTTCCATTTTATATATTTACTACCCTTTGCAGATGGATTGAAATAGTTCCAGGAATATTTTTATTGAAAATGATTCTAACTGTTGTCTTAATCCATTTGTGCTGCTATAACAACATACCACTGACTAGTTAATTTGTAAAGAACAGAAATGTATTGCTCAAAATTCTGGAGGCTGGGAAGTCCAAGGTCAAGGTATTGGCAGATTCGGTGTCTGGGGAGGGCCCAGTTCCTGCTTCCAAGATGGTACTTTTGAACAGTATCCTTACGTGCTCAGGTGGCAAAAGGTGGAAGGGAAAAAAGGCTGATTGAATACTTTGTGAAGCTTCTTTTACGAAGACTTTAGTCATATTCACAAGGGAGGAGCCATCATGACCTAATTGCCTCCTAAAAGCCCCACCTCTTATCACACTGGCGATTAAGTTTCTACACATGAATTTTGGGGGACACATTCAGATCTTAACAAATACTATCGTATTTTTCAATAAAAATCAGTAACATGGAATGGGGCGCAGTGGCTCCCACTTATAATTCTAGGCTGAGGTGGGTGGATCGCTTGAGCTCAGGAGTTCAAGACAAGCTTGGGCAACATGGTGAAACCCCATCTCTACTAAAAATACAAAAATTAGCTAGGTGTTGTGGCATGCCTCTGTAGTCCCACCTACTTGAGGAGCTGAGGCAGGAAGATTGCTTGAACCCGGAGGTTGAGGCTGCAGTGAGTCGAGATGGCACCACTGCATTCCAGCCTGGGCAACAGGACAAGAACCTGTCTTAAAACAAACAAACAAATAAACAAAAAACAACAACAACAAACAAAACAGTAACGGGGCTTGGAACTTAAGCCTAGTCCTGGTTGAAGATTATGTCCTTGTTTTTTGTTTTTGTTTTTTTTTTTGTGCTAGGCTTAAATTATTTTTTGAGCTATGTCTTTGGTTTCTTGCTAATTTTTATAAATACTATTAAGATTTTAGAGCTTGTTTAAAAGAAAACTTGGCTTACAGTGATAGATTTAAGTGAGAAAGACAGGATTATTATAATATCACATGTGTAATGCAAATCAGTGCTTACCACATTGCCTGTATCTTTTAAAATGAAAGATTTGAGAACATATGCTGCCTGCAATGTGGTGATAATGATGATGCATTGAAATACTCCATTTAAAAAGCATGCACAAGTAGTAATGAGTCTTTCTGCTAGCATTTCATGAAAAGGAAGCCCTAGGTCATGTTTGTAATATCTGTATTTCCTAAAAGGATTCCAGTGGTATCATGAAATACCTGGTAAAGCCTTTACCTTGCATAAAAGGAGAGACTATGTATTTCTTCTTGATTCTGAAAGATACCTGATAAATTACATTTCCCTCCAAGTTACCAGAAAATGACATCAACACAATTTTTTCTTGCAAAGTTAAAGACAACCATTGCATTGAAGAGGAAAGGAATTTTTTTCTTAATTTTACTTCAAAGGATGTATTAAATCAAAATTAAAGGTATAAGTCTAGGTTAAATTTTCTCTTAGGGAAGGAATTACATCAAAAACTTCCAGGAACATTAGTAGCTAGAAATAAGATTTATTTTCACTTAGGAGGCTATAGTAGTATGTATCACAAAGTACTTATGCACCTTGATAACTTATCAGTCTCTCATTCATAATATTCAGAATCTCTAACTTAAATAGGAAAATACGGAATAAACCGAATATTTCTATATGACAAGCACTGGACTAAAACTTTCTGTGCATATATTATTTATTCCTCATCATCCTGCGAGATAGTAATATTTTAATCAACTTTATTGAGCTATAATTTACATATACTTTTTTTTTTTTTGAGATGGAGTCTTGCTCTTGTCACCCAGGCTGGAGTGCTGTGGCACAATCTCAGCTCACCGCAACCTCCACCGCTCGGGTTCAAGCGATTCTCCTGCCTCAGCCTTCTGAGTAGTTGGGACTCCAGGCGCGCATCACCACACTCAGCTAATTTTTTCTATTTTTAGTAGAGACAGGGCTTCACTGTGTTGGCCAGGCTGGTCTCAAACTTCTGACCTCAGGTGATCCGTCCACCTTGGCCTCCCAAAGTGCTGAGATTACAGGTATGAGCCACGGCGCCCAGCCTTATAGTTTATATATACTAAGTACAACCATTCTAATTGTGCAAGTCAATGCGTTTTAGTAAATGTACACACCCATGCGACTACTACCACAATAATAACAAGAGAATATCTTCATCATTGCAAACTATTGTTTTGTGCCCACTTCATAGTCAATACTTTGCCTCTACCTCCACCGCCTGGAAAGCATTTATATACTTTCTGTCACTATAATTTTGTCTTTTCCAGAATTTCACGTAAGTGGAATCACAATACATGTGGTCTTTTTTTTTTCACATAGCATAATGCTTTCAGATTAATCCATGTTGTTTCATATATCAGTAATTCATGTCCGTTTATTGTTGAGTGATGTTCCATTATAAAGATGTATCATAATATGTTTATACCACCAGTTGATAGACATTCAGGTTGTTTTCAGTTTTTGACTATTATGGATAAAGCTGCTTTGAAATATAATGTAAAAGTATTTGTATAAATGTTTAGTTCTCTCGGGTAAATACCTAAGTGTGGCATTGGATTTTATAATGGTTGTACCATATAAAATTCGAAACAGCAATGTATGAGATTTCCAGTTGCTTCTCATCCTTGTCAACACTTGGCTTTTTAATTTTAGCCACTCTAGTGAGTTCTAGTGTATTCATATCTCATTGTGGTGTTCACCGGCATTTCCCTGATGTGGTAACCAGTTTCCAAGATGGCACCCAGTGATCCTCATCTTCCGGTATTTAGGCTTTTGGGTAGTCCAGCCCCATAATAAATGTCGATTACCTGTGTAAACAATAGACTATTGCTGGAATGACAACTGAGTAATTTATGAGAACAGGTCATGAGAGACTTTGTAGTTTCTGTCTTGTTCTCTTTCAGACCACTTACTCTAGGAACAACCAGCTACTATATCATGAAGACACTCAAGCAGTACTATGGAGAGATGTATGCCATGAGGGATTAAGGCTACCTGCCAATAGCTAGCACTAATCTGCCAGTTATGGGAGTGAGCCATCTTGGAATTGGATCCTGCGGTCATGATCAAGTTTTATGATATGGCCCTGGCCACCATCTTGACTGTAGTGTCATGAAAATTTCTGAGTCTTAAACACCCAGCTAAATGACTCCTTGATTCTTGACGTATGAAAACTGTGTGAGGTAATAGAAGTTTATCGTTGCTTTAGTCTGTTAAATTTTGGGGGTAATTTGTTACGCAGAAATAGACAAATAATACAGATTTTGGTACTTGGAGGTGGGCGCTACTGTAATTCCTAAACTGTGGGAGTGCCATTGGCACCAGGCAGTAGGTGAAAGGTGGGAAGACTGTGAGGGAAATGTCAGTGAAAGCTTATTAATAGAAACTTGATGGCCTTTGAGGAGGCTGCCGGTGAGGGTTTATAGGAATGTGAAGTAGGCAGGATTCTAAGGTGGCCCTCAAGATTCCTGGCCCCTAATGTGTTTTGCATAATCACCCCACTGATTGTGAGCAGGACCTGTGAGTATGACAGAACATTACCACCATGATTATGTTGTCACGTATGGCAAAAGGAATTTTTCAGATATAATTAAGGTCTCTAATCAGTTGACTTTGAGTTAATAAAAATGGAGATTATCCTGGGTAGGCCTGACCAAAGCACATGAGACTTTGAAAGACATTAATAGCAGCAACAGAGATTCTTCTGCTGGCATTGACAAAGTGAACTAGCATGTTTTGAGAGGGCCTACAGGCAGCTTAGGGAAAGGTATTCTGGGTAGAGAGAACAACATGGGCAAAATTAGGAGGCTTGGAAGTGTATAGTCTGTCTGTGTGTAGTCCGGCTAGTGGGAAGAGTGACAGGAGACACCAGCTGAGAGGTGTATACCATGCTAGGGAGCTGGACTGTCTCCATTGGCAGCAGAGGGGAGTTGTAAGCAGGGAAATAACATTACCATCACCTTTAGAGAGTACTTTCTATGAGCCAGGAACTAGGCTAAGAACTTGAGTGCATTATCTCATTTAATCTATTAATATAATAGTACCGCATGACAAAGTGACTATCATTATCGCCACTTTACAGGGGAGAAAACTTAATCTTGGAAAACTTATCCCCAAACCCAGCAGGTGATAGAATTTGAATTCCATCTAACACCTAAAGCTATTCTGCGTATCATTTCTAGATCATTTTACCTAGAAGAGAATAAGAATAATTATAAGAATAATTCTAGCAGTGTTATAGAATAGGGATTGAAGAAAGGCCAGGCAAGGAGCCTGCTCAGGTTATTATAACGGTTTTGAGGAAAGATGATGAGGGCATTAAGTATATTTTCAGTGCTTGCTCTGCTGTGTTCTCTGTAGCCACATTGAGTCGGTTACTTGTTGGAGCATCAGGAGCCTCTGTAAAATGAGGACACTAGTGTTGCTGACATCATAGGGTTGGTGAAAGGATTAAATGAAAAAATGTCTGTCAATCACTTAGCACCACGTCTGAGATGTAGTTGGCCCTTAATATATACAGAAGTTTACAAGGTATTTGTTTGTTTAATAAAGACAGGTCCACTCCAAGAAATGTTATTAAGTACTTAATAACGTGTGCTTTGAGGTGTACACATGAGTACAACAGCGAACAACATGAGCAGGTAAATAACTGAACAAACAAATAATTTTAAATGCAGTAACTCTGTAAAGAGAAATGGAGGATGCTAATTTTTAACTCCGGTCAGGAAACTTCTGATGTATTTTTCTATATCTTTATTTAATAATCTTCTGATAATGAGTTAATTTAATATAAACTCAGATAAAATTTTTTGACAAAACTAAGAGATAAACCAAAATGAAATATCCGATTAGGATCCCGAATCGCGCCTCCCGAGGTTAGTACTACCCCTCACGACTCCTCCCTCCGCCACAGCCACGCCTCTTCTGGGTTTACAGTTCAGAATCACGCCGGCCTCATTCTACCGCTGCTCTCTCCTGGATCTCGGCCACGGATCTTTTGCTCGCGAAAGTTCCTCCGTCTAGCTGCACACAACGCTGCTGCAGGAAACCGAGGTAAGGGATTTGCCGAGACTTAGCTCCACCACACTCCCCGAGGCCCCGCCCCTCCTCTCTGGCCCTCCCCTAGGCCCAGGTGTCTCGCGTTGCACGTGCAGTTGTTGTGGTTCTACGTCACGTGGTCCCGGAAGTTCAAGACAGACCCGCCTCAAACATGGCGGCGCCCAGCGCGCGAGGACGTGATCCGCTTCTGCTCCGGCTTGGATTGTAGCCTTGACGAGGTCTGAGCGACCATGGACCGGCCGGGGTTCGTGGCAGCGCTGGTGGTGAGTGCGGGGCGGTGGGGTGGGTTGCTCAGAGTGCCGGCGTCCGGCATTGGAGCCCGCGGGCGTTCTCTGCACTGGTTTTCTTCCGGTTTTGCGGGCTGGACTGTCCTCGGGTTACTGGCAGCCAGGTCTGAGAGGGAGCACGAGGCTCCCAGGCCACCGGCGGGCCAGGTGTTAAGGCTATGTCTGTACTGCCAGGTCATAAGAGCCAGGTGGGGGAAGGAAGGTGAGTCATTGTCTTTTGCACCCTCATTTACTTAAAAAAGAGCTTCTATTATACACTGTTAACTACTCTTTCATTAAATAGTGTAACTACTCTAGAGATCTTGGGAATTAAAGAAATGTATGTAACACAACAACAAAAACCTTACTCACATCGCTCCCAGCCCTTCTATTCAATACTACGTTTCTCATTTTGCTGCATCTCTTTTCAGTCTTAGAAAATGACATGTCCTTCTGTTCATTCAATACATAATCTGCTATTTCTGCTCCAAGCCTAGGCTTTGGAGAAATATTGGTGAGCACACATAGCTCATCGGGAACGCTGCGGAGTCAATAAACAGGCTTAGTATTTAATTCCGTAGCAGAAAACTACGAGAATCAACATGAATTAACAGAAAAAAAAGTCCTTTACCAAATATTTTGGAGCGTCTGGTAGAGGATACTAGATACAGCAGTTAACAAAACAGAGTTTGGCTGCCTACGTTTTCATTGTGTGGAATGGGCAGAGACAGACAAATAATTTTTAAAATGATTTTCATAGGGAAAATGGAGGCCCACAGTGATTTAGTCACTTAATTATCGAATTTTGGTGTTGCAGGTGTTGAGGATAACATGGTGAACAAGATAGACCTGCTCCTAAGGGTCAGGTGTTAGAGACAAAATAGTAAAATGACTGTTGGGATAAATAACAGGTGGGCTAGGTTCAGGGTGTTAGGGGAATATATGGAAGTAGGGATGTCTTAGCCAGACTTGTAGGATGATAGCTTTAAATCTAGATTTGTTGAAACTTGTATAAGGTAGGTCTTAGAAATATAAAGAAATAATGTTACTGATTTTTTTTTTTTTTTTTGAGAAGGAGTCTCACTCTTCGCCCAGGCTGGAGTGTGGTGGCGCCATCTCGGCTCACTGCAGGCTCCACCTCTCGGGTTCACGCCATTCTCCTGCCTCAGCCTCCCGAGTAGCTGGGACTGCAGGTGCCCGCCACTACGCCCAGCTAATTTTTTGGGTTTTTAGTGGAGACGGGGTTTCACCGTGTTAGCCAGGATGGTCTCGATCTCCTGACCTCGTGATCCCGCCCGCCTCGGCCTCCCAAAGTGCTGGGACTACAGGCGTGAGCCACGGCGCCTGGCCAATGTTACCGCTTTTAAGGAGCTTTCCTGTCTAGCTGGTGACACAGCAGCAGTAGTTTGTCAGCTAACATTCCTGTGCCAGGAACTGGGGTAAGCTCTTTACATACATTATCCCATTTAATTCTCACAATAATTGAACTCTTATCCTAATTTTCCAAATGAGGGAAGTGGGATACCAAGAGATTAGATAACTAGTTCAAAATCACACAAGTGAGATCCATTTCGTCTGTGTAAGTATTGGAGCTCATATTCCAACCCAGGTGATGTCACCTGGGAGTCGTGCCCTTATCTGCTTCTTGATACTCTCCGAAGTCAGCAAAGGTTGCAATTGCTAAAACACAGGTGAGTGCTGCAGTTAACAAAAGAATGGATTTAGTATATACTTAATTAAAGTATGATACACATGCAGTAAAGTATACTTTTTTCCCAATGTATTTATAGAGGGTAAAATTAGAATCAATAGGTGGAAGTTTCAAGAAACTAGATTTCATTCCAGGTAAAGGAAAAACATTTTATTTATGCATTCAGCACACAATTTTTCTTCCATCTATTCTGCCCACTGGGTATTGTGGTAGGCTTTGTAGATACAGTGGCAGATAACCCCATTTCAAGTAGGGAAGAAAGGCCAGCAGATAAAACAGTTGCAATGAATAAGTGCTATGAAAGAAATGAACTGAAGATGCGACAGAGTAGGCAAATATTGGTGAACCTCTTAGATGGAGTGACCAAGGAAAGCCACGAAGTGGTAACATTTCAGCTAAGACCTAAAAGATAGGAAGGGGCTTGAATTTTTGATGATCAGAGTGGGAGGTTCAGTCATGGGGAATGGCTCAAGTGGAAAGAGCTTAGAGTTTTCAAGTGGTGAGGCCTAATGGGTAAGGATAGCATGGCAGGGGTTGGTATGGGAGGGGTAGGCAAAGCCAGCTGAGGTGGGGCTTTATGGGCTAGGGAAAATAATTTGGATTTCATTTGTAGTGTAATGGAAGCCATTGAAATGTTTTATTATCAGAGTAGTACGGAAATGGAGTGGCTACTTTTTAATGTCTTGGAGTGCGTTTGAGACACAGTGAACACTCCTGAGGGAGTTTGGTTTTGCTTACTACTCTTTTACCAGTACCTGGCACTAGGTAAGCACTCAGTACTACTTTGAATGAAAAGCCTAGATGATTGCTGAAGTCTTGAAACTTGGATTTGAAGAATTAAATGAGGTAACATTAAACACACAGAGCAGAGCCTGGCAAGTAGCAGACATTGAAATGCTCCCTTCCTAAAGCTTCATGAAGAGGATTGAATAAGTGGAGAGCCTCTGGGATGTTAGTTATCATTTGGAGCACAGAGTGGGGTATCCAGAAACAAAATCCTCAAAGAGTACATTGATCAGTGCATACTTTTAGGAAAGCAACTGGAACTATGTATTAGCAACCTAAAGATATTTATATAAATAACATTTAACTCAGTGAAGACAGTAAGAAGCTGCTAAAACATGGGACAGAGGGGAAGAATTAGACAAACAATGGGAAACCCATTTCTTGGACTAGTCTGCAGCCATAAAAAATAGTGCTTGTGAAGAGAATGTACTATAATTACATGGAAAATGCTTATGAGATAAAATTAAGAGAAAAACATTGCATGTATGTATATTTGCTTGTACCTAATTAAAGCTATGTTAAAACCTATTCCATTCATGGGGAAAAAAAGCCAGATTGAAATACTCCAAAATAGCACTAAGTATTTTTGGTGGTAGGATTACATCGTGTTAGTCTGTTCTCATGCTGCTAACAAAGATACCTGAGACTGGGTAATTTATAAAGGAAAGAGTCTTAATTGACTTACAGTTCCATTTGGCTGGGGAGGCCTCACAGTTGTGTGGAAGGCAAAGGAAGAGCAAGTCATGTCTTACATAGTGGCAGACAAGAGAGCATGTGCTGCAGGGGAACTCCCCTTTATAAAACCATCAGATCCTGTGAGACTTACTCACTATTACCAGAAGAGCAAGGGAAAGACCTGCCCCCATGATTCAGTTACCTTCTACCAGGTCCCTCCCACAACACATTGGAATTATGAGAGTTACAATTCAAGATGAGATTTGGGTGGGGACACAGAGCCAAACCATATCATTCCACCCCTGGCCTCTCCCAAATCTCCTATCCTCACATTTCAAAACCAATCATGCCTTCTCAACAGTCCCCAAAGTCTTAACTCATTTTAGCATTAATTCAAAAGTCCACAGTCCAAAGTCTTATCTGAGACAAAGCAAGTCCCTTCTGCCTATGAGCCTGTAAAATGAAAAGCAAGTTAATTACTTCCTAGATACAATGGGGTTACAGGTATTGGGTAAATACACCCATTGCAAATGGGAGAGATTGGCCAAAATGAAGGGGCTGTAGGCCCCATGCAAGTCTGAAATCCAACAGGGTAGTCACATCTTAAAGCTCTGAAATCATCTCCTTTGACTCCATGTCTTACATCCAGGTCACGCTGCTGTAAGAGGTGGGTTCCCATGGTGGCTTTGTGGGATACAGCTCCCCTCCTGGCTGTTTTCATGGGCTGGCATTCAGTGTCTGTAGCTTTTCCAGGCACAGGGTTCAAGCTGTCAGTGGATCTACCATTCTGGGGTCTGGAGGACAGTGGCCCTCTTCTCACAGCTCCACCAGGTGGTGACCTGGTGGGGACTCCTTACTGGGGCAGCCACATTTCCCTTCCACACTGCCCCAGTAGAGGTTCTCTAGGAGAGCCCCACCCCTGCAGCACACCTCGGCCTGGACATCCCGACGTTTCCGTACATCATCTGAAATCTAGGCAGAGGTTCCCAAAGCTCAGTTCTTGTCTTCTGCACACCCACAGTACCAACACCATGTGGAAGCTGCCAAGGCTTGGGGCTTGCATCCTTCGAAGCCATAGCCTGAGCTCTACCTTGGCCCCTTCTAGCCACGGCTGTAATGGCTGGGACACAGGGCACCAAGTCCTGAGGCTGCACACAGCAAGGGGGCCCTGGACCCAGTCCAGGAAATCATTTTTTCCCTCCTAGGCCTCCAGAGCCTGTGATGGGAGGGGCTGCCATGAAGGTCTCTGACATGCCCTGAAGACATTTTCCCCACTGTCTTGTCAGTTAACATTTGACTCCTGGTTATTTATGCAAATTTCTGCAGCCAGCTTGAATTTTTCTCCAGAAAATGGGTTTTTCTTTTTTACCGCATCATCAGGCTGCAAATTTTCCAAACTTTTATGCTTTGTCACCTCTAGGATGCTTTGCCACTTAGAAATTTCTTCTGTCGGATACTGTAAATCATCTCTCTCAAGTTCAAAATTTCACAGATCTCTAGGGCAGGGGCAAAATGCTGCCAGTCTCTTTGCATAGCAAGAGTGGCCTTTACTCCAGTTACCAAGAAGTTCCTCATCTCCATCTGAGTCCACTTCAGCCTGGATTTTATTGTCCATCTCACTGTCAGCATTTTGGTCAAAGCCATTCAACAAGTCTCTAGGAAGTTCCAAACTTTCCCACATCTTCCTGTCTTCTGAGCCCTTCAAACTGTTCCAACCCCTGCTTGTTACCCATTCTGAAGTCGCTTCCACATTTTCAGGTATCTTTATAGTAGCACCCTACTGTGGGTACCAATTTCCTGTATTAGTCTGTTCTCACACTGCTGATAAAGACATACCCAAGACTGGGTAATTTATAAAGGGAAGAGGTTTAATGGACTAACAGTTCCACATGGCTGGCAGAGGGGCCTCACAATCATGGTAGAAGGCAAAGGAGGAGCAAAGTCACGTCTTACATGGCTGCAGATGAGAGCGTATGCAGGAGAACTCCCCTTTATGAGATCATCAGATCTTGTGAGACTTATTCACTATCACCAGAACAGAATGGGAAAGACCTGCCACCATGATTCAATTACCTCCCACCAGGCCCCTCCCACAACATGTGGGAATTATGGGAGCTACAATTCAAGATGAGATTTGGTTGGGGACCCAGAGCCAAACCATTTCATGTGCGTTCTTTTCTTTTTTTTTTGAGACAAGGTCTTCCTCTGTTGCCCAGGCTGGAGTGCAGTGGTGCTGTCTCTGCTCAAGTGATCCTCCCACCTCAGCCTCCTGAGTAGCTGGGACTAGAGGCATGCACCAACCACGCCTGGCTAATTTTTTAATTAAAAATTTTCTTGTTTTGTAGAGACAGGGTCTTGCTGTGTTGCCAGGGCTGGTTTTGAAGTACTGGCCTCAAGCAATCCTCCTGACTCAGCTTCAAAGTGCTGAGATTACAGGCATGAGCCACTGAGCCCAGCCCATGTTGTTCTTACAGTTTTTAGAAAATTTTTTTTGTAGAAAGAGGTGTCACAGGTATGAGCCACCACACCTGGCCCACCCTAAGAATTTTTGTCAAAACATTAAAAACGCTTTGGTTGTAATATATAGGGGAAAAATTGCAAAGCTGATGTTTATTTAGTACACTGTAATTAAAAACATTAGAAACATTAATAACTTAATTTTTTGGACAAAACCTTATCAACAGTAGTTTGAACATTTGCTTGTGTTCTCATTATGTATTATAGAAGAAGCATCTTTTTATGCCTTGGCAAGTTGTCATACTGCTTTCTCAGTTTGGATCAACTTCTAACATTTTATTTTTTGTGCTTTCAATGTTGTGAGTTCGTTTAATGCGAAGACTTGCTGACATAACTTAGTCTGGGACATTTTCATCCTTTTCATCACAACTACTTTCCTTATTTATGTTAAATTTGCTCTCACTTATTTTTTCTAGTTACTTATCTAGATTAATGACAGCAGTGTGAATATTTCCATGGCCAGCTGTTTGTTCTCTAATACCATTTATGTCTGATTTTTGTTTAACTTTGTGTTACCACTTTTCATTTTTTTTGCATTTTCATCTTTGTTCATCAGTTTTCTGTCTATTTTTATAAAATGTCGTGTGCATTTATTACTGGGAGATGAGGTAACAACTATTTGCTGTCTGTGCGTAAACTGAGTAATAGGCAGTGATTTCTGTTAATTGTATTGTGATTTGTGGACTGAACAAGTGGTGAAGTTTACACTTTATCCAGTTACTCATAGTTAATATGCTGTGGTAACTGAAATTTGACCTGGGTCATTGGGAGATTCATGTTATTTAAGTAAATCATGGTAACTGAAATTCATGTATGTAGGTACCATGCAAAGTGAGGACCGCTTGTAGTTTTTGTTTTCCTGTTTTTAGTGAGGTGATTTTTGGCTGGTGCTGTCATCTGGGGAGCTTTTTCGTGATACTTGGGTGTCTTCTCACTGGACCTGCCCTTCTGCTGAGAACCACCTTACAGGCAGTAGGATACTTGAGGGGAACAATGTGGGTTATGATGGCAGGGGTTCTTGGGTGGAGTGAAGAAAGGTAATACGAATGAAGTATTGGGTATACTATTAAAAGAGGTTTTCTGTTTTGTTGTTTTTCTTGTTTTGCCTCTTATCTTTTCTGGATAGTGACCTCCTAGTTTTCAATTTGGAGTAAAGGGCATCTTTAAAGATTATCTCCAAATTTATAAAAAATTGAGAATTATGCTTCTCTTTCTCAGGACTTGTGTGACTTGTTTATTTTTGGCATTTACGTCAGAGTGAGCAGGTCTTCCCTTTTTGCTTGCTTTTGTGTTGAGCAAGAAATTATCTAAACACAAGTATATTCCAAATTTTGCTCAGCCCGTGGAGCATGCAAAGCACTGCTTGGAGAGCACCAATCATGCAAGGACCACAACTGATAACCACCACTGTGATGGAGGCATTTTTTTGTGCATCTCTACTACCCACAGATGGGACTACCTTTCTTTTTTCATTTTTCTTTCTGTTTAAGAAAGGCATACTTGGAAAGTTTTAGTATTTGATAACTTAGCTGTAAGTGACTTGTTAATGTGGTTTTGTTACCACTTCCAAACCCTACTACTACATGTTGAAAGTTGCTCTAAATATTAAATCTTTTGTAATACAGACAAAATTTGGGTAACATTAATTAAATTCCAAATAAAGGAAAGATAAAAGTTACACCCACAGTTATCTCACCTCCCCAAATCAGGTGTCTTTTACATGCTTAACCAGATACATTTGTTGGCCTTTGCTGTGTTATTTGGGGTTGAATGCCTGAAAAATATGGTCCCCCACCTTCAGGGATTTAGAGTCTAGTAGGAGGCAGATGCTAAACGAAACTTAATTATATAATTCCAAGTGGTGGTAACACTTAACTGTTTACTGAGCACTTTAAAAGTGCTTATGCAACTTTTTCATAGCTGAGGTCATATAGGTATAATTTTATATTCTACTTTAAAAAATTAACATGTAAGTTTGAATTCAAGAATCATAAAGCAATTTGAACACTTATATTTCTCTTTAAGTTTTTGAAGTTGATGCTGAATGTTCCTGTCATGCATCACATGATTTGGTTTCTGTTGAGTCAGTTCACTGGGGATTCTTGTCCAGAGAGCAGAATTTGAGAAGAGCTTTTAATTCATTATTGCTAGTGAAAAACTTGAATTTACAGATTTTAATATATGAATTTGTCAGTTGAGTTGAATATAGGAATGTCATCTTCAGTGTTTGGTAAAGTACTCTTTAGGCTTTTGCGTGGTTTTTAGTATTTGCATGTCAGTATTGGTACCAGCAAACTTTGAAGGATGTTTATAGTAATATAATTCTAAAAATAGTAGTTTATTGATAATTGATTAAGGCCTAGGCATTTTGCTAACCATATAACAGGTTCATCTGATTGTGTTTAGTTCTCATTTATTTTATTTAATTCTCAAAAACTCTATGAAGTATAGGTACTCTTTTCCCTGTTTCATGTGTCAAGAAACAAAGGCTTAGAGAGGTTAGTTTCCCTAAGAAGACTGATATGGTTTGGCTGGGTCCCCACCCAAAATTTCATCTTGAATTGTAATCCCCATAATCCCCATGTGTCAAGGACGAACCAAAGGTGGAGGTAATTGGATCGTGGGGACAGTTCCCCCATGCTGTTCTCCTGATGGTGAGTGAGTCTCATGAGATCTGATGGTTTTATAAGTGTCTCGCATTTCCCCTCTTGCACTCTCTGTGTCCTGCCGCCCTGTGAAGAAGGTGCCTGCTTCACCTTTGCCCTCTGGCATGATTGTAAGTTTCCTGAGGTCTCCCCAGCAGTGCGGAGCTGTGAGTCAACTAAACCTCTTTTCTTTATACATGACCCTGTCTCAGGTATTTCTTCATAGCTGTGTGAGAACAGACTAATACAAAGACCAAGTTGAAACCGAAGCTAAATCTGTTTGATGGCAAAGCTGTGTTCTTAGGCAATACTTAATTTGAAAGAATTCCTGGAGAAATGGAAGAATAATCGAGTCAGATTCTAGAACCATTATTATTGTATTCTTGAGAATAGCCTCACTAAAAAAAAAACTGAATGTACACAGTTCTTTCCATTAGGAGGTAATATTAAGCAGAGATTTCTGGAGAAGTCCCCCTGAGTATTCCACAAAGTGGTCATGGTGGCTGAGGAATGCTGCGAAGAATAGCAGCAGATAGCTGACCCTGACTTTTGATTGTCACACATGCTGTGGCAGACCAGAACAGGGACCACCAAGCAGTGCTTGACTGCAAGATTTTTTCTGAACATTTCCTCTTTTTACAAAGTGTTATCTCATCATCCCACGTTTCTATTTTAGCACCCCTGCTATATAAGAAACACTCGGTTAGATATTTAGGAAGGCAGGTGACTGATCTGGTTTCTACTCTGAAGGATCTAAACGTCAGACATGATGGTTAGTACCAAAAGGAAATATAAACAACATTATATACTAGAGTGATGGTTAGTACCAAAAGTGAAATATAAACAACATTATATACTAGAGTCAAGGACATAGCATTTAATTCTGACTGGAAAATTGGGAAAGGCTTTATGAGGAATGTGGCATTGGGTTGCAGCTTTAAGAACGGAGAGGATTTTGTCAGGGGTGTGTGTGTGCATGTATGTATGTAGGGGGGTGGAGGCGATGGTGGTTTGCTGGCTGCAATAGGCAGGAGACAAGGATAAGAAGGGAATTTTAGGCCGGGCGTGGTGGCTTATGCCTGTAATCCCAGCACTTTGGGAGGCTGAGGTGGGCGGATCACCTGAGGTTTGGAGTTCAAGACCAGCCTGATCAACATGGAGAAACCCTGTCTCTACTAAAAATACAAAAAATTAGCCGGGCATGGTGGCTCACGCCTGTAATCCCAGCTACTTGGTAGGCTGAGGCGGGAGAATCAATTGAACCTGGGAGGTGAAGGTTGCAGTGAGCCGAGATCGTGCCATTGTACTCCAGCCTGGGCAACAAGAGCAAAACTCTGTCTCAAAAAAAAAAAAAACAAAAAAAAACCAGAATTTTAGACTGAGAGAAAAACCTAAGCAGAAGCACAGGAATGAGAAGTTTTAGGAAACAACTGGGTGCAGTGGCTTATGCCTGTAATCCCAGCACTTTGGAAGGCCAAGGCTGGTGGATCACCTGAGGTCAGGAGTTCAAAACCAGCCTCGCCAACAGGGTGAAACTCTGCTTCTGCTAAAAATATAAAAATTAGCCAGTCATGGTGGCATGTGCCTGTAGTCTCAGCTACTCCGGAGGCTGAGTCAGGAGAATCGCTTGAACCTGGGAGGCAGAGGTTGCATTGAGCTGAGATTGTGCCACTGCACTCCAGATGGGGTGACAGAGTGAGACTCCATCTCAAAAAATAAATTGTTTCAGGACGTGTTTGAGATGTTCGAGTAGTCAGATTGGTTGAACACTCCAAGGTCTATAGAGGGTGAAGCTTCATGAAGCTGCAGAGGAGGTAGCTTAGGGTCAGTAGGTTGAGGTTCTTAGTTACCGTTTGCTGAGTGGCTTCTATATATCAAGTACAACCAGTAAATTAGAGATTTTTTTTTTCCCCAGGGGAAGCATGAATTTTGAATGGCTTAGCTTTTATATATTTGTAATATTCATTACAAAACTTGAGCAAATAAAAAATTAACAAGGTTGTTTAAAAAATTAATAATTCTTGTTATTTAAAATTGTTAAAAATTATTTAAAAATTAATTGTTAAAAAATTAACAAGAAATATTATTAACAGTAGTATTTCTCATCCTGAATCTCTTTCCACAGAGGCAATAATTTCTAGCAATTTACTGTTTATGTTCCAGACTTCTAATTATGCATATACAAATAGTTACACATTTTAAAAGATGGGATTATATAGCATATATTGTTTTATAGCTAATTTGATTAATTTAAGAATATAGTGTATGTTTCTGTGCCAATAAGTATGGGTTTACCTCATTTTTTTTTTTTTTTTGATTAGAGACAGGATCTTGCTCTGTTGCCCAAGCTAGAGTGCAGGGCAGTGGCGTGATCATAGCTTACTGCAACCTCAAACTCCTGGGCCCAAGTGAGCATCCCACCTCAGCCTCCCAGCAGCTAGGACTACAGACATGAGCCACTGCACCCAGCCTACCTTGTTGTTTTAAAGGCTATGTAGCAATTCATTATTTGTGTATAGCTTAATTTACTTAACAGGGCCCCAGTGGATGGACTTTTAGGTTGTTTTCAATTTTTTATTATTACAGAAATGCTGTAGTAGACATTCTTGTATATTTGTGCATTTATTTCTGTGGAAGAAATGCTTAGTAATAACTGGATCAAAGGTTTGATAATTTAAAATGTTCATTTTGCCAAATTGTCCTCCAGTAGATTATGGTAATGTTTTCGTTAACAGTGCCTGTACCCATTCTTCATATTTTTAATTTTTTTCTAATTGGGAAAACATTTTGTTTTTATTTGATAATGACAGAGAATCATATTTTCATATTTTTGTTAGTCATTTATATTTTTCTTTTGGGAATTGCCTGGTCCTGTCTTTTGCTATTTTTGAAAAAAATTCAGTGTACCTTTTTAAGGTTGATTTGTAGTGCCTTCTAAAATATAGATAGTAACCCTTTATTAGAGCCATTGAATGCCTCCTATTAATATGTGCTGGTGCTGGAAACATATTAGTAAACAAAACAGATATAGATCTTGTGGTTTAATTGGACTGGTACTGAACAAATGGTCAGAGGCAAAACTATGTAATTAAAATTGTGTTCAGTGCTTGGAAACAACAAGATCTAAACCTGAACTGGAGATTAGGGGGCATCTGTACAAACTCCTTGAAATGAGGAAGATCAGATGATTTAGAGGAAAAGATCCAGGTGGAAAGAAAGGACTGAACAAAGGGCACATAGTGCGAGTTTTGGGAGTTGGAGGGGCTCCAGAACCTCCAGAGCCTGGAAGGCTGTGCTAGGATTTTCTTCTTCATCCTCGGGGCTGTTGGAAAGTTTGGAAGATTTATAGGCTGGAGAGTGGCAAGATGAAATTTGGATTTTATGAAAATGATTAGTACAGAGAGGCAGCGAGCACTGCAGGGAGAATGAATGGGAAGTGGGGAAGACGACAGGTATGTCAGAAAGCAGAGGTGGCAGTTCTGCAGTGAGGAAGATGGTGGTTCAAGTCATGGGTGGCAACTTCATGGTGGAGGAAACCGAGACTGTCGGGAATGTTTCCCTTGAGAAGCCATGTTAATGTTATGGCTGGCTCTTCTTAGCTGTCGTTTAGGCCAGTGGCCTCTATTAATTTTGCTTAGTTACATTACACAGATGGTTTGGTTTTGCCCTAGAGGGGAGCAGCAATGCTGTTTTTATGGTGTGCCCTCCTCCTTTTGAGAAAAAAAGTTTTATAGCATGTAATTCTGACCTATAACTTCTCAGAGTAATTGCAGAGCACTAATTGGGCACTTCCTCTCTACAGTCTGCCAACACTTCATACGTTTATTAACTTAAGGTAGAGACATGTATTTTATCTATAAGATATTGAGGTCTCGATACATTGTGATGCTGTAGCAAGGTTTGCTGGTTATCTGGGTTATGTCCTATTTCTTTGGATTTTTTTCTAGTTAGAACTTTTCGGTATAAGCTACCATAAATTATGAAATGAATCACTTGCCTGATAACTTTCTGATAGATGATTATAGCAAAATAACATTTTCAGGCTAAAGAATAAAAGAGTTTGATGGAGTTCTTTATAATTAGGTTGTTACTGGCTTATATATTTTTTACATAATTACATACAAAACAATATTGATATAGGCATTCCTTAAGGATTTTGTTTAAATCTGAAATATGTGGTTGTGTGGATAAATATATAGGTATTCTTATTCTTCAGGTTCTCTGTTAGCTGTTTTTCTTTTTTTTCAGTCGCATGAATTTAAATGACATTTGAGTTATATAGAAGTTTGAAATCGATAGAAGCGTTTAGTAATCCTTGAGTGATGTTTTACCAGACAAGTAAATTGAATCTGGTCATTTTTTTCCTCAGAAGATAATAATTGTGATGAAAGAAGGGTTAGAGAATCAATACATGTAAGGTAGCCAACTAGATTGAAAGAGTAATTATTGATTAAAATTTAGCAGTAGATAGCACTTCTCTGAATTCTCTCCTAAGATTAAAGAGAAAATTAGAGTGAAGTGCAGCATGTTTTTAAATAATCTAGTCGCACGAGACATTTTCGCCAGGGTTCTATTCTCTCTGTATTTTGAGAAAACGAGGAGGCATGCAAAATATTTGCCTACCAAATTATTATTAGAGATGAGTCTCCCTGTGTTGCCCAGGCAGGAGCGTGGTGGCTATTCATGGGCATAATCATAGCTCACTGTAATCTCAAATTCCTGGGCTCAAGCGATCCTCCTGCCTCAGCCTCCCAGGTAGCTGGGATTACAGGTACATACCACCATGCCCGGCTCTACTTACTGAATTTTATAAAAATCCTGAAACAAGAATTAAGAAGAGTTTTGACAATTGGCCTTTTTACTTTCCTACATTACTTGTGAACTTTTTCCCATGACTTAGGGAAGGCCACCTTTATATCCAGAAAGAAATCCCACGTTATTGGATATTCTTTTGGTACTACTTGGTTTCTCTACTGGCACATCTCTGTGCCCTTTTGGGTGACGTCTTCTTAGGTAATTTGCAGATTAGAACTTCAGGGTCTTTGGGCTTCTTTAATGTCTTTGGGCTGATCATGAAGTATAGTATTACTATTTATAGTAATGTACTTGTCTAGTGTAAATTAATTTTTAATAATTAACCTGTGCTAGTTAATTTGAAAATAGGTATTGGATTTATCATTAAAGTATTTCATTTTTCAAGTTAACTCCTGGGATGGTTTTATGGTGAGCGGTAAGTAAAGCAGATAGTATTTGCTAGGTACCAAGCTTTGTAGCATTGCACATTTTGTAAACTCGAAGGATGGAAACAATCAGTTTGAAGTTCAATTGTATGTTTGAATAATACTGATGATCTTTTTTTCCTTTGTCATGAAATGTATAGTTTAAAAATGTGTATTTTTACTTTTTGAATAGGTAATGTATTTACATGGTTCTGATTTCAAAATATAGCAAAAAATAGCAATTTAGTTAAAAAATTACTATGTAGGAAAGTTTCCTCTTTATAATGCCTCTGCCTGCCTGCTGTAAACTGACTTTGACTCACATCTTTAAATGATGCCTTTAGATCTGGGTGATCTTTTCGTATCAGAACAAACGTTATGTTTTTGTCTTTTTCACTAGTAAGTAGTGCATCTGTATTGACATTTTTGAGACCCACATTTTGAAACAACTAATGATCCTTGTGAATCTAGATCTGTATTTTAATAATCACACATGTAAGGATTCATATGTATTAGCCTTTCTTTGATGCTCTTCGTGTTCATATTTTGTCAATTTCTGTTTTCTTTGACTAAGGTGTAACGAGTTTAAAAATATTCTACATATTTGTCACTATAATCATGAGGTACAGAGTTAGTTCTTAATCAGTTTTTTCCCCCCAAAATCCATTTAGCAGAAATTAATCAGTTTTTAAAGTACAGCTTCCCCAAAGCAACATGGTATCTCTTGGGAGATGACTAGTTTGGGCCAGATTTTAATTTCCTTTAGGAATTTAGCTCTTAAAAAAATCAATTTATTCACTTGATTTAAAAATTATCAAGGAATTTTCAAATACATTTAAAGCAAAGAGAATACTGTATGAGTCCTTAGATGTGTGATTATTAAAATACAGATCCAGATTCACAGAGATTATAAGCTGTTTCAAAATTCCAGTCTGAAAGGAGTCAATTCGGATTCACTGCTTATTAGTTAAGACAACAATATAACATTTGGTCTGACGTGAAAAGATAAATCGTTAAAAAAAGTACAGAATAGTGCATATTGTACATCATCTTTTCTTTTTAAAGAAAATGAGACTATATGTTCATACATGCTTATATATGTTTAAAGTAACTTTGGAAGGATACAGCAAGAAACCAATAAAAGTGGTTTACCTGAGTTATTAGGAACAAGATTGGAAGGAGACTTTGAGCTCTTTACCTTTTTTCTGAAGTTTATTTGTTGTTCTTGTTGGCTATTTATTTTTAAGAGACAGGGTCTTGCTCTGTCACCTGTGCTGGAGTGCAGTGGTGGGATCACATCTCACTGAACCCTTGAACTCCTAGGCTCAAGTTATCCTTGTTCCTCAGCCTTCCAAGTAGCTGGACCTACAGGCATGTGCCACCATGCCCAGCTTAATTTTTTATTTTTTGTA
Source organism: Homo sapiens (assembly GCF_000001405.40). Lineage (NCBI taxonomy): Eukaryota > Metazoa > Chordata > Mammalia > Primates > Hominidae > Homo > Homo sapiens. The sequence continues at coordinate 66,236,096 of NC_000003.12, forward strand.
GTGATGATGTCTCACTGTGTTGCACAGGCTGGTATTGAACTCCTGGCCTCAAGTGATCCTCCCACCTCTGCCTCCCATACTGCTGGGAGGCATGAGCCACCACATCTGGACTTTTTTTTTTTTTTTTTTTTTTTTTTTGGCTTTTTGAACCATGTGAGTACTATATTAACAATGAATTTAAATTTTGTTTAAAAATTTTTTTATTAAAAATTGATTTAAAAAGAAAATATAAAATTTACAACTTAAAAATATAGCACAATAATGGCTATTTTCCCAGGAAAACTTGTAGATTTAGGCTGACGGTCCTTTGTGCCGCAGAAGTTGTGGACTGAAAGGAATGAGAAATGTGCTTTAAAGACTGTCTTCCTATCTTCGCCCCCAAGTGGCCGAGAGCTTATTTTGTTGTAACCTTTTTTTTTTCTTTTTCTTCCCTCTTTTTTTTTCAAAGGCTGGTGGGGTAGCAGGTGTTTCTGTTGACTTGATATTATTTCCTCTGGATACCATTAAAACCAGGCTGCAGAGTCCCCAAGGATTTAGTAAGGCTGGTGGTTTTCATGGAATATATGCTGGCGTTCCTTCTGCTGCTATTGGATCCTTTCCTAATGGTAAAAAATTATATTCTCACTTCTGTAAAGCCAAGATAAGATGGGATTTTCAGAATGGTGTGTGGTCTTACCCCCATAGAATTCCTTGTGTGTTGAAGCTTATCTTCTGAATTTCCTTCTTTAACCTGGTGTCATTATTATTTTTTATTTATTTTAGTCACGGTCTCACTTTGTCGCCCAGGTGGGAATGCAGTGGTGAGATAATAGCTAACTGCAACCTTGACCTCCTGGGCTCAAGAAATCCTCTTGCCTCAGCCCCCTAAGTAGCTGGGACTACAGGCGTGCACCACCATGCCCAGCTAATTTTTGTACTTTTTGTAGAGAATGGGTTTTGCCATGTTGTCTAGGCTGGTCTTGAACTCCTAGGCTCAAGCAATCTGCCCATCTTGGGCTCCCCAAAGTGCTGGGATTATAGTCGGCATGAGCCACTGTGCTGGGCCTAACCCATTATTTTTGAATCAGATAGTGTTATAGATTCCATTTCAATATATTTGTAGTAGGGAAAAAAAAAGCAATCTTTTAAAAATTGTTTCTGTTGTTAAAATTTCCAACTAGAATCCTTAAAGTGTTATTTTAATGCTGTGATTCTTCAGAACAATCATTCTCAACTTTGCCTGCACATTAGAATCTACTGGGAAGCCTTAAAAAATACTGATGTCCTGTGTCATCCTAGAAGTTTAATTGGTCTAGGCTTCGCCTGGGTATTAGGAGTTTTAATAACTTCCAAGGTGACTCCGCTGTGAAGCCAAGTTTGATAATAGCTGCTTTGGAGCATCTTAGAGAGCAGGTGAACCTAAGAGGCATTACACATTTCTATCCTAATTAAATTGCTCTTACATGATGCAAGTGTTTCTCACTAATGTTCTCCTGGATACTGTCCTTCCAATGTCTTTTGTTTTGGTTCTGAAGTCATGTGACTTATGACGCTCTTACTCTTTAGTCAATGTAATCTGTTTTGTTTAATCTGCTTCTTGGTATACTGTTTGCAGATACTTATTTTAATTGTTTACTGTTGGATGCCTCTAGTGGCATTTGAAAGTAAACTAAAGCAACAAAACAAAAAATCACCATATATAAGACACACCCACAAAACCACAGCTCTAGAAGATTCTTAAATTCTGGGGATTGCTTTTGTTTTTCGCAGGATGATTCATGAGAATTTTTTTCTCTTACGTTAACCTGACATTTAAATGTTCATTCTGTGAGCATAGCATTCACATAAAGGTTTGTAGTGCAAAGAGAAAAACAGTATTTCTGTTTCTTTTTTTCTCCTGCCCTTCCCCATCCCCCAGCCATCATTAGAATGGCAAACTGTTTTGGTCATCTTTCGATTTTTGTGTATGTTAATACTCTGAGTAATTGTAACAAGTTGTTAAGTGAGCATCCACTCCATGCCAAGCATAGTTTTAAGTACGTGAGAGGGGCATGGGTTCCCCAATTTGTCCACTTTGGAATCACCTGATTACTGAAGAGCTTAAACAAATACAGTTGACCCTCGAACAATTTGGCAGTTAGGGGTGTCGATCCCCTGTGCAGTCAAAAATCAGAATATAACTTTTGACTCCCCCAAAACTTAACTACTGATAGCCTGCTGCTGTCTTAATGATAGCATAAACAGTTGATTAACACATACTTTGTGTGTTAAGATATGTATTAACACATGTTTATGTGTTTTATTATTATTATTATTATTTTTTGAGATGGAGTCTTGCTGTGTCACCCCCCAGGCTGGAGTGCAGTGGCGCCATCTCTGGTCACTGCAGCCTCCACCTCCTGGGTTCAAGCAATTCTCCTGCTTCAGCCTCCTGAGTAGCTGGGATTACAGGCACACGCCACCACACCTGGCTAATTTTTTTATTTTTAGTAGAGACGGGGTTTCACCATGTTATCCCGACGTCACGTGATCTGCCTGCCTTGGCCTCCCAAAGTGCTGGGATTACAGGTGTGAGCCACTGCGCCTGGCAAATGTTTTATATACTGTATTCTTACAATCAGGTAAGCCAGAGAAAAAATACTAAGAAAATCATAAGGAAGAGAAAACGTATATTCAGTAAGTGGAAGTGGATCATCATAAGGTCTTCATGTTGAGTAGGCTGAGGAGGAGGAGGAAAAAGAGGACTTGGTTTTGGTGTCTCGGGTGGCAGAGGCAGAAGAAGTAGAGGAGGTGGAAGGGGAGGCAAGAGAAGCAGGCTCACATAGTGTAACTTTATGGAAATTTATCATAGTTTCTGTCTCACCTTTTTGCTGTTTCATTTCTCTAAAAATGATTCTTTATGGTACCAATCCTTTCACCATTTGCTTTAGTTTCAATGCCCATATTGTATAGAAGGGTCCTTGTCATAAAGGAAGTCAAAAGCAGTCTTTAATAATCAGAACCTTTCTGCTCGATTGTCTGATGTCATTTTCTTTTCTGGCATTCCTTCTTCTACATCTTCTCCCTTGTCATTTGACACTGGTTTGGAAGCACTCATCTCCACCAAGTTGTCTTCTGTTAATTCCTCTGGTGTGGTGTCTGTTAGCTCTTGAATTTAAGATCTATGTTTTGAAACCCTTCATCCCCAACCTTTTTTTTTTTTTGCCACATCCACAATCTCTTTTATGGTTTTCTTGATTGGCTCTGTCATGAATACTGTGAAGGATTTGCCTACTTCTCTTCTTACTGATAAATGTCCTTGGTGACATTTTTCTTTTCCCAGAACAGGGCACTCTCATCTACATTAGAAATCTATTCAGGCAGATGTCCTTTCTGCTCAATAATTTACTTAATGGCAGCTGGGAACTTGTTTACTGACTCATGGATGGCAGAAGCTGCTTCTCCTGTTATCTTGACATTTTAAAGCCAAATCTTTTTCTAAAATTATCAAACCATCCTTGGCTGGCATTAACTTCTTCAGCTTTAGATCTTTCACCTTCCTTTTGTTTGATCTTGTCATGAAATGACTTTGCTGTTTCTCAAATCATTTTAGAGACAGTAAGTATGCCTTTATTATAGCAACCCTTTACCCACATGAAAGCTGCATTTTCAAAACAAGAAAAAAGGTACTTTGCAGGAAGTGTGAAGTTTTCATGCCTGCTGGCATAGCTGCAGCGATGGGTTAATGAGTTTCCTTTCTTTCTTTTTTTTTTTTTTTTTTTTTTTTAACAGTGGATTAAGCTGGATTCATTCATCTTGAAATGGCTGGCAGCCACAGCTTCAGGTTTCAGTCTGTGGTACCTAACAAGCAATTTGACTCTCTCTTGTAATGTCATGACTCCTTTCTGCTTCTTAGGAGCTTTCTTGAAATGTCATCACTTCCAGCATCACTAGTGGCACTTCATCTGGGTCCTGTGGTGTTATTCAAAGTTTGTGGTATGGCACTAACCACGACAAAAAATACATAAGAACTGGGAGAGATCCTTTTGCTCTGTGATAGGCAATTTATTGCGGCCATGAACTGCTCCTGTGGAGATAATTAGTGTCACGTGGCATTTTAAGTGGATACTCCGCAACACCTGAACTCACTATAATAGCAAGAGGAGGTGGCAAAGAGGTTACTACAGTAGTATAGTATGTGCTACAGTTAATTTTGTGCAGTTATGATTTAACACTATACATTTTTTTCCCCCTGAGACCAGGTCTCACTCCGTTGCCCAGACTGGAGTGCAGTGGCATGACGTTGGCCCACTGCAACCTCAACCTCCCAGGCTCAGGTGATCCTCCCACCTCAGTCCCAAGTAGCTGGGATTACAGGTGTGGGCAACCACACCTGGCTAATTATTTATTTTTTTGTAGAGATGGACTTTCTCCATGTTGTCCAGTCTGGTCTTGAACTCCTGAGCTTAAGCCTCAGCCTCCCAAAGTGCTGGGATTACTGATGTGGGCCACTGTGCCTGGCCCATCTTTACATTTGTTTACATTTCTCTTAACTATGAATGATGTGCTATATGGTTTGTGTTTGTAAGTTTTGATGAATTTTAACTTTTTATATTTTATGTTAGTAAATGATAAAATAGGCTAGTATCTAAATATATTTTATGTATTCATGACAGGGCTAGCCTTTTCTTTTCTTTTTTTTTTTTTTTTGAGACAGAGTCTCACTCTTTCACCCAGGCTGGAGTGCAGTGGTGCGATCTTGGCTCACTGCAAGCTCCGCCTCCTGGGTTCATGCCATTCTCCTGCCTCAGCCTCCTGAGTAGCTGGGACTACAGGCACCCGCCACCACACCCGGCTAATTTTTTTGTATTTTTAGTAGAGACGGGGTTTCACTGTGTTAGCCAAGGATGGTCTCGATCTCCTGACCTCGTGATCCACCTGCCTCGTCCTCCCAAAGTGCTGGGAATACAGGCGTGAGCCACCGTACCTGGCCACCTTTTCTTAATTTTTTGGTATTTCTAGGCTATGTGGTTCATCTATAAGTTTGTTCAAATTATCACGAATCTCCAAAAATTTTTCCAGTATATTTATTGAAAAAAAGCCATGTGTAAGTGGACCTGTGCGTTTAAACCCGTGTTCAAGGATCACCTGTACTGCTGCTTGTCACCCAACCCTACACATTGTGACTTAATTGGTCTGAGGTGTGGATTGGGCATTGGATGTTATAAAAAAAATCCCAGGATGATTCTTAAATTCAGACAAGTTTGAGAACCTCTGAACTAGGGAATTGCAAAGAAACATGTCACAAAGTCCCTATCTTTTGGTCACCATTTTTTATGGTGTCTCTACACTCATTCTTCTAAAGATCCTTTTATCTTACATATTGCATAGAAAGATTATTTTGGGAAGATGTACAATTAGCTGTAGTGCGTAGGTTACATAGTGATGTCATTAAGATCACAGGTTTTACATTCTTCCCTCGGGAGTTTACATATATAATGTGGTTTTGAATTATTAGTATTATTTTTGCCATCCATGAAACTTCAGTGAATGGGAGATGCTAGGGAAAAGTCAGAGTACCAGGGTTCAAAAATAGCCTTGTTTTACTGCCAAGTTTGAAAGAATTGGACTTTTGTGTGTGGTGTCTTTTTTCTTTTGCTATTGGTTACGGTTTTAATCTAAGTACAGAACTTCACTGTAGTTGATCATCAGTGGATGTGGATGTTTTTGTAAACCTATGCTGCAGGAGTGAGGGGTTGGGGTGGGGCTAGAGGGAAACAAAGATGGAAAGAGGTGAAGAGAAGACCATGTTTAGGAGCCTTAGTCCCTATTTTGAAGGGAATGTAGAGAAAGCATAGCTTTTTTTTTTTTTAAAGAGCCAGAAGGAACTATAGGCATCAGCTAGCCCAGCCCCTATTCTTTGCTTTAACTTGTTCAGCCCCCAACTTGGAACCTGACTGTACTGACATTTGCAGTTAGTAGAGGCCTTCTTGGATGCCACCTGGAGGGTGGAGGGAGGTTTGGAACTTATATTCTTAAAGAACCTTTTATGTTACAAAAGAAGCCATAAAGTCAGATGAAGTTGAGGTGGTTAACCATGAAATGGAGGAAGTTTTACCACTGTCTCTCTCCCTTTTCTTGGGGGTTAGGAGGGTAGGATGTAGAGTGGCAGAACTTAACAGCTGAATGCAATTAGAGGTATTATAGCTGCACATTTATTAAGTGGGCTGAAGTGGGAAAAATCACATGAAGAAACACAAATGGGAATAGACTTGTGTTAACCAGGTAAAACTACCTGAACTGGTCATTATTCATTCATGGACAGAGTGCCTCTTCATTTAGCCTAGTGTATATTTGTTAGCACGTGAAGATCCTTTACAAGCTTTTGTTGACTTTGGAGAACTGATTTTCACCATCAAGCTGTTTTCCTTAGTGTTTCAGAGTTAGTGACATGTTCAGATGCCCTTCAGAAGATGAATTTGTCATTCCTTTATCTCTTGTGCCTTATCTTTTATCCAACTGATAAACATTTTTTGGTTAACAGTACATAGAAAGTTTTAAAGCCGTCATATGCAGCTATGATTAGTTCATTGTGATAGGGGTAGCTTTTTAGAGGTTTTTAGAGATTTTAATTAAATGGCTGATTGTTTTCTTGATGTAAAAGTGAATTCATGCAGTAAAAAATAGCCATGATTATTTTGAGTAACCAGTAATAAAACATTATAGAATAGACATTTTCTTTAAAGTATGTTTGCAATTTTAACCTGTTTATTCATCAATGTAGTTGATTGTTTTATGGCCATCCATAATGATATTTTGGATCACAGAAATTCATATCCTTTTCTAAAGTTGACTTTAAAAATGTATAAGTAATTTGTCAGTACAACACGGTAAGTGCTAGATTAGCACTTGTGCTCCTTCAGGGTAGGTGTTATATTTTCTGCATTTTTGTAAGTCTAAGATCAGGCATATACCATGGCGTCAGTAAACTCTGAAAGAGTGGGGGTAGGAAGAAAAGATATGTGCTTATCACCTTTTCTCTTATCTCATAATTTAATAATTATTGTCATACTTTTTGAGAAACATGTTTCTTAACAGTGTGAATATATGTTTAAACTTTGTGAAAGACTGGCTTGTTTTAAATTTCAGCTGCTGCATTTTTTATCACCTATGAATATGTGAAGTGGTTTTTGCATGCTGATTCATCTTCATATTTGACACCTATGAAACATATGTTGGCTGCCTCTGCTGGAGAAGTGGTAAGTAACAAGTTTTGTGTATAAAATACTTCAGAAATGCACATCATGCATATATTTTCAGTACATATTTATTTCATTTTTTAAAAATTATTTTTAAATTATGAAAGTCATAAATGGCAATAAATGTAAATGGATTAAATATGACAGTTCGAAGATAGAGCCTGACAACTAAAAGACAGAGCCTTATATAGGACAGAAGAAGAATTCTAGCTATGTGTAATTTACAAGAGACAGATGTAAAACATAATTATATGGAAAAAAGACAAAGAGTGGAAGAAAATATCCATTCGAATTGTGACAGCTTTGTATTGTGTCGGTACAACTGAGCTGGAACTACTTTTCCGAGAATTTCCTTTCCGAAATAGTTTCAGTTTGGGTCAGCCACAAGAGAAATTTGCATGTTCTTTGTAAGGTAGAAGTGAAGAGCTGTATTTCTGCTCAGAAGGTTGGTATATGGTCAGGCACTGTTGCAGCTCACACACCCTGTCACTGACTTGGCTGTATCACCATGTTGACGTTTGGCTTCCAGCTCCTCCAGCTCCCACTGGTTCTTTTCCATCAGCTTCTCCAAATTCTAGGTCAGATTTGTGGGCTCTGTCATGAAGGGTGCCAGCTTATACTGCAAATTCTCTGTCACAGATTGGTGAGAAATAAATGTGACTTCCAGTCTGTCCTTGTTCTTCCCCAACTTCACATCCATCTTTCCTTCCCTGTTGCCTGCCCTTTGATTTCTATCCCAACACTAGATGGAGAAGCAACAGCCCTATACAAACTGCTTAATTAGCTCCCATAATTACTGGTCAAATCTCTATAATCCTTATCACTCATAGTGGTTTTGCTTCTGTGATGAAACCCTAATACTAATTGAAAAATAGTTTGTGGAATAATATTAATATTAGGAAAAAATACGTAAGGCAAAAAACAAAGAGACCAGTGCACAATGATACTGGAACAGTTCTTTCAGGAGATGTAACAAGCCCGAACCTGCACTGAATAACATAGTCTCAAAACATATAAAGCAAAAACTGACAGAATTTTATGGAGAAATGAAGAAAACTGTAGTCTTAGTTGGAGATAGTCACATCTCTCTCTCGAAGTAGGCATAAACTTACTAAGGCCATAGAAGATTTGAACAACACAATGACAAGATTGGTCTGTTGATACATGTAAAACTTTGCACCCAACAAGTAAAGAAGATAGACTTTTTCAAGCATAATTGGAACTTAATAACAATAGCCCACAGGGCCAGTTTTAGTGAATACTGCAGAGACATTGTCATTACAGATCATTAGTTGTGTCATTATAATGAAGTAAAATTGGCAACAGTGACAAAAAATAGGCAGTCTGTTCCTACCATGTGTTTAAAAACCAAACTCTTGGCCGGGCACGGTGGCTCACGCCTGTAATCCCAGCACTTTGGGAGGTCAAGGTGGGTGGATCATGAGGTCAGGAGATCGAGAGCATCCTGGCTAACACCGTGAAACCCCGTCTCTACTGAAAATACAAAAAAAAAAATTAGCCGGGTGTGGTGGTGGGTGCCTGTAGTCCCAGCTACTTGGGAGGCTGAGGCAGGAGAATGGCATGAACCCGGGAGGCAGAGCTTGCAGTGAGCCGAGATCAAGCCGCTGCACTCCAGCCTAGGCGACAGAGCGAGACTCTGTCTCAAAAAAACAAAAAACAAACAAAAAACTCTTTTGTAAATAATTTCAGTCAAAGTAGAACACAGTACTGTAAGTGGTAAGTGTAAGTGATATTTATTTTTTGTTTCTATTTTTGAAGAGATGGGGGTCTCTTTATGTTTTCCAGACTGGTCTCGAACTCCTGGTCTCATGTAGTCCTCCTGACTCAGCCTCCCAAAGTACTGGGATCATAGGCATGACCCACTGTGCCTGGCCAAAATTGATATTTTAAACCGAAATCGTAAACACAGTTATGATTAAAAAAAAAAAAAAAAACAAAACCTCAAAACTAATGCAGAGGAGAAATGTATAATACAAATAAAAGTTTCTTCATTCCCCTCATTAACTTATCTTTCTCCCTACCCCTTCTGCACAATGCTGAGGGACAGCCTTTTATGTTGCTTATTAGTGTTATTTTCAAATCACACAGCCTGGTATTCATGCAGTCTTATTAAACCCCCATCCTTGTGATGGGCATAATAGAAATGGACAACACAGTGAAGATAAAGGTCTTAAGTTTGTAAGCCTTTTATCAAATCACACTTTTCTTTGTAATTAGAAAAGTAATGGCATATGTTTACATAGGAAACTTGGGAAATGAATTAACCTTTATAACATTTACATTAAAAATTGTGTTATATTGTGAATTTGTTTTTGATGCACTTTTTTTCTTTAGGAAGTTTGAACAAGAATCTACAAACTGTTTAGTAACCTAATATTCCTTGTTTAAGAATAAGTGAACTGGGGATATGGAAAGAGAGGTAACACAAAAGTAAAAGTTAACATGAAGAAGATTTTTTTTTAAAGAAACCAGCTTTATTGAGATACAGTTCACATACCATACAGTTCACCCCTTTAAAGTGTACAATTCAGTGGTTTACACCATATTCACAGAGTTGTACAACCTTTGCCAGCGTCCATTTTAAAACATCTCTCCCCAAAGGAAGCTCTTACCCATTGCAGTCACAATCCCCATTTCACCCCAACCCTCCCCACTCCTAGGCAACCACTGGTCTACTTTCTATCTCTATGAATTTGCCTATTTTGGACATTTGATATAAATGGAATCCTACAATATGTGGTCTTTTGTTACTGACTTTTTTCAGCTAGTGTAGTGTTTTCCAGGTTCATCCGTGTTGTAGCATCTGTTAGTAGTTGGTTTCTTTTTAAAATTAATTTAGGTGATTATGTCCTGACACACAGTCTCGTTACATGCAGTTAGTCTGGAGTATGTATACTTACATTTGTTGGTACATTGTTGAGAGCAAGCAACAAAAAAAGAACCTGGCCACTTCATTTCACCTGGGGCCATCTTGCCTGAAAGTTATTTTGCCATGTTGAAGGGCAGGCTTTCCTCAGTTTATAAACTTTCAGTCCAAAAAAATAGAAAGTGATATAATAGGTAGGGCATATAGTAGCTATTAGATTTCTCATGTTAATCATACATCTTTTTATTTGTAGAAAGTCGTTTATATTCTGATGCTCCTAGTATCTGTAACTAATATTTTTAAAAAATTGGAGCCTTGGAAAAGGCTCTAAGTTTCTAAGATTTACAAATATTATGTCATAACATTTGATATGTGGACTGTTAGGCATGGGAGGTGGGGTAGGTAGATTTTAGAATTAGGAAACAAGTATCCATGAGACTGGAGATACAACAGATAAGGACATTCTTACCTACATTGTGTCTTTTGGGGGTTCTGTGGTCCCTGAGCTGGTAAGGCCAATTATCAAACACCTATTTATAGTTGCTATGGAGCTGGGCTCTTGGTAATTTGCCCATGTTGGCTTCAGACTCTTGGCCTCAAGAGATCCTCAGTAGCTGAGACTACTGGTGTGCGCCACCAGGCCTGGCAATTCCTAGAGAATCTTTGTTTTTATTTTGTTTAAGACGGAGTCTTGCTCTTTCGCCCATGCTGGAGTGCAGTGGCGCGATCTCGGCTCACTGCAACCTCTGCCTCCCAGGTTCACGCCATTCTCTTGCCTCAGCCTCCCGAGTCGCTGGGACTACAGGCACCCGCCACCACACCCGGCTAATTTTTTTTTGTATTTTTAGTAGAGACGGGGTTTCACCATGTTAGCCAGGATGGTCTTGATCTCCTGACTTCGTGATCCGCCCACCTCAGCCTCCTAAAGTGCTGGGATTACAGGTGTCAGCCACCGCGCCAGGCCCCTAGAGAATCTTAAGAGGACAATTGGTCAGCAGTGGGTACATAGATTTAGGACTTTACACATGAAATACTTCTTGATGTTGGCTATTTAAATATAAATATAAATATATATATATATGCACACACACACACAAATGCACACACACATATTTACAAATGAATGAATGATGGGGTCTCACTCTGTCAACCAGGCTGAAGAGCAGTGATGTGGTCATAGCTGCTGTAGCCTGTAACTTCTGGGCTCACGTGATCCTCTCACTTTAGCCTCCTGAGTAGCTGGGACTGTAGGCAGGTGCCACTATGCCTGGCTAATTTTTTAAAACAATTTTGTAAAGATGGGGTCTTACTATGTTGCCCAGGCTAGTCTTGAACTCCTGGCTTCAAGCAGTTCTTCCACTGTGGCCTTCCAAAGTGCTGTAATCCAGACATGAGACACTGCACCCTGCCAATATTGACCTTAAATGGACTTTAAATTCAGTTATGGTTTAGTATGCTGAGAAGTTTGCCAAATTTATGAAGTTTGTGGAAATATTGGTTCTGATGCTCTAATAATCTTTGATCTTAAACTTCCTGAAGCCATTCAGTATGAATTTTCTCAATAAATGCTTATATACATATTACGCCTTTCTTTTTTTAGTAACCTGTTTTAGTCTCATAGAAGATAAACTTTTGATTTCAGATTCATGGAAGTATGGTTGCCAAGATTAAGAGAAACCAACAGGTGAATTTAGAGGACATAAATTTTCATTTGTAAAATAAAAAGAAATAGGAATAGAAAACATTTATAGCTGTCAATGGTCAGAAAGGTATAGTAACCTAGAGATTATAAGAAATACTTTAGTGCAATCATTATTCTGTAACACATTTGCTTTGATAGATTATTATGTTAGACAGATTGGTTAGAAACAATAACATATTTTGTTTGTGTTGAATATAGCCACAGTTACTTTCTTGTAGCAACTATTAAGGAAACTTAGAAACAAAAGAACAGTGCCAAAATAATAACCATTCCCTGTAGCAACAGCTTGATTAAAACTTAATGATGAATCAGTGAAACTATAATTACAACCTTCTACCTTATGTTTGCAATTTAGAATACAGTAAAATCAGTCAAATAAGATTTAACATGTAACAATAGCAAGAGGGGTCCTGCTTGTGCCGTTTTTATTAGGAAGATTGCTGTGCCAAATCTCTAAATCTCTACCTCAATAATTTTCCAGCTCAGTTTTCATCACACACAGAAAAAGCCCTTTGGGAAGTAGAATCTGTAATTAGATCAAAGGTTGGGGCAGGTTTACTTTAACGGTACATATGCTATAACATTCTAATGGTAGTGATTTTCTTTTCTTCAAAGGTTTTAAGATTTGACGTGTTGTATCTTATCCTACTTTTGTCTTTATTCATATTGTCAGAAATGAAAAAAACATTGAAATTTCTTCACCCTTGAAAGCAGCAACACTGTGAATGTAATGTATGTTCATAGGTGACATGTACATGTCCTCATACACTTAGATGCTGGTAGAGTGTCCTTTTCAAGTGTCCTTTATGGTCCTGTTCTGACTTGGGATTGAAAAAGCTAGGAAATAAATGATATCATGTTTTGTAAATGTTTTTCTGACAGCCTCTAACAGTACTTCCCCAAGAAGGCCCGATGAGCATCTCCCCATACTTCACCATCAGTTGCGTAGGTAGCTAGTTACAAATGGGGATTTTTGGAGATGACACTAGGGTTCCTGTATTTTAAACACAATCTCTAGATGATTGTGCAACTCACCAATATTTAATGCCACTGATCTAGGCACATAAAACATCTGAACTTACACCCCAGTAGTAAATATTTTTACTGAATTGGCTCAGTAATTCCCTACATAATATTTTAGTAGGTGCACAACACTGGGTGTGGTGTACCACTTGTAGATCAAATGTGTTATTCTTTCTGTTCTCCTCAAAATGACATATTTTAGACCTAAAAAGGCTAGTTTAATAAACTGGTTATTTTTGAGTGTGACAATGAACTCAGACATGTAGATTTGGATTTAACTGGAGTTAGAATGAGGTTTTCTCCAAGGCCCATGCTGTCATAGAGCCTCGTAGGCAAAGGCAGCTTGTTTTATGGTTTAGCTCCTTTAGTAACTGACAAGGCCGTTGGACCCCCTTTGTACCACAGTCCATTCCAGGGTCTCCTTTGGTATCAGCATATGGGGCAAACATGTTCTTATTCAGCTTTCCCACTGGTTAAAGGATTGGACGCATAGATGCTGTGTGGTGTTTTTCAGCTCCAGAGCATGGTGCACATTTTACTGAGTTTTTCCCTAGTTGTGGCTTAAGCTGTTTTGTTTATCTACTTAATATCATGCTTTAAAAATGAGTACGTAGTATTCTTCATGATCTTCACTGGCCTTTTCTAAGAAGAACCACTGAGCAAGATAATAGAAGAAAGGTTGACAACTTTTGAAATGTATTTTATCTTTTGAATTAATCATGCTTTTGAAATATTCATCGATCAATACAGATTATCTCTCCCTTGCAGCTGGAATATTTTGCCACATCTCTGCACAGTTGTATAAGTGAGTCGTGGGGGATAGGTGAAGTAGAAGATAACATGGCTGCCCTGAGCCACAGTGAAATGTAGCTGATGATGGCAATTGCTTGTATATAAAGATGAATGAAGGTTCATCAATAGTGTATGACTATTACCAGGAAACACAGAAGCTGAAACAGAACTGTCAGATACCTGAGTGCACTCAAACAAACACTTTTTTTGTGTGATGTGTCTAAGCACATCCATGTATTATGGGACCTTTCACCCTATTTTCCTGTCTGTTGACTTTTTCAAAGTGTGTCTGGGAGTCTTCCTTCAGGGCATTAAATACATAAGGCAGGCAGACTTTTAAATTCCTTCTTAGCAACCCTAAACCATAAGAATTACACAAAAAATTATCTCAACCATATAAAAAGCAGTTTGTTTTCCAGACTCCTTTTATTTTGTATTATTTCCTCACTTGTACATCTTTGATTCTTTTTTGTAATAGGTTGCTTTTGTTCAGCTCATCTTAGATTCCTTCACCACTTCTATGGTCCTTACCTAGTGATGTGGATTTAGATCTGAAGTTCCTAATACGTTCCAGGCATTGAGGATGAAATGACAGGATAAGATACTGCCTTTTAGAGGCTTGCTGTAAGTGCACTAAAGTGTTACAGGCATTTTTAAGAAAAGGAACTATAGACGGTCCGTGACTTACGATGGTTCTACTTAAATGACTTTACAATGGTGCAAGAGTGAGATGCATTCAGTAGAAACTGTATTTCAGATTTTGCATTTTGATCTTTTCCGGGCTAGTGATAGGTGATAAGATGCTCTCTGGCAATGGTGGGCAGTGCATGTCCCAGTCAGCTGTGCTGGTGTAAGTATTCTGAGCAATTTTAGGGAGGCAAGGCTAAAGCAATGATGTTCCGTAGGTTGGGGGGTATCACATGCGTTTTCAACTTATGATGGGTTTATTGGGACATAACCCTGTCATAAATTGAGGGTCATCTGTACAAGGTAGAGTGAGAGACTGAAGGGAAGGAGGGGTTGGTTTTCTCCGGACTGGGGTAGATGGATGGGTGTTAATTCAGAAAAAGCCTCACAGAATAGCCAGGCTTTAAGCTGCATTTAATTTAATTCATTAAAAAAATTGTGCATCTATTTAAGGTATCAACACAATGTGGGATACGTATAGATAGTAAAATGGTTGCCACAGTGAAGTAAGTCAACATATCCATCATTTAACATAATTAGTCTTTTTGTTTTGTGTTTGTGGCAGGGCAGCTAAAATCTGATTTAGCAGGAGTCTCAGTTATAGTACAATTTTATTATCTTGCATTTAGAATAGGATGGTTTGTTAGGTGGGTGGGTGCAAGGAGGGGTGTTAGAGTTCTGAAAAGACCTTGTTAGGTAGTTTTAAGTTCCATATGTTTGGAGCACAGTATGATAGGGTCACCCTGAGGCGAAGCAGGGGCTGAGAGCTATAGGGCCTTGCCTGCTATAGTAAGGAGTTGGGACTTTTTTGATCAGACTTGTAATTTTAAGAAAGTCCCCTGGCAGCTGTGTGGAGATAAGGAGACTATTAAAGGAATCCCCAGGAGAGAACCACAGCTGGGGCAGAGGGATGCAGAGGGAGAGAGTGAGTTCAAGAGATGTTAAAGAGGTAGAGCTGGTGGAAAGATGATCATTCTTTCAGGAGCCCTTCCAGCGACATCCTTCAGTGCGTTTTTCATCATGGATGCCTTTTAGTTTGTTGTGTCTATGTGTGTTGTGCACCTACTTGAATTCTCCAATGGAGTCTACCGAGCTAAGTTGAATAAGCATGCCCCATCTTGCCAGTGGGCCCAGCCATCTGAGTCTGAGCTAACACGCAGAGAGGGAAAGAAGACGAAAGAGAGAGAGGGTCAGAACGGGAGGGTCAGGGCTTCCCCTGGCTTGGCATTATCTGTGTGTGGTTATGACCTTGCTTGTAGTTATTCATCTATAGTACAGGCATGAATGTGCTGAAGAGATTTATCAGTGAGGCCTGTAGAAAGGAACATTGTACCCCATCTGCATCCTCACCCCCAGTTTCTCGATGAGTTCCTTTTCTAACATATTTCAGATTGTTTTCTGTTGTATGGATTTTCTTTTTCTAATATAGTATGCAGTGTTAGTTCAGATGGTATTGATTCATGACCTGGGAGAGTATATTTCATTGATTTTTTTATTTAGTTAGTGGACAAAAAGGAAGGGAAGCTCTGTTAACTTTTTATTTAAGAGCTGCATGAGTTTATAGAACACAATTAAGTTGAGCTTTATAGGCACAGTATGATTTTCATATAGGTTGATGAAGTTGAAGAAACGATTCTGAGCCACAGGAGTGTAACTTGGTCAGTTATTGCCACTGCATTGTAAATGGAAAGACTGAATACTACTCTCAAAGGACCAAAATACCAAAGGAGGTTAGGATTGGCCACTTCCAAGCGAGCCTGAACTCTGTCAGTGACAAACCTTTATTTCCTAAAATATTGCCTTGTTAAGATTAGGGTTCTTGAATTAAATGCAACTGTCACTTATTTGCTTTGGTTTGTGATTGTGTGCTTTTCAATATTTGAGTTGTATAGCTAATACTATTAATAGGTGCTAAGAGACACCGAATAAGAAATTTGATCCCCGTTTTTGAGGAGCATATAAGTAAGTTGGATCCATCTGTTAAATAACTAGGGAGTATTTGAGGATGTCTGTAGGGAGGTAGCAAGGTATGGACCATGGGCTGTCAAGTTACACAGATCGGGGTCAGATTTGTGACTTGTCCACTTATTTGTCTGTAGGCCATTTACTTGCCTTCACTGAAATGCTCTTTTCCTCATCTTGAAAAAATAGGATTAATGCCATCCCAGTCACAGTTCTTACAAGGATGAAATTATACAGCACTTAACAAAGTGTCCAGCCTAGCATCTGACACACAAAATATTGAATAAACATTGGGTCTAGCCCCATTTCACACAAGTTGCTGAATGCGGCACGTTTTTAGAATTTCCTAGTTTTGGGAAAGGTATCTATTCAGAAGGTGAAAAAATTGAAATTCAAAGAAGTTTAGTGATGTGCTCCAAGTTTCCCAGCTATTATTATTCCCAGCTAATAATAAAACACCACTGTAGAATAAGTAATTAGATAAATATTTCTCTGTATACTTCCAGGAGCACCTCTGTTTTCTTTTTCATGTAGTATTTAAAAAATGGCAGAAGTAGCGGTAAGTATACTACTTGTGCAGTAAGGATTCACATCACTGGTTTCTTAAAAGGTCAGGTTCCAAAATTTGCCGTTGGTTACTGTGATAGGCAAAATAATGCCCCCCCCCCCCCATAAATATGTCCTAGTCCCCAAATCTCTGAATGTGTTTCTTCACACGGGAAAGAGATTTGGCAGATAATATTAAGAATGTTGAGATGGGGGCCGGGCGCAGTGGCTCATGCCTGTAATCCCAGCACTTTGGGAGGCTAAGGCGGGCGGATCGTGAGGTCAGGAGATCAAGACCGTCCTGGCTAACACGGTGAAAGCTTGTCTCTAAAAAAAAAAGCAAAAAAAAGTTAGTCGGGCATGGTGGTGGACGCCTGTAGTCCCAGCTACTCGGGAGGCTGAGGCAGGAGAATGGGGTGAACTTGGGAGGTGGAGCTTGCAGATCGCGCCACTGCACTCCAGCCTGGGTGACAGAGTGAGACTCCATCTCAAAAAAAAAAAAAAAATGTTGAGGTGGAAAGAGTTTTCTGGATTATCCACGTGGGCCCAGTCTAATCAGTAGGGTCCTTAGGAGAGGGGAGCGGGGGTCAGAGAGCTGAAGATGGTATACTGCTGGTCCAAAGATAGAGCGAGGGGCCACAAACCAAGGAGTGCAGGGGAGCCCTAGAAAGCAGGAAGTCAACATTCCCTTGCAGCTTCCAGAAGGCATACTGCCTGACTGACATCTCTCGGTCTTAGCTCAGGAAGACCCATTTTGGAATTCATACCTTCAGAATTATAGATAATAAGCTTATGTTTTAAGCCACTAAATGTGTGGTGATTTGTCAGAGCAGCAGTAGGAAGCAAATACAGTCACCATTGCCACCTCCTCAACGTTCAGATTTTTGTATTGGTGGGAATCTATAAATCCATCCATGGGATGTTTGTCACCTCCTGTGAAATCATGGCTCATTTCTGTTATGGAAAAATACAAAAGCAAAAAAGCCATTTGAGGCTTATCTTTTGGGTTGTATAAAATTCTGTGAACAAATTGTAGACACAGGGACTAAGTGTTGATAGAGTTATTTTCTTTGAGAAGACTTCCTTGTGTAGTCTGTATTACCCGTGACAGCAGTCTTGTCAGGCGAGGGAAGACTAATACCTACAACGATTGAACTTATTTGCGTGATTGGAAAGAGTCTTATAAGGGGGAAAGGTTTGATGAACATAGGTCCCAATGCAAGTAGGTAAAAATTAAAATCTAAGGAGTGTAAGTTAGGATTTGTAAATTGGTTTTGTCAACAGCTGTAATTCCATTTATCAACAGAAGATGGCAGACTTGACACACAAATGAACTGTTGTAGAGGTTTTTGATTTTTTAAATGATGGTATAGAAAGAGATGTAAAATATTCTTAATTGGAAACCTGCTTTCTAAAGAGAATTTTGGGAATTACAAAGAGAATGTGGAAATGAAATACACGTAAGCAAATTGCATTTCAAAAATCTTCATAGTTTCCAGGGGTCTCTCCCTGACCCCCTGTCTTACTAATTTGCCACTTTGAGTTTGCTCTGGAAAGTCCAAAGCAGCTTTTGCTTTGAATACGATGAAGCTTTGAGTGGCTCTGTTCAGTGTATTGTTAAATTTCTGTTGAATTGGTTATAGAGTTGCCTGTTGAAACATGAAGCATTAGCTGAAATTAAACCTTGAACCTCTAAGTGCATTAGATGTGTGTAAGTATGACATCTTTATTGAAAAATAATTCTGGAGATGATAGTCAGAACACTTGGGTTTCACCCATGCTTCCTGAGCTAAGTAGCTCTCTGACCTTCAGCAACTTCTATGATCTCAGATTGATTTATATATAAAATGGTGACATAATTAGCTTCTAATATCAGAGGAATATTTGCAGGTAGTTGATGGAGTTTCTTGGAGAAAAATCTTAAATCAGAATTTTTTTTGTGAACTATGTTGAAATAGTTGCGAAGAAGATGTAATGTTAATAAAAGGTATTATTGGGGATACTTAGGGACTTTGAAGAGCATTTCCAGAACTAGAGGACAGGGTGCAGTTGTAAAACCCTGGTGGTGATGTGTTGAAGGAAGGGAACTTGGCTGTGGCAATGAAAGAACCAGGGGTTTTAGCAGCATCCATCTCTCTTTTCCTCCACTCAGTACCTAAAGTGAGGCCGAAGTTCACTGGAATTTTTTCCCTTTCAAATGTTTAGTTTTATGATTTGTAGTCTTGCATCTTGGGTTTTTGTTTTTGTTTAAAGAGACAGGATCTCATAGGTGGCCTAGGCTGGCTCCAAACTTGTGACCTCAAGTTATCCTCCTGTCTTCACCTCCCTGAGTAGCAGGGGCAGCATGCATGTGCACCTGGTTCTTGGTGTTTCATTTAATAAATATCAAAAGGAAACATTCAGTCCTTAGCTGCAGCAGTCAATTAAAAACAACAGAAAATATTTTATTTATGCCAAAGGAAGAAAAATCTTGGTAGCAGCATCATGATTTAATCAACATTTTAATCTAAGGTTTCATATTTTGGCATATTTAAGGAGGCCAGCATTGCATTTTGATTTTGATAAAGTATGGAGGGAGCATGTTTTTTTTTTTTTTCCTTTATGGAAAACCTTAGTAGTTCTTGTTTTTAGATAGAACTTTAACATTTAAAACATTCTTGGATTTAGTGAAAATGCCACCATTCCTGTGTCATGGATTCATACTGAACCTCAGATTTATAAGGAAAGAATGCTTTACAGAATGGATTTACCAAGAGACCCACAGATGACATTCTGTTTCCTTTCATAGAACCATAATACTGTAACATGTTTTTGTTCTTGTGCAGTGAAATACTTTGTTGTAGCTCAAATTCAAATCTAAGAAGGATCAGAGTTAATAGAAAACCAAATGGAAGGCTCCGGAGGTACTGGAGGAAGCAGAAGCATTACTTTGTAGCATCTCTCATGCCACAGTTGTCACCCAGCAGAAGTCAGGAAGCCATGCTGGGTGCTTTGTACCCCTCAGCTAGTTAGATTGATTTTTTATCGGAGAGGCTTTTCAAAGTTTTTCTTCTGCATCTGTATTTTTAAGAACTAAAAACACAATAGTAAGAACTTGGAGGGTTATGAAGCATGAAGTTCCATAAATATTTATACCAAACCACAGAAGTAGACAGTTCCTATTTTCTTCACATATTGGGGTCGGATTTCACTCTTGACCTCTTGAATTGAAAAATACAAGGAGTTAGTATACCCTTTTCTTTCTCTTATTTTTTCTTATTTATTTATTTTCAGTTCTTTAATGAGTTTTAGATGCTGGGAGCTGTCCTGTTAGGTTCATGTAGGTTTCGTTGGACTTATACCCAATTTTAGGCCTTACTGGTAAGCTGTTTAATCTGTTTTTGTGGATTTATTGCTACTAAATTTATAATATGTCCTTTTTATCAAGGCTGATAGGTTGCCATCTAAAAGCATATTTTAAATTAGCCCTTTTATTTTATTTTTCTTCCTCACTTAAAATCTTTGGTCCATAATAAATACTTTTTTCCTTTGAAATTATGTTAAAAACTTGTGAAATAATAATAAATGTGAATTGTAGAGAATTTAGAAAATATAGGTAGGTAGAAAAGAAACACCTGTAATTCTACTCTGTTTTTTCCCTACTCTTTACATAAGTATATGTATAGGCAATAAATATATGTAGAGGCAAAACAAAAAAAATTAGGCTGGACATGGTGGCTCTCGCTTGTAATTCCAGTGCTTTGGGAGGTTGAGGCAGGTGGATCATTTGAGGCCAGGAGTTTGGGACCAGCCTGGGCAACATAGCAAGATCCTTTCTCTACTAAAAGATGAAAAAATTAGCAGGGTGTGGTGGCACACCCGTAGTCCCAGCTCCGCAAGAGGCTGAGATGGGAGGATCACTTGGGCCCAGGACTGAGGCTGCAGTGAGCTTTGACCATGCCACCTTACTGTAGTCTGAGTGACAGAACGATACCCTGTTTCTATGTATATTTATATGTAAATTCTAAAGTATGGAGAAGTCATTTCTGTGGAATTGATGATTATTTTTTTGCTGATTCATTTCCTCCTGGCTAGTTTCATTTGTTTTCAACATAAAATAATACACCAGCTGATTAGTAAGTTTGGTGCATACCATCTTCTTGCTGTCAGGGTGCTTACAATTTAGTAGAAGAGGAAATATATTTCACAAACTATATGGTGTAAGCTAGTAAGTAAAAAACGTCAGATAAGAAAGCTTATTTGGGAATTAAGAATACAGAGGGAGGGAATCTTTTGAGGTTAGATAAGGTATAATTTTGGAAAATTAAGAATTATAGAAATAAGGACCTAAAAAGATACCATAAAGATTTCTGGTCCA
This sequence comes from Homo sapiens, assembly GCF_000001405.40. Taxonomy (NCBI): domain Eukaryota; kingdom Metazoa; phylum Chordata; class Mammalia; order Primates; family Hominidae; genus Homo; species Homo sapiens. The sequence goes on from NC_000003.12 coordinate 66,257,269, forward strand.
AGTCAAGTAAGAAAAATTATACATATATGCATCTAATTGCATAAATATATACATTATTATTTGTCAATTTTCTTCATTTTAAAATGAATTAAAAAAAAAGAAAAGACTCTGGAAGGCCAGGGAAACACCTGGGAATTCACTTGCAGAACTGGGGCCACAGTCTAGGGCCGCAGACCCTCAGCCAGACCACTGCTCATTCCTCCCTGGAGTTGAGCCCTGAACCAAAGATCCAGGTTTGATGCAGGAGTGACCCCGAGGCTGAGGGATGGGCCTGGTAAAGGGAGGTAGTCATAGACGGAGAGTCATGGGCTCGGGCCTCTGACTCTACCTTTTTTCATTTCCTGTGGGGTCTTCATGTATTATTTCACTTCTTTGCTAGATTATCAGCCTTTCTCTTGCTGATAGCACTTTCCCCCATCGTATGTGCAAATATTGACTGTGTTAAAACCACACTATTCCTTGACCCTGTGGCCCTCTTAACTCTGAATCCATCTCCTAACACCTAGCCATCTTCACACGACGGTAGTGTACACTTGCTCATCTCCCTCAATCCCTTATGAATTGACCGTAATGGATCTCCCACCCCAGCCACTCTATGGAAGCAATACCGGTGAACTCTGTAAACCTTCATATGTGCGCTGCTCGAGACTCTTGATGCGTTGCTCTGCCAGTCTCCATTTGAGGCTTCTGGCCCCCTTGCACATCAAGTAGGGTGCTTGGTTGCTTGCCATCAACATTGATCCTGGCTAACTTATGGAATGAAGAATATTTTTTGGAAGATTGGCAGACACTGTTGCCTTCCACTTCTCCTTTGCCCACAGAATACTGATTTGGTTTGTGTCTCATGTTCCTAACGCTTTGCTAGATCTAGATATCCTCCACCTCCCTAACAAGGGGTGGCCATGTCACACAACTCTGGCCAACACATGCAAGGAGATGTCTGCGGGGGAAATCTGAGAAAAGGGAGGAGGCCTGTTCTCCTTGCCTTCAACTCTGTTGTGTGATAGGGTGGTGCTGGAGGACGTAAGAGCTGTCTTTTATCTGAGAGTCAGGATGCCCAGGATGAGAGGCCAGGAAGCTGGGTGGCTGGGTAGAAGGATAGGAAGAGCCTGGCATCTTGTTCACTTTGAAGTTCTGGACTAAAATTTGAACTGCCTGTCACCAAATAACTTAAGTGACTTAATGTCATTTGTAGTCATGGTCCTGGCACTTGCATCTAAAAAAGCAATTATTTCTGTAAATGAATGTTCAGCTCTCCCGCTTGCTCCAAACAGCACTGTTCAATGGAGATATAATGTAAGATGCAGGTGAAATTTTATATTTTCTAATAGCCACATTAAAAAAGGTGAAAACATCTGCTGGGATGAATTTTAATAACATATTTTATTAAACCACACACATCCATGGTATTTAGATTTCACTGTATAATTAATGTAAAATAATTATTAATTGGGCATGGTGGCACCACCTACTCAGGAGGCCAAGGTGGGAGAATTGCCTGAGCCCAGGAGTTCAGGGCTAGCCTGGGCAACATAGTGAGCCCTCATCTCTCTCTTTTTTCTTCTCTTTCCTTTTCTTTTTTTTTTTTTTTAATTATTAACAGGATATTTTACATTAATTTTTTATACCAAGTTTTCAAAATCTGTCATTTTAACACTTACAGAACATCTCAGTTGTACTAGCCACTTTTCAAGTGCTCCATAGCTGCATGGGCTAGTGGCCTGCATATTTGCCAGCATAGCTCTAGAATCAGACCCCTGGACGGGAGTGTTTGATTAGCCAGACCTAACTCACCTGATTGTGGTCCTCCTGCCAGGGTAGGAGGGGAGAGACTGACTCCCTTTGTTTTTCCTAACTGGGAAGCCCCCCACACGTGAGAGTCGGAAGCTGGGCTGCCAGAGAAGGCAGGTGTGCCCTGCAACATTATGTACCGCCTTCCAGTGTTGCTTGCTCTTTAGAAATTTATGTTCCCAGGGTTCCATTATTGGCTTTGATCTTCCTTTTTGGTTCTCTCTTTGGGTGTTACTATCTGGTTTTAGCGATCACCTGTATGCTGATGACTTCCATATCTGTATTCACATCCAAGAAAAAGTTACTTTCTAGTTTTATAGCCATATATTCATTTCTTGACTGGACATAGCCCCTTACCTGTCCCCCAGACTTCAACTCAGCCTTGCCTAGTCTGAACTTACCTCCCTTCTTCCCTGGACTGCTAATCTCATGTTTTGGGACCACCATATGCCTATTATCCAAACCAGAAACAGAAGCATCTTACTGTCTCCCTACTTCTTCACTCCTTAACCTCCTGTCAGTGACCAGGTCCGGTGCATTTTACTCCTTTTTCCTCAGATTTGACCTTCTCTGAGCCATATTCATTTCCAGATGTCTTTTATAGAACTGCTATAGCAGTCTCGTAACCCATCTTTTGCCTTCTGGCTCGTGGTCCCCCTTTGCTTCTTGCCTTCCTCCCCACCCTCCAGCTGTCCTGTGCATTGCAGCCAGAGTGATCTCCCTAAGCACACGTCATTCCTCTGCTTCAGCTTTTTCAAGTGTTCCCACTGACTATGGAATGAAGTTTCAGCCCCTTAGCATGGTATACAGGGCCTTGTCTGTCCAGTCTTACTTGTCATTACTCCTGACCTTGCACTTGCTGCTTTGGTAATACGGAATGGTGTGGGCAGCTGCCAGCTTTGGAATACTGTGTTGGTGGGACTGCCGCTGATTCCCCTGAACACCCTGCTTTTGTATTTATGTACTTCCTTTTATTGTTCATTCTTCCCACTGTGCCCTTTCCACCTTTCTTGCCAGCTCATTCCGGCTCATCCAGAAGGTTCTATAATGGTGTAATCTTGGGCAGTTTCTCTGAATCTGGGGGTTGGACTAAATACCCCTCCTCCACATTTCCCATAATCTTTGTCCATGCGCCCCACCCCCCTTTTGGCCATGTTTTATTGAAATTATTTATATGTATTTGCGGGTTCTTTGAAGCCAGGGCATCATCTTAGTCTTCTTTATCATGGAGTGGCTTGTGTGGTATCTGGCTCCATATGTATTTCTTGAACTGAATTAGATAAGTTTGAAGGGAGACTGGGTGGAAAAATATGTTGGCCCAAGTTACAGACAGCTTTATACATAAGAAGCATTCAAATGTTCAGTGAATGAAGAAATGGAAATCAGATGATATCGTTTTGTAAATCTTGTCAGTTTTGGTAGAAAAATAACTTCAGGTTATGAATCCTTTGTTAACATAACCATACCCTTTGTTGTAATGCATCGGTATGAAGCATTGTTACTTCTTAGCTTTAGAGGCAATATGCCCGTGTTAGCTGACTTCATGACATCTAAAATCACATCACATGGTGTCTTTGTCCCACTTGTCATGGGGTGCTCGGGCTTATATCTGTTCTGTGCCCAGTCTGCTCTTGCCAAGGCTAATTCCCTTGGAGTAGGAGTTGGCAAGCTGTCACCTGTTTTTGTAAATATAGTTTTATTGGAACATAGGCAAACTTTTAATTTATATATTATTATGTATAGATGCTTTTGTGCTAAAACAGCATAGTTGAACAATTGTGACAGAGACCATGTGGCTTGCAAACTGTAAAATATTTCCTATTTGGTCTTTTACATTATAAATTTGCTGTAGAGCCTTGCCTTAGAACCATTTAATTTTGGACAGGCAAAGCCTTATGTGATATCCAAATTGAGTACTGATCTCTGATTAGGAATCAGGAGAATACGGATCATAAAGGGCAAACCTCTTTGAGTTGTGTACTCTATTTGGTGGAATGGTTTTCTTACATTTCTTGCAGGCTGGTCTTGAACTCCAGGGCTCAAGCGACCTTCCTGTCTCGGCTTCCCGAGTGCCATAACTTTCATGTTCAAGGTTACATATGTGAAATCTAAGTTGCAGAAAAAGTTTGTATATTTGCAGACTGCTAGGTGCATAGCGGCTTAAATACAGGACTTTCATTAAAATGTTTAAAATATTTTTACACATCTCCCTCCCTGTACCTTGCCACCCCTTCTCCAACCTTGCCTTCTTTGCTTTTGTGGGCAGAGTTCCTTTGGGTTTGACTAATTCTTTATTGTTTCTATTTCTGAAAATAAGTAAATTACCTTAATATAGGGTAAGGTAAAATCCTGGCAGTGTGGATTTGAGATGACATATACCCGGCCTCAGCATGTCACCAAGGGTGATATTAGAATCATATATTGGCTGGTAGCTGTGAGGATGACTCAAGTCTGCTGGAATGCTGGAGGAGAGTGTATGAGAGTGCTGGGAGTCCCTTTTCAGTTGCTGCATGATCAAGAGGTCTAGGGGCTGGAGTTGGTGAAGGGTGGAAGGCTGGGTACCAGCTGATGGTCAGCTTGCCTCTACGGATGTATGCATTACTTCCAGTAAAGCAGAGGTTCCTCTGGTTCATTTTTCATCACACATGTTTGAAATGTCATGTGCCAGTTGCAGTTCTGGGCGTTGGGGATTCGAAATGAGTAAATGTGCTTCTTGCCGTTGGGAGGCTTGTAGACAGATGTTCTTGGAACATCTGGCGGGAGGTGGCAGGATCTATATAGGACAAGCCAGGAAAGGTTCTGGGCTGACAAAACAATGTACATGCTTTAAGGGTCCAAGAGTTTTAGGTTAAAAAAAAAAAAAGAAACTTTTTGACATCTTGCAGTAAGCCTACATATTATACCTTTTTACTACAATTTTTGCTTACCAAAAAATTTCAATTTTTATAGCAGTTATTTACTTTTTAGGATATAATCAAATTTGTCTTTTAGGTTGCCTGCCTGATTCGAGTTCCATCTGAAGTGGTTAAGCAGAGGGCACAGGTATCTGCTTCTACAAGAACATTTCAGATTTTCTCTAACATCTTATATGAAGAGGTGAGATGGGTTTTTTAAGCTCTTCTTTTCTTTATTAAGATTTTATAGTAGCTAATACGAACACTGTGGATTTCATCCTAAGAGCCTTAGAGAAAACTTTAGAGCTAAATTTAATGTCCAGTTATAGTAAATTTTTGCTAAGATTATCTTTGCCTTTTATTGGTTTTTGAATATTTTCATTTACATGTTTTTCAAATTTCTGAGCATAACATTGAGTGTCCTGAATTGTAATCTTCCTGCAGTTCTTCTGGAATCAGATGTGAAACAAATTTTAAATATGTAAAATGAAGAAAGATATTATATTAAAACATCAGTATAGTATTTTAGGTCCATGGAAGAGATTTAGTACTGGACTGATAACAGTGACCAATGTCATAACGTTTATACCAAAATGTAGCTTCTTTTACAGATGTATTTGAAGCTGTCAGTCAGAAATTATTCTTCCTGACCATGTGACTAGAGAGCATTTAGCTGCTTTCCTTTATAGTTTTTATGGAAGCCTTTTTTTAAAAAGACATGAGAATCAATCACATGGGAATTTTCAAAGAGTCTTGATTTTAGAAAAGTTATTTGTAATGGTGTGTTACATAGGTGAGGAGACATTGAATATCTAATTGTACAAATGAGATGAAGCTAGTATAACTTCCCCGTTGAACTATGTGGATGGTTAATCCAGGGTTGTCTGGAAATACTGACCACTAGTTTGAGAGATTATGAATGAATTTCTGATGTTTGAGGCTATAAATATAATTGTTTTTATACAAAAGGATAATTGGCATTTGTAGGCATTTGCTTTTGGAAATGTATTTAAAGCATCTCAAATGTTCTTTTCAAGAGAACACATGTTAGAGCAATTAAGTACTATATAATTAATATTTAGTAGAATAACAGCAACTAAAACTAAGTAAATATGTAGTCAGTTTTATTGTTAGAGATGTTCCTGTTTCAAAGAGAGCTAATCTGAGCTCCCTTAGGAGCTAGTTATAGAGGTATATAAGTTATATAAGGTATAGTTATGTACCTTAGGACAGTTTAGAATCATTAACCTCTTAGAGAAGTGTGGCAATTGTGAATGTTCTAGAACTCAAACAAGAGCAGGTAGATCTGCTGTATACAGAATGTCCTTCAGAAATCTCTGCCATTCTTTCTGAACTCTCGGCTGTGTGTTTGTTTCAGGGTATCCAAGGGTTGTATCGAGGCTATAAAAGCACAGTTTTAAGAGAGGTAAGTCACTTACTTTCCAATATTGAAGTACGAAAGAATGATGTCCTTTGTTCAGTAAATTTATACTACTTAACAATTAGAAATATATTTGGAGAAACTTGGTTTAAAAAATCAAAAAGGGAAATTATCGTCACTCTTCTGTTAAATTTTCTGAGTTTTTATATTTAAAAGAATGAGTAGAATGGGTTTGCCGGAAGAGCAATTTCAGTGGTCAGAATGACCCATGTTGTTACTGACTTGTTATTCTAGGGTGGCTAAATGTCTCTTATAGTTGAAGTATTTTTTGTTTGTTTTTTTGAAATGCAGTCTCGCTCTGTCACCCAGGCTGGCGTGCAGTGGCGCGATCTCGGCTCACTGCAACCTCCGCCTCCCAGGTTCACGCCATTCTCCTGCGTCAGCCTCCCGAGTAGCTGGGACCACGGGTGCCCACCAGCACGCCCAGTTGATTTTTTGTATTTTTAGTAGAGATGGGGTTTCACCATGTTAGCCAGGATGGTCTCAATCTCCTGACCTCATGATCCTCCCGCCTCGGCCTCCCAAAGTGCTGGGATTACAGGCGTGAGTCGCCGCGCCCGGCCTCCCGGCCTCTTATAGTTGAAGTATTAAGAAGTAACTTCGGGTCAGGCGTGGTAGCTCACGCCTGTAATCCCAACAGTTTGGGAGGCCGAGGCAGAAAGATCACCTGAGGCAAGTTCGAAACCAACCTGGCCAACATGACGAAACCTCGTCTCTACTAAAAATATAAAAATTAGCCAAGTGGTGGGCACCTGTAATCCCAGTTACTCGGGAGGCTGAGGCAGGAGAATTGCTTGAACTTGGGAGGTGGAGGTTGCAGTGAGCCAAGATCGTGCCACTGGATTCCAGCCTGGGCAACAGGGCAACAAGAGCGACTCTGTCTCCAAAAAAAAAGAAATAACTACTAAGGGTAAGATATCAAGTTTATTACTGAATTTTGAGGAACTAATGAAAAATTGGTAATGAAATAAGCCTTCTAAGACAGGGACCCCAACCCCAGGGCCGTGGACGTGTACTGGTCCGTGGCCTGGTACTAGTCTGTGGCCTGTTAGGAACTGAGCCACACAGCAGGAGGTGAGCAGCAGGTGAGTGAGCATTACCACCTGAGCTCTGCCTCCTGTCAGATCAGCAGCAGCATCAGATTCTCATAGGAACACGAACCCTATTATGAACTGCGCATGTGAGGGATTTAGGTTGTGTGTTCCTTATGAGAATCTAATGCATGATGATCGGAGGTGGAACATCTTAGGTGGAACAGTTTCATCCTGAAACCACCCACCCCACCACTGGTCCATGGAAAATTTTCTTCCACAAAACCTGTCCCTGGTGCCAAAAAGGTTGGGGACCGCTGGTTTAAGAGGTGGATGTCTCAGAAGTCTGTATCAGGCAGTGAGCCCTTGGCTTCTTGATAACAAAATATGAGCTGGGAAGTTCAGTCTGGACTGGAGTCCTGGCACTGCAGGTGATTCACAGAGCAGTGTATCCCAGGGGAAGCCACTTCACCTCTCTTTGCCTTCTAACTCTAAATTTCTGTGATTCAACACATGGGAAATTTTCTTTTGTTCTGTTTGGTTGAAAGAGCAAAAGTTTACCATCACTAAGTAGTTTCAGTATATTACTGCAAGAACATGGTATGGGCCAGGCATGGTGACTCAAGCCTGTAATCCCAGCATTTTGGTAGGTGGAGGTGGGTGGTTTGTTTGAGCCTAGGAGTTCAAGACCAGCCTGGGCAACATTGTGAGACCCTGTCTCTATAACATACGAAAACTAGCTGGGCATGGTGGTGCCTGTAATCCCAGCTACTTGGGAGGCCGAGGTGGGAGGACTGCTTGAGCCTGGGATGTCGAGGCTGCAGTGAGCTGTGATTGTGCCACTGCACTCCAGCCTGGGTGACAGAGAGACCCTGTCTCAAAAAAGAAAAAAAATAAAAATAAAAAGAAGCATGTTATAATCTTTGCTTCACATAGAAGAGACTATCTTGAAAAAGTTAGTTTTTTCTAAGTTCAAAAGTTCGTTTTCAGATAGGTGAGATATAAGAGAAGTCTGGTTTGGGACACAATTCTCTGTTAAAGAAAATACAAGTGAGAACCTGCATACATCTGCTCTGCATCTGCGTTTTCTATTTGGAGGTTCTGGTATACTGAAACATAATAGTTAAATATTGCCGTATTTGACCGAATACTGAAATTCATTGAAATCCCAAATTTTATTCTCAGGTAGTTTTTTGTTTTTAACTAGAGATAACAATCTTCTTTATGACATACCAACACTGTTACTTGTGACTTAAAGCTTTGGTTTTCATAGCAACCTAGTTGGTGTAGATCTTTGAAGAACTTCTTTTTAAGGCAAACTTAATGTTTCAAAATTAGTTAATTGTGTGGAGATGACTTGTGCCTTTCAGAAATAGCACCCATACTGTATATTCACTCTGTACTTAGTTTCTGACTCACTAAACATGTGTTCCTTACTCAGATTTCACCTGGGTGCAGGACAAAGAGAGGCAATAAGCCTTTTTTATTTTTCTGAGAGATGCTGAATAAATGAATATTTACATGCCGGAGAATACTGGTTTTACATACAAACAGATAAAACACATGGTCGCAACTGCTTTCTGTTCTTTAAAAAATTTGTTTTGACATATGTCCTGCTAGTAATTAATTTGTAGCCTGCAATCCTTGAAAGTAGTGTGACCTCACTGAGATGACTTTGTTTACTCAAAATGGCAGCGTTTTGTTGGAGATTTAATTGAGGTCTTCTGCATTATGCATATTTATTCAGAGTTGATTTTAGTTGAGGTATTGCTTTTGTACAGATTCTGTGATAGAATGAGAGAAGAATTATTGCCGAATGAAACATAGCTTCTTCTCAAAATGAGAAAAATAAGAAGTGATACATCTGCTTTAAGCAGAATTTTATGCATTATAAATAGTTTAGATTCTTACTTTATTCTGGCACCAATATAAAATCTTTTTGCCAAGAGCGTGTCTGTTGTTTCAATAAGAAAATACATCAAAATCTTAGTGAGAATCACCTGGAAACGTATACATTTATTCTGTATGCAATTTTTTCTTTAAACTGGTTTTATCTCCCTAGCAGTTGCCCATTAGAATGAGATTGAAGTTTGAGTCCATGCATTATAAGATAGATTCGGTGTTCTTTAGATTGTGTGAATGTTGTCACACTTTTTTTTTTTTTTTTTTTTTACTGCATTTGATGTTTGTGGAGATTGCATGCTTATCCCTTACATTCTCTGAAATTATTTTAGTTACTGTGAATTTTAGATGGAGTCTAAACAAGGTCAGCAGATTACACTACCTCATCCTTTTAGTGTTCATTTTTCTCATGATCTTTGCCAAATGAGATGTGGTCAAGCATGCTGGTGCAGTGATATTACTGCAGTAAGATGAAAGTGGGGAGCAAAATCATAGATGCTTTCATATCCAGGATGATTTGAGATGCTATTGGCCTGAAAATTTTATGGAGAGCAGCCTCATACTCTTGGATGTGAATTAGAAGGACTTTTTATAGAGGAAGAAAGCAGAGTAAAGCAGATTGTTTCAAAAGAAGTGGGAATTAGTTAAACTTAGCAGATGTCTTTTGTCCACAAATTTCACTCAGCTGTCCTTTCTGGAGTGCCTACTGGGTCTTGGGGCACTACAAGGAACATTTCTGCCCTGAAGCATTCACTTTCTGGCGGGGAAACAAACAGGGAAGTAGACACTTTACAGTGCAGTGTCATAAGCACTGTAATGATAAGTATATACAAGATGCAGGTGGGGTTACAGACGAAGCAATGCTTGAGTGGTGCTCAGTTAGCATAAAACGATTCTTAATTGTTGAAGGAGTGGCAGTTAGAAGTAGTTAAGGTTATAGGCAGATGGAACAGCAAGAGCAAAGCCATAAGGGTGTGAAAGTACATGTGTGTAGCTTGCTTATTGAAGCAGAATTGGGGTTTTCATGACCATAGAAGAGAGTGCAAGCCAAGGGAGGGCCTTCAAGAGAGCACGAAGTGGGGTGTTTGCCTGGAGGAGAAGTTGAACTTCTTGCCCTCAGCTGTTTGCCAGGGACTGGAGTGGAGAATTTGGGAAAAGCCCTTGAAAGAGCCTGACATGTGTCCCCTGGAGTCTGGAGGATAACTTGCTGGTATCTGACTCCTGTCTGCAGAAACCTGAAGGTGAGAAGCTGGTTGGAGCTGTCCCAATGGCAAGATGTAGCCATTTTAATAACAAATAACTCCTGGTTTCTTTTCGGTAGATGCTAGTAAAGAGATTTGAGATAGGTGAGGGTTATTCTCCCCACCCTAGTTTTGCTGTAAGCAGTCAACATGCCAAACAAGTAATTCAATCTGTTCAGTAAGTTCATTGAAGCCCCCAGTCTTTAGGTGCAAAAATCATCACTCTTAGTAGTTTATTCAAAAGTGGATATGGCAGCTTTTCAGACTTGTTTTCCCTTAATATCCATGTTAGGCAGTGGGGATTCCCCTAAATCCAGTGGCTGGAAACGGGAACCTTCAGCGATCAAGCGTCAAGGACTGCCCTCCAAAGTCTCCTTCCCAGTTCTGCTGTCTGCCTACTCAGTGCCTTTCCCCCGAACACTCATGTTATATAAGTCTCCTTAGTGTTTTTCCAGAGACACTCTATCCTAGATCTTCTGTATTTTTTGTTGCTGCTTTCTAACCTACTTTGTTTTGGAGATCATTTATATCACTTCATTAAGAGCACTATCTTTTATAATGATTGCATAGTAGTCCATTGTATAAACAAACCATTGTTTATTTAACATTTCCCAGTTGGTGGACATTACAGACATGCTGCAGTGAGTGATGCTGTTCCTGTGTTATTTTATACATGGTTGAATGTTTGCAGGTTACATACCACAAGTAGAATTACTTCGTGAAAAGTATCGGCATTTGTAATTTTGGTAGATAATGCCAAATTGCTCTTTAGGGAAGTACCAATTGACACTTGCCAACAATGTAGGAGCCTTCTGTTTTCCCCTGCCTCACCTATGGACTAGCAGTCTTAAAGACAAAACATGATGTCATTGTAGTTCTAATTTTAATTACAAGTAAGACTGGACATAATAACATATATCTGAGAACAGTTTTATTTACTTTCCTGTGAACTGATGATTTGAAACTTCCCCCAAATTCTTGTGAGGATTAAATGAGGGGATCCAGGCGAAGTGCCTTCTGTAATGCCTGTCACACAGTACGTGCTCAGGAAATGTTAACTAGGATGATTGGTACTCTGGTAACTGAAAGAGCTTTAACAGTGAAGGACACCTGATATGGTTTGGCTCTGTGTCCCCACCTAAATCTCATCTTGAATTGTAATCCCCACGTGGCAGGGGAGGGACCTGATGGGAGGTGATTGCATGGGTGGTTTCCCTCATGCTCTTGAGACTGAGAGAGTTCTCACAAGAGCTGATGGTTTTAAAAGTGTTTGCAGTTCCCCCTTTGTGCTCTCTCTCTCCTTCTGCCATGTAAGACGTGCCTTGCTTTCCCTTTGCCTTCTGCCATGATTGTAAGTTGCCTGAGGCTCCCCAGCCATGCAAACTGTGAGCCAAACCTCTTTCCTTTATAAATTACTCAGTCTCAGGTAGTATCTTTATAGCAGTGTGAGAATGGACTGATAAAACACCCAAGTGTGGAATGCAGCTCTGTCCCTTACCAGCCATCTGCTCCTGACAAGTTTACTTAATCTGAGTCCAGGTTTGCCCATTTGTGCTAGGAACTTTGCATAGACTCTTCTCGTTGATACCTTTATACCTTTACAGCAGTTCTAAAAGGCGGCTGTGATAGCAGTATAGCCTGCTAGGAGATTCGGAAATTAAACCTGCTTTTAGGTTGTTGGGTTCTTTAACAGGGCTGCAACCTTGATATGTCTGCATTCAGACATGTTGATGACTAACAATTGCTGTGTTTGAATGAGAGGCCAGACAACTGTTACTGCTTGTAAAGCTCTTCAGCTATAATGAGAGTGTTATATCCAGATGTCTTATTGAGAGACATCTTTATAATAGTAAAAAAATTGCAACCTGCAGTTGATTTTGTATTCACTGGCTACTTATGTAGGAAAAACAGCATATTGGTATAAAAAGTAAAGTTACCCTAATTGATGATTGAGCTGATCAAGATTCCTAATGGAAGTGTGTTGGGAAAATTCCATGATTGTTCATTTTTGGCTTATTCTTATGGAGATTGCACCAGTTGGATGTTTTCCACTGAAAAATGTTACCAAGCAACTATCGCCAGAACTTCTGTTGCATCTTTACTGTCCTTAAGGCTCTATATACTATTTCCTGCTTATCATGATTGTAAAAGAGAAAAAAAATAGTCCTAGCTCATAAGGGAGAATTTTCCCCCTTCTTGTATCAGTGCTGTGTATCTGTCTCTGTGTATGTTTGTGTGAAATTGTTTTCTTTGATTTACCTTGTTCTCTTTCAGTTTGTCCTTATAGTTGGGTTGTTCCTTATCTTTCCAGATAGCGTGTAAATCCTCTTGAAAACAGCCACTGGGTTTTTACCTCCTTGTAGGATGCCCAGGCTCTAGCATAATATCTTCTACACAGTGAGCACTCAGTGAATACTTGTCGTTTTTCACTGCTTTAAGTTTGACTTATTTTTGTTCAGATGCTGCCTGACGTCATGATCATTTCAGAAAGGTGAGGGAGCTCTAAGGGGGCTTGGAGTTATGTAGGGTAGTGAATCAGGCTTTTGATATACTACATTACTATGATCTTTGCATGAGACAGGTGATGAAATACCAAAGCGTATATACTTTTCTAAGATTTCAGTCTTCTTAAACCTTGAAAAAGTAGTTTTTATAAGTCTGGTTTTATTGGAAAAGCAGTAAGTGCTATAATTATTCATTTACTTTCTTCATCTTAGCACTTCTACTGAAAAGGAAAAAAAATGATTCAAAATCTTTCCAAACTTCTAATGTGAAATTGTTTTTCAGTTAAAATCCAATGCAAACATATTGAACCCTATTTTAATCCTACATAATTCATTTTATTAACTATGACCAAATAGAACATCTGTTAAAATTCCATAATGCTAGCTTCATGGGAAAAGAAAAAAATCCCTGTTTGCTCTTGGAAGTTGTCCATTGTTTTATTATTCAGGCTTTCAGTAAATGTGTAATGAGACATTCTTTTTGATGGAAATATTAAACAAATGAAAATGAAATTTCCTCTTTTATCATAGAGGTTTATAAAATGAGTCACTTAATTGCATTTACATTATTATAACTTTACCGTAGAGATGTTCTATGAAGAATGAATGCTGGTTCATTTGATTCATTCTTTAATTCAAGAACCTAAAATTATTACTCCTCAAACCTGGACTTTAGCCTTTAGTTTTTCATCATCTCTTAAATAAGCAAATATTTTTAGGAAGAACAATTGAGTAAAATTATCTTAATGTGGAAGTATTACTCTAGCCCTTCAGTGCATAGTTTCTCATGTTTCGTTTACATGAAACCAGCTGCTATTTACTTTTTTCATTCCTTGGACAAATTTCATTTACGCTGTGAAGTGACTTGAAAATGCTACATATTTCCATTGTTGCATGTTGGCCATGTTGTCCTGAAGGGGCACCAGTTCCTGTGTGTATGGTTTATGGGATGTAAATGCAATAATATGATGCTTCACTGTAAACACATTGGAAGCTATTGGATACAGGTGGAAATTATCTGTTAATTCTTTATTTAAACGTTGTGACCATAAACCATAGTGTTGAAGTAGCTCTTTGTTGTTGTTCCTTTGTGGTTTTCATCCCATGTGAAATGTCATCTTTCTTCGTCTTCGTGAGTCCATTTGGATTGCATTTAGGCTTCAAATAACAGAAAATTTGACTACAATGGTTTCACCAAAAAAGTTTTCTGTTTTTCCCTTTTGTAACAAGAAATCTGAAGATGATCATTCTAAGGCTGGTGTACTGGTTAGATGAGGGCAAGGAGAATCCAGTCTCTTTCATTTTGCCTGGCTAACTTTAATGCTCTGGCTAATTGACTCATGGTCACAAAATGGCTGTTCTGCTTTCAGGCATCATAGTTCTATTCCAGAACTATGAAGAAGGGGAAGGGCATGAGGCAGTACTAACTTTATCTGTCCTTTTGTTTATCTCGAAAACAAAAACTTTCCTGGGACAGATGGTATCTCAGGGCCTTTATGAGTTGCGTGGGGATTGGGAAGTTGAGTATGTAGCTTTTCACTGTAGTAGATGAAGTCAGGCAAAGGGTGGACTGGGGGCAGTGGTACTACCGTTACTGAGTCACCCCATAGGATCTGCCGTATTCTGTCCCTTCAAACCCTTCCAGCTAAAGTTTCATCTCTTCAGAAAGAAGACCATTTCATACATCTCTAGCTTCAGCCCACATGTGGGCATCCATCGTTGTTAAGATCCATGAGTAATTGTCTGTACCACTATTTTTTTTTTTGGTCATTCTCCTCTGTAAATGGAAATGTCTGTTCGTTTTCTTTTTCTGCCACCTTTGTTCTTTTGGGCACTAGTGTAGAAACTCATCTTTAAAAATTATTTGGTGGTCTCACTGAAATTGAAGACATGAATTTACTTCTGATTTATTTACTTTTATATGTAGTTTTGATTTTAAAGTTAAAATCTGAGAATACTTCTTATATTGATATATTCATATGTAAACACCTAAAAAATGTGTGTCATTTTAGATGGAAATAAACTGTTTACATTTACCAAGTACTTAAAATGTTCCAGTCACTGTGCTAAGTTGTTTACATACATTATTTCACATAATCCTCACAGCAGCCCAAAATGCGATCCCTACTTGACAGAAACTAAAGCTTGGTAAGTTTGTGGTTGGCCCAGGGTCTCATACCAGTAAGGGAGAGATCAGAGGACTCCAGAATCCATGAACTTAACCTTTATGGTGAGCTGTGTATTTTACATTTTATAAACAGATAAATTTTTTCTGGGGAGGAAAATATGTATTTAAAATGAGTAATCCATATTTATATCTGTAGTCTTTAAGCCTTTAGATAGGCGTTAGTGCCAGGAGTTTGGGGAAACTGGAAGTCTACATGATATTAAAAATAAATTAATTAGAGGAAATAAGCAAGTGTAAGGAATCTGTGTTGATGGAAGTGTTCATGAAGAACTGTGGCTTGTAAGTGCATATTATCACGTTTGCGTGATTTTCCTTTATCTAGGTGTTAGTTTACATGCCCCTTCTCTGAGGGACCTCCTGTGATCACTCCAGCTAAAATAGACCTACCCCATCCCTGATCACTCACCTGTTACCTTTGCATGCACTGATGTTTGAAATTACCTTCATTTCTTGTTCAAAAATTAATTACTGCTGCAAACAGGGACAATTTGACTTCCTCTCTTCCTATTTGAATACCCTTTATTTGTTTCTCTTGCCTAATTGCCCTGGCCAGAACTTCCAACACTGTGTTGAATAGGAGTGGTGAGAGAGGGCATCGCTGTCTTGTGCCAGTTTTCAAAGGGAGTGCTTCCAGTTTTTGCCCATTCAGTATGATATTGGCTGTGGGTTTGTCATAGATAGCTCTTATTATTTTGAGATAAGTCCCATCAATACCTAATTTATTGAGAGTTTTTAGCATGAAGGGTTTTTGAATCTTGTCAAAGGCCTTTTCTGCATCTGTTGAGATAACCATGTGGTTTTTGTCTTTGGTTCTGTTTATATGCTGGATTACATTTATTGATTTGTGTATATTGGAGCAGCCTTGCATCCCAGGGATGAAGCCCACTTGATCATGGTGGATAAGCTTTTTGGTGTGCTGCTGGATTCGGTTTGCCAGTATTTTATTGAGGATTTTTGCGTCAATGTGCATCAAGGATATTGGTCTAAAATTCTCTTTTCTGGTTGTATCTCTGCCTGGCTTTGGTATCAGGATGATGCTGGCCTCATAAAATGAGTTAGGGAGGATTCCCTTTTTCTATTGATTGGAATAGTTTCAGAAGGAATGGTACCAGTTCCTCCTTGTACCTCTGGTAGAATTCGGCTGTGAATCCATCTGGTCCTGGACTCTTTTTGGTTGGTAAGCTATTATTGCCACAATTTCAGATCCTGTTATTGGTCGACATGATTGTATATCTAGAAAACCCCATTGTCTCAGCCCAAAGTCTCCTTAAGCTGATAAGCAACTTCAGCAAAGTCTCAGGATACAAAATCAATGTACAAAAATCACAAGCATTCTTATACACCAATAATAGACAGAGAGCCAAATCATGAGTGAACTCCCATTCACAATTGCTTCAAAGAGAATAAAATACTTAGGAATCTAGCTTACAAGGGACGTGAAGGACCTCTTCAAGGAGAACTACAAAGCACTGCTCAATGAAATAAAAGAGGATACAAACGAATGGAAGAACATTCCATGCTCATGGATAGGAAGAATCAATATCGTGAAAATGGCCATACTGCCCAAGGTAATTTTTAGATTCAATGCCATCCCCATCAAGCTACCAATGACTTTCTTCACAGAATTGGAAAAAACTACTTTAAAGTTCATATGGAACCAAAAAAGAGCCCGCATCGCCAAGTCAGTCCTAAGCCAAAAGAACAAAGCTGGAGGCATCACACTACCTGACTTCAAACTATACTACAAGGCTTCAGTAACCAAAACAGCATGGTACTGGTACCAAAACAGAGATATAGATCAGTGGAACAGAACAGAGCCCTCAGAAATAAGGCCGCATATCTACAACTATCTGATCTTTGACAAACCTGAGAAAAACAAGCAATGGGGAAAGGATTCCCTATTTAATAAATGGTGCTGGGAAAACTGGCTAGCCATATGTAGAAAGCTGAAACTGGATCCCTTCCTTACACCTTATACAAAAATTAATTCAAGATGGGTTAAAGACTTAAACGTTAGACCTAAAACCATAAAAACCCTAGAAGAAAACCTAGGCAATACCATTCAGGACATAGGCATGGGCAAGGACTTCATGTCTAAAACACCAAAAGCAATGGCAACAAAAGCCAAAATTGACAAATGGGATCTAATTAAACTAAAGAGCTTCTGCACAGCAAAAGAAACTACCATCAGAGTGAACAGGCAACCTACAAAATGGGAGAAAATTGTTGCAACCTACTTATCTGACAAAGGGCTAATATCCGGAATCTACAATGAACTCAAACAAATTTACAAGAAAAAAACAAACAACCCCATCAAAAAGTAGGCAAAGGATATGAACAGACACTTCTCCAGAGAAGACATTTATGCAGCCAAAAGACACATGAAAAAATGCTCATCATCACTGGCCATCAGATAAATGCAAATCAAAACCACAATGAGATACCATCTCACACCAGTTAGAATGGCGATCATTAAAAAGTCAGGAAACAACAGGTGCTGGAGAGGATGTGGAGAAATAGGAACACTTTTACACTGTTGGTGGGGCTGTAAACTAGTTCAACCATTGTGGAAGTCAGTGTGGCGATTCCTCAGGGATCTAGAACTAGAAATACCATTTGACCCAGCCATCCCATTACTAGGTATATACCCAAAGGACTATAAATCATGCTGCTATAAAGACACATGCAAACGTATGTTTATTGCGGCACTATTCACAATAGCAAAGACTTGGAACCAAGCCAAATGTCCAACAATGATAGACTGGATTAAGAAAATGTGGCACATATACACCATGGAATACTACGCAGCCATAAAAAATGATGAGTTAATGTCCTTTGTAGGGACATGGATGAAATTGGAAATCATCATTCTCAGTAAACTATCGCAAGGACAAAAAACCAAACACGGCATGTTCTCACTCATAGATGGGAATTGAACAATGAGAACACATGGACACAGGAAGGGGAACATCACACTCTGGGGATGTTGTGGGGTGGGGGGCGGGAGGAGGGATAGCATTAGGAGATACATCTAATGCTAAATGATGAGTTAATGGTTGCAGCACACCAGCATGGCACATGTATACATATGTAACTAACCTGCACATTGTGCACATGTACCCTAAAACTTAAAGTATAATAATAGTAAAAAAAAAAATTAATTACTGCTGTCTTCCCTTCACTAGAATGTATGCATCAGGAGGGCAGATGCCTCCCGTTTTGTTCCCTACTATTAATCTAACACCTAGAAGAGTGTGGCACATAGCACACTCAGAAAATATTTAACAAACCAATGACTTAATCATACTTGCTTCTCAAAAGCAGACCAGTTTTAAGTACTTAGGTATTAAGATCTCCAGATACATTTAGCAAGAATTATGGAGTTCTCACTAAATTCCTAGGCAAGCTAATGGTTTTCTGCCAGATAAACTGTCTGTACTTCCATTGAGATTAATTTTCTTATCATATTTACTGCTGTCTACATATAGCTCTTATTTTAATTTTGTCTTTTCTAGTTACAGTTACTCCTGTAACTATTTCATATATTCAAAACAGTTTTTGAAGTGACACATGAAAATAATAAAACTTATGAAGAAGATCCTTCATTAGGTGTGTGCGAATTATCTCCAGTGAATACCGTGTGGGTCAAGAATTACCCTTGATGTTCTCATTACTGTATACTGTCTTATTGTCTGAATAAACACCATCTTATATGGAGTATTAAGAGACTATATATGTAAGAAAACTAAATTTGAAGGTCAAATGTAGTTTTTTAGATGTGTAATTAAAAAATAGCAATTGGAATCATTCAAAGGAAATTAAAATGTTTATCTGTGGGTTCGACTACCTGGCTACAGATTACTTTGGGATCACATAATGAAAATAGTTAAAATTTGAATACTAATTATGATTGTTAACTTTACATATATTTTCCTAATCCTTAAACTGTAAGACATCAGCCTGTTTGTACAGATCATAAGCAGAGGCTTAGAAAAATTAAGTAATACAACTAGGAGGTGGCAGGACTGGAATTGGAGGTCAAGTTTGTATAATTCCAAATCCTGTGATTCTTATTACACTTTGCTTCCTGTTTGTGTCTTGCAGATAAATTCACTGATAGAATTTTTCAGTAAATCCTAAGAAAATAATGTGATGGGGGATCTACAAGACTTGAACCAAATCTTGACCTGAGTGAGAGTGGAGCACAATTTCTGAGTGTTAGAGGATTCTAAAGGATAGAAATGGAACTGTTTGTATGGGCAGAACACAATGAGATGCTTCTAAAACAGCCATTAATATTGATTTCAGCATCCTTTTTCGTCTGGCCTTTGTGAGGGGTGCTTAAAAATGTTTTGACTGATTGTAGTCTGTCCTTTTTTGTTCCCTGTGCTGCATCATATGTTCTGAGAAACAGTAGAGTAGGTGGGAAAAGGTTGATAATCTTTGGCCTTGAAGTGGTTTTGGTATACATAGCCAAGTAACTAGCAGATAATTTATTGACTAGTGGAGAAGCAGAAATTTTTGTGAGGATTTTTTTTTTTCCCTTTTTGAATATACTCTGCTTTTTGTTATTCAACTTGTCAGTGCAAAACTGACATTATAGAAGAACGCACTAGAGGGCGCACAATGCCTGTATTTTAAATGTTGGTGGCAAAAACCTCAGCATGAACTTGGAAGCTGCTTCCTGGCACTGTTTGAAAAAAAAAAAAAAAGGTTCAAATTAGAAAATGTAAATTTAAGCATAATAGTGTTTTCCGATCAAGATACCTGAATGGATAAATTTGTGTTATCTTTTGATACATATGTACATGGAGTTGTATTTATTTGGGTTCTAATTTTTTAAAACTTTTACCATGGAAAAATTTAAAGACACACAAAAAAGATTACTAAAATGAATCCCTGTAGTCTCATCAATTACCAGCTCTTGAGCAGTATTGTTCCATCTATACCAAACCCTGCTTCCCACATGTCTGTATGATATTGAAGCAAATACCAGACATTCTGATTTCATCCAGAAATACGTCACTATGCATCTCTAAAAGATAACTGTAAATATGTATAATGTATCAAAAATGAGTGTCATAACAGAAAGACAAATATTGTATTATATGTGTAAACTAAGAAAGTAAAATTCATAGAAGCAGAGAGTAGAACCATGGTTCTCGGGTGTTAGGGGGTGGGTAAATGGGGAGATGTTGTTCAAAGGGTACAAATTGTCAGTTATAGGATCAGCAGGTTCTGGGTATTTAAGGTACAGCATGAAAAGTGATGGATGTGTTAATTAATTTGATTGTGGTAATCATTACACATTGTGTATCAAATCATCACATTGCTCACTTTAATATATATAATCTTTATTTGTCATTTATTTTAAAAAACGAATATCATAGTCTAGAAGTATTTCCCCAAAGCTATTTATCACTTACAAAGGGGAAAATAGTAATTTTACAGTTGGAAAGACTGGCAGTCACTATTTTATCCAAGTGATCAAGATTAGCATCACCAGTAATAAGATTATATTAACATCATACATCTCTAATATAATGCACCAAGAAGGACACAATGTCACTTCTTTGGTCTTCTTGCCAAAGATGCATAATCTCAGTGTGATCATGAGAAAACATCACACAAACCGAGATTGAGAGACATTGTACAGAATTGTCAAAGTTATGATAAAGAAAGATGAAAGAACTGCCACAAATAAGAGAAGACTAAGGAGACACAACAAGTAAATGCAGTGTAGGATCCTGGATTTGATCCTGGAACAGAAAAGATTTTGGGAAAAACTGGTAACATTCAAAATCTGTAATTTAGCTATTAGCATTGCAGCAAAACTGGTAGCTGGTTTTGATAAGTGTACTGTAGTTAATTTATTAACATTAGAGAAGCCAGCATATATGTGAACTCTGCTATTTATGCAACTTTTATGAGAGTTTGTTTTTAAAAAACAAACTAAAATGCCACATTTGGACATTGTATGAAGTACTTGTTTTTAGAGTCATCTTCTAAAATAATGACAAGTTAAATTTAAAATTTAATTTCTTTTATTGTTAACTTGTATTAAAATAATATATGCAATTAGTAACAACCCAAATAATGTAGAAGGACTTAAGATGAAAAACAACAGTCTCCTGCCCATCCCTCTCCATTCTGGTTCCACTCTCTAGAGGTAGCCTTTATTTTTTATTTTTTAAAATTTTAACTGTTTTATTTTTAGTTCTTATTTCATCGGTGCTTTCAGATAATATATTATTTAAATGTCTGTTTTAAAATTTGTCAGTAGATAAAGTTTGTTGAGTCTTTGGGATGGAAGATGTGATTAAGCTCACATTATGTTCTTCCCCAACCCTGTCTCATCCTAGCATTCCAGTTATATAAATTTCATTCCTCTGTTCATTTTAGAAACTTTAAGTTATATATTCGTTTCTTTATTTCTTATCCTACGAACTTTCTGCATCTTACAACTTTCTCTTGACATGATGAGGCTGTTGCTTTCTTTTTGCCACCTTGTCCTCCTTAACCTGCAAATTTCACTTTCTGGAAAGACTTCTCTCAACTATACTTTCATTGTACATTGTCAAGAGGGTTGACAATTTCATCCTGTCTTTTACCCTCAGTCACTTCTTTCATAGCTCTTCTGTATTGATTCTAAAAGTGGAGTACCGGTGAACTAGTGTTTGTATTATTGAGAAGACTTCATGAATGATCAGACCATGTAGTGTGCTAAGGCTGTATTTTTTTTTGTGTGTGGGACTTACACCCTGAGAGATGGTTTCAGCATCAGAATCAAATAGACCTTCTTGCACTCTATCAGTTGCTAAAATTTAATTTCCAACATTTGGGGCATGAGCTTGTCTTTTTTTCTTGGAGTTTCTAATTGCCTTTTCTGTATGAAAAAGGCATTATTTGCATTATTTTTAGGTATGACAACTTTGAAAACATACTGTCTTTTGTCCTGAGTCCCCTTTTACCCTGGGAATCTTGGAATCTTTCATTCTCCTGTTCTAATCCTGTGTTAATATTCACTGTGTTTGGGCTTCTATTCTTGGGTCAGATTTGCTGTTTCCTGAAGGCCGCATAGCATAGTGGTTCAGACCAGGGCTTTGTGGTCAGGCAGCCCAGGTTTTGCCAACAGCTCTGCCTCTGTTAAACTTACACCTGGTGCTACAGTGTCCTCATTGAATGAAAATGCTTTCAGATATGAAAAATATAAGAATTTAGTCCATTTGTTTGAAGGCTTTTATTTGATTCTGATTTTTTTGGGGAGGTGGGGTCAGGTAATTATCTTTCTCTAGTGCCTATTATTTTACAAATATCTCATTAAAGACAGCCGATGATAACCATTCTCATGATTCTTTGGCCTCAAATGTGTTTCACTGGTTTGTTTTTTATAGTAGGAAGGAATTATGTTAATGTTATGATTCTTAGAAAAGTATTTTGATCTTATTAGTTTAGTGTGTATCCTGATTATGTTTTGGAAATAAGTGGTTAAATTGATCTGTGGGAGTCTTACAAACTGATTACCAAGTTTCTGATACAGCTTGCCTGTGTCTTGATCCACGTATTGTAAGTCTTTCCTATTATCAGTGAATTTTTCCATACTTCTGTTTCAGAGAATGGAATGATGACTAAGTTAAAAATCACTTCGGGACAAAATTTATTATCCTTCACAGGGTAAATGACAAACATGTCATTTACCTGGTAGAGGATACCAATAGTATCTGTGTTCACAGTCAGCTATGCTATGTTTCATGTTGACTAACAAAGATCTTGTGATAATTAGACTCTGCTGATTTATCTTTTTGTTCACACAATGGTTTTCCAAGGTTTTCTCATCCTTTTAGACATTTAATATTAGTTTGAAAAAGTAGTGAGAACAACACATCTCAATCATTAAGTTTTGATGAAGTGAAGACACCAAAGGTCTGGTATATAGTTGCCTCTTGGTAAGTGATAAGTTCTTACCACATTATTTTTCTGTATTTGAAGGAGAAAGTAGGTTGAATTTATCCAGCATCTGCCATATGCCAGATGAGGTACTTTTCATATATATTTTTTTCATTTAATCTTCACAGTAATTCTCAATCATTATTGCCAACTGAGTAATTGGAAAGTAAGTACCTCTTGAATACCTTGTCATGATTCCCAGTCAATCTGTAATGTTCATCTACCTTGTAAACCATTTTATATGCTAACAGACATTTCTCTGTTTAATACCAGTGAGAAAGCTGACCTTTGGTGGTGTAACTTGATCTACATAAAGCACGAAACACTGTTAGTGGAAGGCAGAGTTGGTCTCTGAATTCTTTGAACTCTTAACGCTCGTCTAGTAACAGCATATTTATTTCCTTTCTACTCTTTGAGGTATGAGTGAGGAAGTTTGAAATGCATAGTAACACCACCTTTTTCTTTTTTTTCTGCCTTTCCAGCTTTTTTGAAAAATTACAATTTATAGAAAAGGTAAAACGTGTATTTTTTTTCCCCAGGATTCACCAGTTAACATTTTGCTTAATCTGCTCTGCTCCTCTTTCTTCCTCTTTTTTTTCCTGAAATATTTTAAGTAAGTAGCAGACAATTTGACACTTATCATTTAGTATTTCAGCATGTCTCCTAAGAATGGAGTCCTACTTCTCATAACTACAATGCCATTATCACACCCAAGAAATTTAATATTCACTAACTAATATTATCTAATATGTGGTCAATTTCCCTGATGTCCCAGTGATAAAAGCCTTACAGCTTCTTTCTCTACTCAGGATACAAGTGAACAAATACATTGCATTTGGTTGTCAGGGTCCCCAACCTTTTTTATTTCCTCCATGACATAGACTTTTGTAGAGTCCGAGATATTTATCCTGTAAACGGTCCCATAATCTGGATTATCTGAGTTCCTTATGATTAGACTCAGGTTAATTGGTTTTTTTATATGAATACCTAAGTATTTTGGGGTGTTTCTCATTGAGTTATACCAGGAGGCACAAAAAGTCTTACACTTGGTGAGTTTAATGGTTTGATTAAGTTGTTTTCGTTTGTTATACACTAAAGGTTCAATTATCCTTTGATGTTAAGAGGCAATCTATGCGGTAATATTTTGAGAACAAGTGATTATCCCATTCCCCAATAAATAGTTTTAACATCTGTGGATACTTCTTGTCTGAAGCATTTGTTACATTGGTGATTGCAAAATAATGATTTTCCTAATACTGTCATTTTTCTATGAATTTGTTAGCTGGCATTCTTCTGTAGGGAAGAGTTTCCTCCCTTGCCCTCCAGATCCTTTTTAAAAAATCCCCATGGACTCATGGATTTTAAAAAAATAGCCTAATTGAGTTAGAATTCATGTACCAGACAGTTTACTCGTTTAAAGTGACAGTTCAAGGGATTTTACTATATTCATAAGTGTGTGCAATCACCACCATAGTCATGGATTCTTTTTTTGTTCGGTAATTATAGTCTATTACCATTAGTATTATTCTTTTGATACTTAAACTGTCCCATATTTGTCCAGTGGGGAGCCTCTTCAGCCTACTTCTGTGTTCATGTGACATTTCCCCGTTAGTCCTTTTTTTTTTTTTTTTTTGAGATGGAGTGTCATTCTGTTGCCCAGGCTGGAGTACAGTGGCATGATCTCAGCTCACTGCAACCTCCGCCTCCCAGGTTCAAGCGATTTTCCTGCCTCAGCCTCCCGAGTAACTGGGATTACAGGCACGCACCACCACACCCAACTGATTTTGCATTTTTTTTTTTTTTTTTTTTTTTTTTGAGACGGAGTCTCGCTCTGTCGCCCAGGCCGGACTGCGGACTGCAGTGGCGCAATCTCGGCTCACTGCAAGCTCCGCTTCCCAGGTTCACGCCATTCTCCTGCCTCAGCCTCCCGAGTAGCTGGGACTACAGGCGCCTGCCACCGCGCCCGGCTAATTTTTTGTATTTTCAGTAGAGACGGGGTTTCACCTTGTTAGCCAGGATGGTCTCGATCTCCTGACCTCATGATCCACCCGCCTCGGCCTCCCAAAGTGCTGGGATTACAGGCGTGAGCCACCGCGCCCGGCCTGATTTTGCATTTTTAGTAGAGTTGGAGTTTCACCATGTTGGCTAGGCTAGTCTCGAACTCCCGACCTCAAGGGAGTCGCCCACCTTGGCCTCCCAAAGTGCTGAGATTACAGGCATGAGCCACTGTGCCAGGCCCCCATTAGTCTTTGAGAACCTCCTTGCTGGTGTAGCAAGGTATCTTAGTCTTACCTTGTACTCTCCCTGCCCCAGTCCTGTAATCAGCCCCTCCCCAAGGGGGCCTTGATTCCTTCTGGTGGGGAGTGGTATTTAGAAACTATAGGTGTATCATTGCATCTAGGCTCTTTTATTGGGCAGAAAAAAAAATTAAATTATTTCATCTTTCCCATTTCATATATTTACATCAGGCAAGAAGAACACAGAATTATGATTTATTTTAAGAATTATACTGTAAACTTCTTTCCGGTGTTCAGTGCTGTGAATTCAGCGTACGTATAGATTTGTATAGCCATCATCACAATCAAGATACAGAACATTTCCATCACCCCAAAGTCCCTTCTGCTAGCCGATGCATACCCATTTCCCTGCTTCCTACTGCTGGCAACTTTAGCGATCTGTTCTCCATCACTATAGTTTTTTCTGTTTGAGAATGTCATTTAAATGGCATTACAGAATATACAGCCTTTACAGATTGCCTTCTGTCACTCAGCGTAATGCCTTTGAGATTCATCCCAGTTATTGCATGTATCAATAGTTTCTTCCTTTTTATTGCAGGGTGGTATTCCATTGTTAGGACGTATAGTGGAATACAAAAATTATGGTTTATCCTTTGATCTATTGAAGGACATTTGACTTCTTTTGGTATCATTATTAAGAGAATTCCTGTTAATAGTCATGTATAAGTTTTTGTGTGAACATCATTTTCATTTTTCTAGGGTAGAAATGCAGGAATGGGTTTGCTGGGCCATGTGGTGAGTGTATATTTAGCTTTATTAGAAACTGTGAACTCTTTTCTTTTCTTTCTTTTTTCTTGAGACAAGGTCTCACTGTGTTAACCCAGGCTGAGTGCAGTGGCGCAGTCTTGGCTCACTGCAACCTGTTTCCCGGGCTCAAGTGATCCTCCTACCTCAGCTTCCTGAGAAGCTGGGACTATAGACATGTACCACCATACCTGGCTAATTTTTGTATTTTTTTGTAGAGATGGGGTTTCACCACGTTGCCCAGGCTGGTCTCAAACTCCTGGGCTCAAGCAGTCTGCCTACCTTGGCATCCCAAAGTGCTGGGGTTATTAGGCCACTGTGCCTGGCCCAAACTCTTTTCTGTAGTGGCTGTACAATTTTACATCCCCACCAGCAGTATATGGTTAGCACTTGATTACTGTCAGGATTTTTATTTTAGCCATTTTAGTAGGTGTGTAATAATACCCCATAATGGTTTTATTTATTATTGTTTTAATCTTAGTTGACTCTTGAATCACAAAAGTTAAATAGTCCAGAAAATAAATTTATTTGCAAAAAAGAACCACACATATTTATGAGAGAGAAACTTTCTATAAGACTCTAAGTTTAGAATATTGAGACTTCTATCTCTTGAACATGGTATCTCCATTTACTTTAATCTCCATTTTCTTTAATGTTTCGATAATACTTTATAAATTTGTTGACCGTTTTGAATTTTCTTAATTTATTCCTAGGTAATATTTTCTGATGCCACTGAAATGTTATCTGTGTCTTCACTTTTTTATGCTAAAATATTTTAAAGTCAATTAATATTACACACTTAAATATTTCGGGATAGACTGGGCATGGTGGCTCATGCCTGTTATCCCAGCACTTTGGGAGGCTGAGGCAAGAGGGTCACTTGAGCCCAGGAGTTTGAGACTAGCCTGGGCAACATAGTGAGACCATGTTCCTACAAAAAATTTTTAAAAAATTGCTGCCTGTGGTGGTGCACACCCATAGTCCCATTTACTTGGGAGGCTGAGGTGGGAGAATCACTTGAGCCCAGGAAGTGGAGGCTGCAATGAGCTTAGATTATGCCACTGTACTCCAGTCTGGGCAATAGAGCAATGTTAGAAAGAATGCTGAGTGCTGGAACTCTAATCCATTGCTATCAGAGAGGGAATAAAGTCCTTCTGAAAAAATAGTTTCATATGATACAGTAAAACTGAAGATCCATATAAGCTGATTTTCTCCACCACTGGCAGGTGTATACCTAACAGAAATGCACATGTGCACCAAGAGACACATGCAACAATATGCATATCAATATTGTTTATAACAGGAACAATTTGAGATAAATGTTTCTCAATATGAGAAAAAATAAACTATGATATGTAAGTGCATGGAATAATACACAGTAGTGTAAAAAGAACAAACTGCAGCTCTTGCAACAACATGGATCAATCTCAACAAATTTCATAACAAGAGATGCAAAGTCATATAGGGTAAGTGCTCATACACAGTTCAGAAGCAGTGCTTGCCACATTTTCAAATGGTGCAGCAAATATATATTTATATCCATCTATTGAGATATCAAGAAAACACGGCGAAAGGTTAATAATATTTGGGAATCTGGGTGAAGAATATGCAAAAATTCATTGAGCTATTTTGTTACCATTTTGTAGGTTTGAGATTTTTCAACATAAAAGGATAGGAAAGAGTTAAAAATCAGATTAAAGCTAATTTATATGGTTTTGGAGTACAAACATGGGTAGTAAAATGATAAGAAAATACCACAATTAAGGATAGTACCAACTCTGGGAAGAAGGATGAACTTTTGCTGAGGAAGAGCCTAGTAGGGGTCTTCTGGTGCTGGTCATTTCTTTACCTGAGTAAATGTGTGAGCTTTCCTTTATAATTATCTATTAAACAATCCATATGAATTATATGCATTTTTCATATACATATTTCACAGGAGAAGAAAGGTAAAAACAGTGTAATGAGGTATATAAAAATACTTTCAAAGAAAGATTGCTATCCACTTGTTAAACATTATTATTATTTTTTTTAAAAAACCCTGCATTTGCTTTGTAACAAGCGAAGTAAGGGGATTTTTGCTATGTGAGTTGTTTACCTGAGATAAATTTATCAAAGGCACTTACTGAGGACCAATTTTTGAGGCTACCAATATAATGTCATCTTACTTTTACATAAGGTAGTTCTTATACAGCTATCAATTCTGAATCTTGTTTAGTTTGGTAATACTAGGTAATAAATTCTTTTAAATAATCCCAGGCTGGAGTGCAGTGGTGTAGTCATGGCTCACTGCAACCTCTGCCTCCCGGGTTCAAGTGGTTCTCCAGCGTCAGCCTCCTGAGTAGCTGGGACTACAGGCACCCACCAGCACTCCTGGCTAATTTTTGTATTTTTAAATGAGATGGGGTTTTACCCTGTTAGCAAGGCTGATCTCCAACTCCTGACCTCAAGTGATCTACCTGCCTTGGCCTCCCAAAGTGCTGGGATTACAGGCATGAGCCACCACGCCTGGCCCAAAACTTGTTATATTTGAAGCCAGATGTATTCTGGTGTTTCTGAGGCCTGGAACGAACCACATTGCCCTTCTGGGAGCTAACCACAGAAACAAGCACCCTGCCCTTACTAGAGGGGAAATAATGCAGGGAAGACCAACAAACTACTCCCAGGAGTTGATGCTGTTTCTCATAGTGGTTTTAATTTTCAGTTCCCTAATGGCTAATGATGTTGAACATCTTTTCATATGCTTATTTGGCATCCTTGCATCTTTTTATCGTGAAGTATCTGTTCAGTCTTTTTCTCATTTTTAATTGTACGGTTTCTTTGGGAGTTTCGAAAGTTCTTTATATATTTGGAATGCTCATCCTTTGCCCTTAGGTGATTTGCAGTATTTTCTAATAATCTGTAACTTGTAATTTCTCTAAACAGTATTATTTGCAAAGTTAAAGTTTTAAATTTTGGTAAAGTTCAGTTCATTTTTTCTTTTATGAATTGTACTTTGGATGTCATCTCTAGGAACTCTGCCTAACTCTAAGTCATTAAGGTTTTCTCCCATGTTTTCTTCTAAAAGTTTTATAGCTCTATGTTTTACATTTACATCTATAATCCATTTTGAGTTGATTTTTATTTAAGGGGTGAGGTTTAGCTCAAAGTTTGTTTTTTGCATATATAGATGTCTAGTTATTCTAACAGCATTTGTTGAAAAGATTTTTTTTTTCCTCACTGAAATGCTTTTGCATCTTTTAAAAAAATCAGTTGGCCAGATTTGTATGGGTCTGTAGCTGGAAGAAATATATATATTAAGGAATCTGTATATATAGGTTCCAAGCAATGTCTTTATTTTTCTTTATTTAGGTGTTTGTTTTCATATTTTTGAATATCCCAGTCTTGAAAGATGATGTTTTGATTTTCTGAGACCTTTCCCTTCGTTTTTTAATTTAATTTTCTTTTTCTCGAGACAAGGGTGTTGCTCTGCCACCAAGGCTGGGGTGCAGTGGCGTGATCTCAGCTCACTGCAGCCTCCCTTCTGGATTCAAATGCCACCTGAGTAGCTGGGATTACAGGTGTGCACCACCATGCCCTGCTAATTTTTGTATTTTTAATAGAGGCGGGGTCTCACCATGTTGGCCAGTCTGGTGTTGAACCCCTGGCCTCATGTGATCTGCCCAACACAGCCTCCTGAAGTGCTGGGATTACAGGCATGAGCCACCGTGCCTGGCCTGTTTGTTTTTTTTAATTGATATGATGGCTATCTTAAAAAAGTCTCAAAGCAGGCTGGGTGCGGTGGCTCACGCCTGCAATCCCAGTGCTTTGAGAGGCTGAGGTGGGCAGATCACGAGGTCAGGAGATTGAGACCATCCTGGCTAACACGGAGAAACCCCATCTCTACTAAAAATACAAAAAATTAGCCAGGCGTGGTGGCAGGCGCCTGTAGTCCCAGCTACTCAGGAGGCTGAGGCAGGAGAATAGCGTGAACCTGGGAGGCGGAGCTTGCAGTTAGCCCAGATCACGCCATTGCACTCTAGCCTGGGCGACAGAGCGAGACTCCGTCTCAAAAAAAAAAAAAAAAAATCTCAAACTGTTTTCTGTCTTTTCTCTCCTAAAACATCTCTTTGTTCCTTTTTCTTTTTTAAGTGATAGAAAGGACTGACTTTTTAGTCACTGTTTTTACAGTTCAATAATTCGGTATCTTTCACTTTTTTTCTGTCTCTATTTTTCTGAACATGCCTATTTTCTCTTGCATTACTATACTGTTAATATGTAGACAGTGGATTAGAAGCTCAGTTCTTCCTCTTTTTTGATTCATAATATAGTTACTATTACTTCCTTATATAGATTGTGCCATTAGTTTTTAAAATTCTTGCTGTTGCATTATCATGTAGTAAAAATAATTTCAACATTCACCTACGGGAATGAGGAAAAGGTGCTGTGTATTTTGTTTTATCCAAGCACGAAGGATCTTTGCTTTGAGTTGTCTTCCTTACAATATCCTATAAAATACATAATCTGAAGTGAGTTGCTAAGATTACTGTTTACTTTGTGCTGAAATAAACCTAGAACCTAAATTATTTGCTTCTTATTGTAGCACTGCCTTCTTAGAATTGAAACTCTAAAAATCATGGAATTAATGTGAAGTTTTTAATGCAGAGGACAGATTATAGAAATTTTCTTTGTACACTATCACTCAAACGTTTGCTGTAGTTTTGAGAATAATATTGTTACTGAAGTGGTGACCCAGTAATTTTTAGTTCACCAGAAAACATTTATAGAGTAAGTGTAGGGTACAGAGGTGTAGAATTAGCCATGTGTGGATGGGACAGAGGAGAGAGATTCTGCCCCTAGACAGCTTCTCCTATTTGTGTGTGGAAATTCATGGATATTTGTAAAGCAGTTCATTAGTAGTTGAACACTCAGTAATTGGATATTTTAAAGTGTTGGAGTACTGACAAGATAAGAACAAATAGACAGTGAAGGAGTGAATCCCTGTCTCTGAATGAGTTGAATTCTGGGCAGTCCTTTTAGACAACTTAGAAAAAGGAAGGGTAGAGTAAAGGAATTGATATGTTGACATTGGAAAGCATTTTTTTTAAAAAAATTAAACTTTAAGTTCTGGGATACATGTGCAGAATGTGCAGGTTTGTTACATAGGTATACATGTGCCATGGTGGTTTGCTGCAACCATCAACCCGTCTTATACATTAAGTATTTATCCTGATGCTATCCCTCCTGTAGCCATCCCCTACCCCTCGACAGGCCCCAGTGTGTGATGTTCCCCTCCCTGTGTCAATGTGTTCTCATTGTTCAACTCCCACTTATGAGTGGGAACATGCAGTGTTTGGTTTTCTGTTCCTGTGTTACTTTGCTGAGAATGATGGGTTCCAACTTCATCCATGTCCCTGCAAAGGACATGAACTCATCCATTTTTATGGCTGCATAGTATTCAATGATGTATATGTGCCACATTTTCTTTATCCAGTCTATCATTGATGGGCATTTAGGTTGGTTCCAAGTCTTTGCTGTTGTGAATAGTGCCGCAATAAACATACTTGTGCATGTGTCTTTATAGTAGAATGATATATAATCTGTTGGGTATATACCCAGTAATGAGATTGCTGGGTCAAATGGTATTTCTGGTTCTAGATCCTTGAGGAATTGCCACACTGTCTTCCACAATGGTTGAACTAATTTACACTCCCACCAACAGTGTAAAAGCATTCCTATTTCTCCACATCCTCTCCAGCATCTGTTGTTTCCTGACTTTTTAATGATTGTCATTCTATCTGGCATGAGATGGTATCTCATTGTGGTTTTAATTTGCATTTCTCTAATGCCCATTGATGATGAGCATTTTTTCATATGTTTGTTGGCCACATAAATGTCTTTTTTTGAGAAGTGTCTGTTCATATCCTTTGCCCAGTTTTTGATGGGGTTGTTTGTTTTTTTCTTGTAAATTTAAGTTCCTTGTAGATTCTGGATATTAGCCCTTTGTCAGAGGGATAGATTACAAAAATTTTCTCCTATTCTGTAGGTTGCCTATTCACTCTGATGATAGTTTCTTTTGCTGTGCAGAAGCTCTTTAGTTTAATTAGATCCCCTTTGTCAATTTTGGCTTTGTTGCCATTGCTTTTGGTGTTTTAGTCATGAAGTCTTTGCCCATGCCTGTGTCCTGAATGGTATTGCCTAGGTTTTCTTCTATGGTTTTTATGGTTTTAGGTCTAACGTTTAAGTCTTTAACCCATCTTGAGTTAATTTTTGTATAAAGAGTAAAGAAGGGGTCCATTTTGAGTTTTCTGCTTATGGCTAGCCAGTTTTCCCAACACCATTTACTAAGTAGGGAATCCTTCCCCCATTGCTTTTTTCAGGTTTGTCAAAGATCAGATGGTTGTAGATGTGTGGCGTTATTTCTGAGGCCTCTGTTCTGTCCCTTGGGTTTGTATATGTGTTTTGGTACCAGTACCATGCTGTTTTGGTTTACTGTGCCTTGTAGTATAGTTTGAAGTCAGGTAGCGTGATGCCTCCAGCTTTGTTCTTTTGCTTAGGATTGACTAGGCTATGCAGGCTCTTTTTTGATTACGTATGAAATTTAAAGTAGTTTTTTCTAATTCTGTGAAGAAAGTCAATGGTAGCTTGATGGGAATAACATTGAATCTATAAATTACTTTGAGCAGTATGGCCATTTTCACGTTAATGATTCTTCTTATCCATGAGCATGGAATGTTTTTCCATTTATTTGTGTGGTCTCTTATTTCCTTGAGCAGTGGTTTGTAGTTCTCCTTGAAGAGGTCCTTCACATCTGTTGTAAGTTGTAGTCCTAGGTATTTTATTTCCTTTATAGCAATTGTGAATGGGAATTCACTCATTATTTGGCTGTTTATCTATTATTGGTGTATGGAAATGCTTGTGATTTTTGCACATTGGTTTTGTATCCTGAGATTTTGCTGAAGTTGCTTATCAGCTTAAGGAGATTTTGGGCAGAGTCGATGGGGTTTTCCAAATGTACAATTATGTCATCTGCAAACAGAGACAATTTGACTTCCTCTCTTCCTATTTGAATACCGTTTATTTGTTTCTCTTGCCTGATTGCCCTGGCCAGAACTTCCAATACTCTGTTGAATAGGAGTGGTGAGAGAGGGCATCTTTGTCTTATGTCAGTTTTCAAAGGGAATGCTTCCAGCTTTTGGTCATTCAATATGATACAGGCTGTGGTTTTGTCATAAACAGCTCATAATATTTTGAGATACGTCCCATCAATGCCTGGTTTATTGAGAGTTTTTAGCATGAAGAGATGTTGAATTTTATTGAAGGCCTTTTCTGCATCATTTGAGATAATCATGTGGTTTTTGTCATGGTTCTGTTTATGTAATGGATTACATTTGTTGATTTGCATATGTTGAACCAGCCTTGTATCCCAGGGATGAAGCTGACTTGATCATGGTGGATAAGCTTGTCGGTGTGCTGCTGGATTCGGTTTGCCAGTATATTATTGAGGATTTTCACATTCATGTTCATCGGGGTTATTGGCCTGAAATTTTCTTTTTTTGTTGTGTCTCTGCCAGGTTTTGGTATCAGGATGATGTTGGCCTCATAAAATGAATTACGGAGGAGCCCCTCTTTTTCTATTGTTTGGAATAGTTTCAGAAGGAATGGTACCAGCTCCTCTTTGTACCTCTGGTAGAATTCGGCTGTGAATCCGTCTGGTACTGGGCCTTTTTTGGTTTGTAGGCTATTAATTACTTCCTCAATTTCAGAGCCTGTTATTGGTCTATTCAGAGATTCACCTTCTTCCTGGTTTAGTCTTGGGAGGGTGTATGGGTCCAGGAATTTATCCATTTCCTCTACATTTTCTTGTTTATTTGCATAGAGGTGTTTATAGTATTCTCTGATAGTAGTTTGTATTTCTGTGGGTTCAGTGGTGATATCCCCTTTATCACTTTTTATTGTGTCTGTTTGATTCTTCTCTCTTTTCTTCTTTATTTGTCTGGCTAGTGGTCTATTTTGTTAACCTTTTCAAAACATCAGCTCCTAAATTAATTGTGTTTTTGGGGGGTTTTTTTGTGTCTCTTTCTCCTTCATTTCTGCTCGTAGTTATTTCTTGTCTTCTGCTAGCGTTTGAATTTGTTTGCTCTTCTCTAGTTCTTTTAATTGTGATGTTAGCATGTCTATTTTAGATCTTTCCTGCTTTCTCCTGTTGGCATTTAGTGCTATAAATATGCGTCTAAAACACTGCTTTAGCTGTGTCCCAGAGATTCCGGTACGTTGTGTATTTGCTTTCATCAGTTTCAAAGAACTTATTTATTTCTCCCTTAATTTCGTTTTGTAACCAGTAGTCATTCAGGAGCAGGTTGTTCAGTTTCCATGTAGTTGTGCGGTTTTGAATGAGTTTCTTAATCCTGAGTTCTAATTTGATTGCACTGTGATCTGAGAGACTATGATGATTTCCATTTTTTTACATTTGCTGAGGAGTGTTTTACTTCCAATTATGTGGTCAATTTTAGAATAAGTGCGATGTGTTGCTCAGAAGAATGTATATTCTTTTGATTTGGGGTGGAGAGTTCTGTAGATGTCTATTAGGTCCCCTTGGTCCAGAGCTGAGTTCAAGTCCTGAATATCCTTGTTAATTTTCTGTCTTGTTGATCTGTCTAATATTGACAGTTGGTGTTAAAGTCTCCCACTGTTGTTGTGTGGGCATCTAAGTCTGTTTGTAGGTCTCTAAGAACTTGCTTTATGAATCTGGGTGCTCCTGTATTGGGTGCATATGTATTTAGGATAGTTAGCTCTTCTTGTTGCGTTGATCCCTTTACCGCTACATAATGCCCTTCTTTGTCTTTTTTTATGTTTGTTGGTTTAAAGTCTGTTTCGTCAGAGACTAGGATTGCAACCGCTGATTTTTTTTGGTTTCCATTTGCTTGGTAAATATTCCTCCATCCTTTTATTTTGAGCCTATTTGTGTCTTTGCACATGAGATGGGCCTCCTGAATACAGCACACTGATGGGTCTTCACTCTTTATCCAGTGTGCCATTCTGTGTCTTTTAGTTGGGGTCATTTAGCCTGTTTACATTTAAGATTAATATTGTTATGTGTGAATGTGATCCTGTTGTTACGATGCTAGGCAAAATAACCTATTAATTGATGCAGTTTCTTCGTAGTGTTGACGGTCTTTACAATTTGGTATGTTTTTGCAGTGGCTGGTACCAGTTGTTCCTTTCCATATTTAGTGCTTCCTTCAGGAGCTCCCATAAGCCAGGCCTGGTGGTGACAAAGTCTCTCAGCATTTGCTTGTCCATAAAGGATTTTATTTCTCCTTTGCTTATGAAGCTTAGTTCGGCTGGATTTGAAATTCTGGGTTGAAAATTCTTTTAAGAATGTTGAATATTGGCCTCCACTCTCCTCTGGCTTGTAGGGTTTCTGCAGAGAGACCTGCTGTTAGTCTGATGGCTTCCCTTTGTGGGTAACCCGACCTTTCTCTCTGGCTGCCCTTAACATTTTTTCCTTCATTTCAACCTTTGTGAATCTTGACGATTATGTTGCTCTTTCTCGAGGAGTATCTTAGTGGTGTTCTCTGAATTTCCTGAATTTGAATGTTAGCCTCTCTTGCTAGGTTGGGGAAGTTCTCCTGGATAATATCCTGCAGAGTATTTTCCAACTTTGTTCCATTCTCCCCGTCACTTTGAGGTGTGCCAATCAAACGTAGGTTTGGTCTTTTCACATAGTCCTATATTTCTTGGAGGCTTTGTTTGTTCCTTTTCATTCTTTTTTTCTCTAATCTTGTCTTCACATTTTATTTCATTAAGTTGATCTTCAGTCTCTGATATCCTTTCTTCTGCTTGATCTATTTGGCTATTAATACTTGTGTATACTTTATGAAGTTCTAAAAATGTGGAAAGCTTCACGAATTTGCATGTCATCCTTGCACAGGGCCCATGCTAATCTTCTCTGTATTGTTCCAATTTTAGTGTATGTGCTGCTGGAGCCAACGCGGAAAGCGTTATTTTTAAAAAGTGTGCTTAACTGCCTTTAAGGAGTATTTTTTACTTGTACTTTGAATGGTACTAAAACATTGAGCCTGGGCTTTCTTCATGAAATCATATACACCAAACACCCCTTTGGGGTTGGGATTTTTGTTAATTCTTTTTTTTTAAAATTTAAATTTACTTTAGGTTCAGGGGTACATGTACTGGTTTGTTATGTAGGGAGACTTGTGTCATGGAGGTTTGTTGTACAGATTATTTTGCCACCCAGGTACTAAGTCTTGTGCCCATTAGTTTTTTTTTTTTTTCCTGATCCTCTCCCTCCTCCCAGCCTCCACCGTCCGATAGGCTGCAGTGTCTCTTATTCCCCTCCGTGGATCTATGTGTTCTCATCATTTAGCTCGCAATTATAAATGAGAACATGTGGTATTTGGTTTTCTCTTTCTGCATTAGTTTGCAAAGGATAATGGCCTCTAGCATCATCCATATTCCTGCAAAGGAAGTGATGTCGTTTTTTCTTACGGCTGTATAGTATTCATGGTATATATGTACCACATTTCCTTTATCCAGTGTTTTATTACGGGCATTTAGGTTGATTCCATGTCTTTGCTGTTGTGAATAGTGCTGCAGTGAACATACGTGTGCATGTGTCTTTATGATAGAAGGATTAATATTCCTTTGGGTATATACTCAGTAATGGAGTTGTAGCCCTGTAATAGAGCTTGAAGTCTGGTAGTGTGAGGCCTTTAAGTTTGTTCTTTTTGCTTAGGATTACCTTGGCTACCTGGGCTCTTTTTTTTTGTTCCATATGAATTTTAAAATAGTTTTTTTCTAGTTCCGTGAAGAATGTCAGTGGTAGTTTAATAGGCATAGGGTTGAATCTATTATATAAATTGCTTTGGGCAGTATGGCCGTTTTCACAATATTGATTCTTCCTACTCATAAGCATGGAGTGTTTTTTCATTTGCTTGTGTCATCTCTGATACCTCTGAGCAGTGTTTTCTAGTTCTCCTTGTAGTATCTTTCACCTCCTTGGTTAGCTGGATTTCTAGGTATTTTGTTCTTTTTGTGGCAGTTGTGAATGGGAGTTCATTCCTGATAGGTCTCTTGGCTTGCCGGTGTATAGGAATGCTAGTGATTTTTGTACGTTGATTTTGTATCCTGAGACTCTGCTGAAGTTGTTTATCAGCATAAGGAGCTTTTGGGCCGGGACTATGGGGTTTTCTAGATATATGATCATGTCATTTACTGAGTTTTTAACATGAAGTGGTGTTGAATTTTATTGAAAGCCTTTTCTGTGTCTATTGAGATAATCATGTAGTATTTGTTTATTTATTTATTTCATGCATAACTCCTCAAGTTAGAGGGAGAAAATAAAATTGCGAGTCAAGGTGGAATTTGTTTGGAAGGCTCTGTGTGATGTTCTCATATAAATTATAGAAATGAGTAGTCTTAGAATATCAGCATTAAATAGAACTTTTAAAAAAATTCATGTAGCAGTAGGACAAAAGAAAAAGGTGTAATTAGCTAGTTAACACTCTGTCTACTATGTAGTAACCTATTTACTATGGGTCATTTACTGATTACCACACGTAATTGTTAGGAAAGTCTTTGTAGCAAAAATGACCATGATGCTCCAGTTTGTGGACAGTAAAGAATCCACTTTGCTTTTGGCTCTTAGTTGTAGGATTACATTTAAAAGATCTCAAATGAATTTACTCTCATTGCAATTAAAAAATATAAACTGTTAACTTCTTATCAAAAACACTTTACTGCTGTTCTTTATATTAAAATAAAGTTAGACGTATGCTGAATCTCATAAAAACTGGTTGGATACAGAATAAAAAAAGTTGATTTATCTCATGCAAATCAAAAACCCCAAAACAGTTTACAACCTATTTTGTAACTCAGAGGATGTTAAACAGGCATCACTCATGTTTTGAGGCATCTTGAGGCATTATTCAGTATATATGATTTTGCCAACTTGGATGGCCTTTGCATTTTCTCAAATTTGCTTGTGTGTTTTTTTTGAGACGGAGTCCCGCACTTTTGGCTGGGCTGGAGTGCAGTGGCGCGATCTCAGCTCACTGCAAGCTCTGCCTCCCGGGTTCAAGCAATTCTCCTGCCTCAGCCTCCTGAGTAGCTGGGATTACAGGCGCATGCCACCATACCTGTCTAATTTTTTGTATTTTTGTTTTTTTTTTTTTTTTGAGATGGAGTCTCGCTCTGTTGCCCAGGCTGGAGAGCAGTGGTACGATCGGCTTACTGCAAGCTCCGCCTCCCGGGTTCACGCCATTCTTCTGCCTCAGCCTCCTGAGTAGCTGGGACTACAGGTGCCCACCACCAAGCCCAGCTAATTTTTTGTGTGTTTAGTAGAGACGGGGTTTCACCATGTTAGCTAGAATGCTCTTGATCTCCTGACTTCGTGATCCGCCCACCTCGGCCTCCCGAAGATTTTTTGTATTTTTAATAGAGACGAGGTTTCACCATGCTGGCCAGGCTGATCTTGAACTCCTGACCTCGTGATCCGCCTGCCTTGGCCTCCCAAAGTGCTGGGATTACAGGTGCAAGCCACCGTGCCCGGCCATGTGTGTGTTTTTAAAACTATTTTTTAAATTCCATTTCTTGTCTGGGCACGGTGGCTCACGCCTGTAATCCCAGCTTTGGGAAGCCGAGATGGGTGGATCACGAGGTCAGGAGTTCGAGACCAGCCTGACCAACATGGTGAAACCTCATCTTTAATAAAAATACAAAAATTAGCTGGGCATGGTGGCAGGCACCTGTAATCCCAGCTACTCAGGAGGCTGAGGCAGGAGAATAGCTTGAACCCGGGAGGCGGAGGTTGCAATGAGCCGTGATCGCACCATTGCACTGCAGCCTGGGTGGCAGAGCAAGACTCCGTCTTGGAAAATAAAAAAAAAATTTCTTAAAGAATTGGAGCCATCAAAGTTGGCAAGCATTAAGCATGCTAATTAGTTCAACATACTGACCAATTCTCTGAATTATTAGTTCAAAGAAGCATGTGGACAGGGATGAAATTAAATTTGGGAATTTTTCACTCTAGTTGTTTTAGGATACTCAGGTTTGCTTTGATCTGTAAATAACAGATGCTTTTCCATGCATGGTTTAGAGTACATCAAACATGTTCAAAACTTTATCTCAGATACTTAAAATCAAGTTATTTTATTTTCCTGATATACATGCATTTGCTTTATTTTTAAAAATAAACTGTCATAAAATAGTTGTAAGGCCATACATAAAATTTACTTTATTAATTGCTAAAATATATTGCTTATTTAAATAATCAGTTTTAAGAGTAAAAGCTTTGGCAACTATGAAAGCATAGGGAGTATGTGTTCATATGTGAATGTATTGTGTGTGTATGCATAGTATACTTTTAGGTATCTAAGTAGTGAAGATAAATGTCTGCTTTACTTTTATTAGCTAAATATTATATTTAACTTAATAATTATTTAATCACTAGAATGAAAATAAAACTTTGAACAGAAGCATTGTTTTTAACTTAAGTTTCATAGTTTACTACCTCTTTTGGCTCTTAACCATAATTTTAGTACTGGGAAGAATTTTTTTAACGAATGGCATAAAATGGATTGCAGATGGGATGAGAAAGGTGCAGGACCAAGAGGGTAAGAACTGAGAAGTCCTCGATTCTGTTTTCCACACTCCCTGAACAGAAGGCTTGACTGGCGTAGGCCCTGCTCCAACCTAGTGTAGGCTGCAGGAAGCCATGTGACAAGAGTCCAGATTGTTGTCCAATGGTGGAAGCCTCCCATTTATAAGTAATAATAAGAATAAGAATGTTTGGCATTGAGCGAGGTGCGGTGGCTCACGCCTGTAATCCCAGCACTTTGGGAGGCTGAGGCGGGTGGATCACCTGAGGTCAGAAGTTCAAAACCAGCCAGGCCAACATGATGAAACCCCTATCTCTATTAAAAATACAAAAAAAATAGCTGGGCATGGTTGTGGGTGCCTGTAATCCCAGCTATTCGGGAGGCTGAGGCAGGAGAATTGCTTGAATCCGGGAGGTGGAGGTTGCAGTGAGCCAAGATCGTGCCATTGCCCTCCAGCCTGGTCAACAACAGTGAAACTCCATCTCAAAAAAAAAAAAAAAAAAAAGAATGTCTGGCATTAATTCTAGAACTGAGATGCTCTTTTGCTTAGTAAAGTCATTTTTTCTTTTTGATCATTAAGCTACATGAGGTTTTGTAATGCATTCCATTTGTGGCTGTTCTTTATCAAAATATTACTATAACAGTAGCTTCCTTAGTACATCAGACATCAGGACACTGAAGGTCTAGTTGCAGTTTTGCCACTCGCTATCTTGTGCCTTTTGAAGTTGTTTAATCTCTCTGGGTATTGATTTCCTTTTTTAAAAAATAGTTGGTAAACTATGACCTGTGGGCCTAATCCAGATCACAGCCTGTTTTTGTAATAAAGCTTTATTGGCATGCAGCCACTTTCTTTCATTTATGTATTGTCTGTCTGCTTTCACACAACAGTGGCAGAGTTGAGTAGTTGTAACAGAGACTGTATGGACCATAAAGCCTAAGCTATTTATTATCTGACTCTTTACAGAAAAAGTTTTCTGAATCCTAGACTAGATCATCTTTGAGGGCTGTGCTGTGCCTTAGATTAGATTTCCTTTTTGTCAATTTCTCTTTAATTCTAAGTTCTCAAAAGATGTCTGTCTTTAAAGGATATAGCATATCATTTCCTCGTTATCAAATTTGCAAATTATGAAAAGAAGGAAAATACTGAGTAGATCATTGGTTCCCAAAGTACAGTCCCTCCACGAATAGCAGCTGCATTCCCTAGGAACTTGCTAGAAATGCAGAATCTAAGTCCCCACTTGAGATCTTCTGAATCAGAAACTTGGGGTGAGGCCCAGAATTTGTGTTATACACCCTCTGCATGATTCTGATGCATTCTGAAGTGTGAGAACCACTGGACTAGGTGATACAAAGTTCAGT
Source organism: Homo sapiens (assembly GCF_000001405.40). Taxonomy (NCBI): domain Eukaryota; kingdom Metazoa; phylum Chordata; class Mammalia; order Primates; family Hominidae; genus Homo; species Homo sapiens. Next base: position 66,298,203 of record NC_000003.12, read on the forward strand.
TAACAGATTTTCTTCTGTTTTGAAAAAAAGAAGAGCTTAAATACCAAAACCATTTGATAGGTATATCAGGAGGAAAATGAAATGTTGGATATTATTACTAAGCTGGTGAAATTAATATTTTCTCTAGTAAAACTCCTTGTCATAAATTGTGGATAAGTTTTAATATAATGAGAAATTTCTGAGAGGTACATCTGTGTCACTTTCAGCATATTTTTAATGGACAGAAAAGTAAATATGATTTATTTCTTTGTGGGGTTTTCTTTTTTTGGTGGGAGATCACTTTGAATTATTTCAAAACTGATGATTTGTAATAAACAGTTTTCAGAATAAAAGAATTACATTAAGAATTAATTTGCTTGTGAAGAAAGTGTCTTAAGAAAAGAGCATTTAAGGGGCACAGCAGCCTCTGCTGTAGCTGGATTTCTTACCCATTTTAAGTGACATCAGTGTTGAATTGACTTTTTCCTCAGTGCTAAAAGCTGCTAGAAATGAGCACCAGTCACACTACTGATCTGTGTTAGGAAAGATCACAAACACAGTACTTTGTAATAAATGTCAGAGGAATAGCAAAATTGTACATGTCAAGAAAGCATTACAGGATGACGTTGCTATTTGGAGAATTGCTTTCATCTTTGAGATATCTCACACCTGCTTCATTTGGCATAGGTTGTTTCTATTTCATGAAAAACAGTCTTTTCCCTCCCCCAGATCCCAAGTTACATAGAAACAGTATGCTAACAAGGGAAAAATTTTAACATAAAAACTCACTTGAAGGTGCCATCTAAAAACTCAGTGTGTAAACTTAGTTAACTAACTTTATTTTGTTGAAAAGGGACCCTTGGTTTGTGTGTGTGTATGTGTGTGTACACATGAATACGTACCTATGTATACATTTGTTACTGTGTGTGTGTTTATATATGTATGTATACAGTTCATTTGATGTGCGTGTATATGCACCCATTTCCATGTATGTATTTAAAAGAATACATACAACAAACTTTTTTTTTGAGGCAAAGTTTCCCTCTGTCACCCAGGCTGGAGTGCAGTGGCACAGTCTCGACTCACTGCAACCTCCGCCTCCTGGGTTCCAAGCGATTCTCATGTCTCAGCCTCCCGAGTAGCTGGGACTACAGATGTGTGCCACCATGCCTGGCTAATTTTTGTGTTAGTAGAGACTGGGTTTTGCTGTGTTGGCCAGGCTGGTCTTGAAGTCCTGGCCTCAAGTGATCTGCTCACCTCAGCCTCCGAAAATGCTGGGATTATAAGTGTGAGCCGATGTGCTTGGCAAACAAACTTTTGTATATATAATCCTTTCATACTAATATTTAACTACTTGTAAAAACTATGTTAACCCCCAGTCACTAACACAGTTCCGTAGTCCATATTTATTATTGCTTCTTTCACTTTTCTCCTTTCTTCATGCATGAAAATATAATGTGATCCAAGGGGGTATGTGTGCATGAGGTGTGTGTTTATAGAGTAACAGTTAAATGTCTCGAAATAAACTGATTTGGATTTTTAGGTTATAGATGTTTTTGTTTTTTATTAAACGTCTTGATTGTTTGACTGTCATGGTTGTTTGTATAACTCCTTGAGAAACTTCCACATGCGGGTAGTTTTTGAAAAAGAAAATATTTATTTGCTTCAGTTTTTCAGGGGATGGTATCATACTGCTTTTTCACATTTTATGGGTGACATATTTGGCTATCTCTGGGCAAAAATCCAGTTAAAAATAATAGTATTTAATATTTAATAAACTACCAGGCTTTTGAGCCATCTGGAACTTTATTTTCTTTGCACGCAGCATCTGAGTTTCAGCTGTTAGCGTTTCTCCTTTGCTCTGGGAAGGGTCAATTGCTTTTAAAGTCTTTGAAGCTTGCTGTGTCAGCCCTTTTCATATTTTCAAAATGCCCGTGTAAAAGGGTTTTTCATCCATTCATGCTGATAAGTCTTTTGAACTTGAGGTTTGAACCAAGCTAATCAAATTTAATTATAGCTTAAATCCCGTTACAGTGAACTCCAGTGGACTTCTAGGCTAGGGTTTTTTTGTTTTGTTTTTTTTTTTTTTTTTGGTGTTATACTGGAATTTAGCCATTACCAATATTACTTGAAGTGAGCAGGCCATTGACTGCAGTTTGGGAGACCTTTTGTAATGGTCAGATTTTAGTTATAGTGACATTGGCAATATGATTTGAACTTTATTCTTTTCCAAAGGAAATAATTGAATTAGCCACAAGTAAAATTTCTTGTTCTTTGCATATATTTCAAATTACCTTTTCCTATTTGTCTTAAACAATTTTGAACAATTAAAATCTTAAAAGTACTTTCTTAAAGAGTCCTTTGGTGGTGGTGTCGCTGATGCTCGTTTTTTGTTTTTAAGATCCATAACAGAATAAGGATTTATATACATCCTCCTAGGGATAATGTCATGGTTTCTGCATATTTGCATAGCATTTTGAGAGAGACTTTTTCCTTTTTGCTTCATGAAAAAAAGTTTGAGCAGTATAATTTTCTAGAAAGAAGGAAATATAAATATTTTAGACTGTAGCATATACTAAAGGGAGGTGGACTAGTACTGATATTTTTAGTGCTTTCTTCAAAATGATTGCTAACACGTGTATTATATTTTAGTATCTTGTTGCATTCACTTGTTAATCTGTATTTATGCTTCTGTATATGCAGAGTTTTTTGTTTTTTCCAACACAATTTAAAATTCTACTTAAAAATTACTTGTTTGGATTTCTAAGCAGATTTGGGAATTACGGCATTGAAAATACTTTGTTGCTTTTTATGTCTCAATAAAGTCTATGCATTTTTATAATATTGGACCAGTGTTTGACCTGCCAGAATAAAATGATGATAGAACTCATTGTGTCCTCAAATAATTGGATTCTGAAATGGAAGATAGGGTTCATGAAGAATAAAAAATAGTAGATCTCATGTAAAGGTGAAAATTTACTTTTCTTTTTAGTATTCAACTCAAAATTGCCAGTTTCCCTGAATTTATTATAGCAATTTCTCTTGTTTTAAAATGAAGTGAAATGTGAAGTTAATTTACATACTAGCTGCTTTGAAGTGTAATTTTGCTTGCCAAGTTGTTACAGATTTTTATACAGACTTTTTAAGGAATTTAGTAATAATGCTGCCACAGTGTGTAGGACAAGTTCATGCCTTGCATCTTTGATGGGCGTTAGAATTGTTTGCCACAGTTCCCACTCTGGTTGGAGGGCACAACCAATTCGTCTATGCCTTTTGACTTCCATGCCGGAGAGTGTGACTTCTGCATCTGTTTGTTAGTATTTTTATGTAAGCAGAAGCCAAGAATGTCATTAGAAAGTAAAACTTTAACAAGAGGGACTGAATCCTACTAGGCCAACATAATTTATAGAGAGCAGGGGCTAACATTTTCATTTGGGAAAAATGCTTCCATTTCTATACGTGTTTAGACGGAGTACCTTAAGCATTGTTTTAGTCTTTTCCTATCTACATGTTACCATTCAGAACTTAGGTGGATGAAACACATTTTATATGTAGTTACAGAGAGATACAGAATTAAAAGCCTACAGATACAAGCATTAGAATTGTGACGGGGGTAATTAGAAACATGGAGTCTGAAGGTAGCCTATCTGGATTCAAATCCCAGCTCCAGTACTTAGCCATGTGGCCTTAGGCAAGTTATTTAAACTGACTTATTTTGTTCCTCTGTAAGATGAGAGTAACAATAATACCAACCTCATAAGGTTGTTGGGAAAATTACATGTGTTCCTGCATATGAAGTGCTTAGGACAGTGCCTGAAATACAGTCCTATATAAATGTTATAATTTATGATTATTGTTGTGATGATAATGATGATAATATCACTAGCAGCTCCTCTGAAACTTGTTGGCCTCATCCAAGGCCTATCACTTAGCTTTATCCCCAGTGTCTCTAATACTCCATCTGTTGTGCAGAAGTATATCCTGAACCTTCCTCCCTCTGAATTTGCCCACTTGGCACCTCTTCATTTGCTCTTACAATCTCTAGACCATAAATTTCAAAGACGTGGCCCAAAATGTTGGACTCAAGGTTTTTGCAAACTACAAGCTAACATGTTAAAATTGAGTGGTTTCATATACAACTCCAGTTATCCAAGTTTTCTTGGACAATCTGGGTATCTGGTCATAGTGGGCCTACATTTCTGCATGGCAGTAATTGTCTAGAACAGAGTAGCGGCTGCTTGTTTTGACAGAAACTGCTCTCCATGTCATCAGAGTCCCTGCCACTTCCTGTTGTTTTGACACTTTTCTCATTCTAGTCATCGATATCATTTTTTTGGGTCATGTAATACTTATTTGCTGCCAGCAGTTTAGAGTAAGCAGCGGTTCTCCACCATGTGTTCTGCACACTCATACTCCACTAGGCCTTTGCTGATAGGTCACCAGATTTTGATTCATGTGTAAAACATACATTAGTTAAAATCAAGTATGCATAATAGTGTTTTGGCTTTGTCTGTCAGAAGCAACATTGAGCTGGGCAGGTGTGCTTGTGTATTAGAGCTAGATACAACTTGGTGAAAAGGTTAGCCCATATTTAAGTTCAAACCAAAGAACAGTGATTAAAGCCCAAGCCAAAGAAAATTGAGATATGGGAGAGCTTTGCCTTCTGAGTGTGTAAGGGAGCACAGGTGGTGCACGCCATGTGTTCAGTGTCTCAGTGCTAGGGAGTCAGCAGGGATAAAGAAAGATAACTGATGCCTTAGAGCAGAGTTTAAGGGGCTGTGGATTGTGTCCATGGGGACCCCCCTTTGCATTCCAGGCTGTGTAGCAGCATCCCTGGCCTCTACCCACTAGATACCAGGAGCACCTCCCGTGAGTAGTGACAATTTAAATGTCCCCTGGGAGGTTGAAAGATGCAGAAGACATTATAATATAGTAGTTATCATGGTCTAGTCACTGTTGACATCTTTAATACTGCTTTTAGTCTTTGAATCCTTTGAAATATTGGCTTTGTACTCCACTTTTCTAAAGCATTCAGTATTTATTTTATGGCCATTTTACTACAGTATCAGAGAGGAGATATACTTCTCTCCCCCTCTCTAGTCAAGCACAACTGCAAGTATCTTTAAGGCGCAGCCACCTTTAAGGAAAGACTTCTGGGAACAGCTAACTGTGTTGGAGGAACTGGGCTGTGGCTCGTCCTCTGCTGCTCGTTAGCCCTGTGAACCTGGGGAGGCTAGCTCCCTCTCTTAGTCTTGGCTAAAAGTGAGGTGGCTGGATCAGATAATCAGCAAGATGCCTTCCAGGTAAGATTAGGCTGTAAGTCAGAAAATATTGTAGGACTTCTGAAACTTTAACTGCCAGTCAAGATCACTTAACTAGAATGTCCCACATTTTTCACTCCATTGAAATGAGTAACTTCAAGTGTCATGTAACATCAGGATCACTTAGGGGAATGTCTAGAGGTGCAGTAGATGATTGTTAGCTTTCTGTTGCTGTGTAATGAATTACCACAACTTTAGTGGTTTAAGGTGACATATATTGATGATCTCATGGGTCTCTACAGCAGCAGTCTGAGGACCGCGTGGCTGAGTTCTCCATTCACTGTTTCACACAGTGACAGTCAAGGTGTTGCAGGGACTGTGATCTCATCTGAGGCTAGGGTCCTCTTCCAAATGCACAGGGCGGTTGGCAGATGGCATTTCCTTGTGGCAGTATGACTGAGGATCCTGTTTCTTGTTAGCGATTGGATGGTGACCACACTTTACTTCCAGAGGCTGCTCTGAGGTCCTTGCCATGTGGCCCCCTCCATAGGCCCTTTTACAACATGAAATTTTATTTCTTCAGAGCCAGCAGGAGAATCTCTCACACTTCAGATCTTGTTAGGAAGGGGCTGGTTTTTCTAAGAACTCACCTTTGAAGTCAAGCCCATCCACGATAATTTCCCTCTTGATAAACTCAGAACCAACTGATGGGGGAACTTAATTAAATCTGCAGAATCCATTCATATTTCTGATTAAATGTAACTTCGTCACAGGACTTGTCTTTGTCCTGTTCACGGTCCCATCCACACTGGATGGGGGAGGATTATACAGGGCGGGTACATCAGGGAGTGGGAATCTTGGGGGCCTCCCACAATGCCTCTTGATTTAAAAAGATTCTGGAGCATACTTTTTCTTATGTCTCATATCTAAGCTAATATCTTCCCTTTTCTGTTCAGTTTCAGTTTTGTGTTCACATGTCTGTTGTCATATTTTTTCTTCTATTTTTGCAGGAGGAGGATTAGAGTCAAAGGTGTGGGGAGGCTTGTGAGCTTCTGTGAGTTGTTGTGTGTGGCTTGTATACATGCTGTTATACTGGTAAGCTCTGTAACAACCCCTGATTGCTGAACATGCTAACTGGGATATACGCTACATGGTTCACTGGTGCTTTCAGGAAACCATCGAGGTGTCAGGCATTGAGGATTCGTTGTTCACTAATACATTCTTTAAAATGCTTTTAGAATCATTATATCCAGTTTCCTTTCTCTCTGTACATGGGACTGATTAACCACCATGTGGGTGGAAATCTAATTTGTTGCTGGCTCAGAACTTTGCAATTTTCAATACTTTGCAGAATTATCCTGTTTACCAAATGAATTGTGATAAAAATTGATACATTAGTATTAAGAGGATGACTTATAACATGTACTATGATTTATAGGGCCAAAAAGACCTGATAAACTCACAACCATTTTACCCCATAATGTTAAGAAACTCAAAAGATTTTGTCACCAAAAAGTGTATCTTGTGATTTATTTTTTATGACACGGTAGTATCACTTGTTAGAGTTCTGAGATTCTTTATTAGCAACTGACAGTTTTCTAGGAACTGAATTTTTACACTTAGAGCTGCGAAAAGCCAAAAGCATTTCTAAATGATCTCCATCCCATTCCCCTCAAATAATAATGTACACGCTCATTATAGTTTGTTAGTTTCTCATGCCTTTCTTTGGTGTTCTCATGGTTGTGAGAAGTTGGGAGAAGCAGCGTCTAAATTTAGGAAATGGATTTCTTTTCTGTTACTAAGTACATTGCTATAATTTAAAGACAACAGGAGAACATGTCTTTTATCTCAAATGGGTCTGCTATTTTTCTTCTAAGGTGTTTCTCTAAGAGTAACATTATGTAATTTAATCAGTGTTATAAAAAATGGAATTCCTGGTTAGGATTTTAAAAGGTGATGTTAACAGATATCAAATTTTTTATATTAGGGATTGAAGGACTTTTATTTATTTATTTCATTTTAATTTTTAAGCTCCAGGATACATATGTAGGATATGCAGCTTTGTTACATAGGTAAATATGTGCTATGGTGGTTTGCTGCACCTGTCAACCCATCACCTTGGTATTAAGCCCAGCATGCATTAGCCATCTTTCCTAATGCTCCCCTTCCCCCCACCCCACCCTGTGAAAGGCCCCAGAGTGTGTTGTTTCCCTCCCTGTGTCCATGTGTTCTCATTGTTCACTTACAAGTGAGAGCATGTGGTATTTGGTTTGGGTTGATTCCTTGTCTTTGCTATTGTGAATAGTGCTGCAGTGAACATACATGTGCGTGTGTCTTTGTAATATAATGATTTATATTCCTTTGAGCATATACCCTGTAATGGGATTGCTGGGTCAAATGGTATTTCTGGTTCTTGCTCTTTGAGGAATTGCCACCCCATCTTCCACAATGGTTGAACTAATTTACATTTTCACCAATAGCGTAAAAGCATTCCTGTCTTTCCTCAACCTCGCCAGCATCTATTGTTTCTTTCTTTTTTTCTTTTTCTTTTCTTTTTTTTGAGATGGAGTCTCGCTCTGTTGCCTAGGCTGGAGTGCAGTGGCACTAACATGACTCACTTTAACCTCTGCCTGCCAATTTCAAGCAGTTCTCCTGCGTCAGCCTCCCGAGTAGCTGGGACTACAGGTGTGCACCACCATGCCCAGCTAATTTTTTGTTTAGTAGAAACAAGGTTTCACCATGCTGGCCAGGCTGGTTTCAAACTCCTGACCTCGTGATTCACCCACCTTGGCCTCCCAAAGTGCTAGGATTACAGGCGTAAGCCACTGCGCCTGGTCTGTTTCTTAACTTTGTAATAATTGCCATTGTGAATGGCGTGAGACGGTATCTCATTGTGGTTTTGATTTTCATTTCTCTAATCAGTGATGTTGAGCTTTTTTTTCTTATGTTTGTTGGCTGCATGAATGTCTTCTTTTGAGAAGTGTCTTTTCATGTCCTTTGCCCACTTTTTAATAGGGTTGTTTTTCTTTTTCTTGTCTCTCTCTTTTTTCTTTTCTTTTTTAATACTTTAAGTTCTGGGGATACATGTGCACAACGTGCAGGTTTGTTACATAGGTATACATGTGCCATGGTGGTTTGCTGCACCCATCAACCTGTCATCTAGATTTTAAGCCCCACATGCGTTAGGTATTTCTCCTAATGCTATCCATCCCCTTGCCCCCAGCCCCCAACAGGCCCCAGTGTGAGATGTTCCCCTCCCTGGGTCCATGTGTTCTCATTGTTCACCTCCCACTTATGAGCAAGAACATATGGTGTTTGGTTTTCTGTTCCTGTGTTAGTTTGCTGGGAATGATGGTTTTTAGCTTCATCCATGTCCCTGCAAAGGACATGAACTCATACTTTTTTATGGTTGCATAGTATTCCATGGTGTGTATGTGCCACATTTTCTTTATCCAGTCTATCATTGATGGGCATTTGGGTTGGTTCCAAGTCTTTGGTATTGTAAATAGTGCTGCAGTAAACATATGTGTGTGTGTGCCTTTATAGTAGAATGATTTGTAATCCTTTGGGTATATACCCAGTAATGGGATTGGTGGGTCAAATGCTATTTCTGGTTCTAGTTCCTTGAGGAATTGCTGCACTGTCTTCCATAATGGTTAAACTAATTTACACTCCCACCAACAGTGTGAAGGTGTCTGTTTCTCCACATCCTCTCCAGCATCTGTTGTTTCCTGACTCTTTAATGATCGTCATTGTAACTGGAGTGAGATGGTATCTCATTGTGGTTTTGATTTGCGTTTCTCTAATGAGCAGTGATGATGAGCTTTTTTTCATTTGTTTGTTGGCCGCATAAATGTCTTCTTTTGAGAAGTGTCTGTTAATATCCTTTGCCCACTTTCTGATGGGGTCGTTTGTTTTTTCTTGTAAATTTATTTAAGTTCCTTGTAGATTCTGGATATTAACCCTTTGTCAGATGGATAGATTGCAAAATTTTCTCCCATTCTGTAGGTTGCCTGTTCACTCTGATGATAGTTTCTTTTGCTGTGCAGAAGCTCTTTAGTTTAATTAGATCCCATTTGTCAATTTTGGCTGTTGTTGCCGTTGCTTTTGGTGTTTTAATCATGAAGTCTTTGCCCATGCCTACGTCCTGAATGGTATTACCTAGGTTTTCTTCTATGGTTTTTATGGTTTTAGGTCTTACGTTTAAGTCTTACATCTTGAGTTAATTTTTGTATTAGGTATAAGGAAGGGGTCCAGTTTGAGTTTTCTGCATATGGCTAGCCAGTTTTCCCAACACCATTTATTAAATAGGGAATCCTTTCCCCACTGCTTGTTTTTGTCAGGTTTGTCAAAGAGCAGATGGTTGTAGATGTGTGGTGTTATTTCTGAGGCCTCTGTTCTGTTCCATTGGTTTATGTATCTGTTCTGGTACCAGTACCCTGCTGTTTAGGGTTGCTGTAGCCTTGTAGTATAGTTTGAAGTCAGGTAGCATGATGCCTCCAGCTTTGTTCTTTTTGCTTAGGATTGTCTTGGCTATACGGGTCTTCTTTGGTTCCATATGAAATTTAAAGTAGTTTTTTTCTAATTCTGTGAAGAAAGTCAATGGTAGCTTGATGGGGGTAGCATTGAATCTATAAATTACTTTGGGCAGTATGGGCATTTTCATGATATTGATTCTTCCTATCCATGAGCATGGAGTGTTTTTCCATTTGTTTGGGTCCTCTCTTATTTTCTTGAGCAGTAATTTGTAGTTCTCCTTTAAGAGGTCCTTCACATCTCTTGTAAGTTGTATTCCTAGGTATTTTATTCTCTTTGTAGCAGTTGTGAATGGGCGTTCACTCATGATTTGGCTCTCTGATTGTCTGTTAATGGTATGTAGGAATGCTTGTGATTTTTGCGCATTGATTTTGTATCCTGAGACTTTGCTGAAGTTGCTTATCGGCTTAAGGAGATTTGGGGCTGCGATGATGGAGTTTTCAAAATATACAATCTTGTTAACTGCAAACGGAGAGAATTTGACTTCCTCTCTTCCTATTTGAATACCCTTTATTTCTTTCTCTTGCCTGATTGCCCTGGCCATAACTTCCAGTACTATGTTGAATAGGAGTGGTGAGAGAGGGCAGCCTTCTGCTGTGCCGGTTTTCAAAGTTAATGCTTCTAGCTTTTCCCCATTGAGTATGACACTGGCTATGAGTTTGTCATAACTATTCCATAACTATTCATAACTATTCCATAACTATTCCATATATTCCGTAACTGTTCCTGGTTTATTGGGTGTTTTTAGCATGAAGGGGTGGTTAGCATGAAGGTGAATTTTATTGAAAGCCTTTTCTGCATCTGTTGAGATAATCATGTGATTTTTGTCATTGGTTCTGTTTATGTGATGGATTATGTTTATTGATTTGTATATGTTGAACCAACCTTGCATCCCAGGGATGAAGCCTGCTTGATCATGGTGGATAAGCTTTTTGATGTGCTGCTGGATTCGGTTTGCCAGAATTTTATTGAGGATTTTCGCGTCCATGTTTATCAGGGATCTTGGCCTGAAATTTTCTTTTTTTGTTGTGTCTCTGTCAGGTTTTGGTTTCAGGAAGAAGCTGGCCTCATAAAGTGAGTTAGGGAGGAGTCCTTCTTTTTCTGTTGTTTGGAATAGTTTCAGAAGGAATGGTACCTCTGGTAGAATTCGGCTGTGAGCCATCTGGGCTCTTTTTGGTTGGTAGGCTATTAATTACTGCATCAATTTCAGAACTTGTTATTGGACTATTCAGGGATTCGACTTCTTCCTGGTTTAGTCTTGGGAGGGTGTATGTGTCCAGGAATTTATCCATTCCTTCTAGATTTTCTAGTTTATTTGCATAGAGGTGTTTATAGTATTCTCTGATGGTAGTTTGTATTTTTATGGGATTAGTGGTGATATCCACTTTATCATTTTTTATTGTGTCTATTTGATTCTTCTCTCTTCATTGGTCTGGCTAGTGGTCTATTTTGTTAATCTTTTCAAAAAACCAGCTCCTGGATTCATTGATTTTTTTTTTAAAGTGTTTTTCATGTCTCTATATCCTTCAATTCTGCTCTGATCTTAATTATTTCTTGTCTTCTGCTAGCTTTCGAATTTGTTTGCTCTTACTTCTCTAGTTCTTTTAATTGTGATGTTAGGGTGTCGGTTTTAGATCTTTCCCACTTTCGCCTGTGTGCATTAGTGCTGTAAATTTCCCTCTAAACACTGCTTTAAATGTGTCCCAGAGATTCTGGTATGTTGTGTCTTTGTTCTCATTGGTTTCGAAGAGCTTATTTGTTTCTGCCTTAATTTCGTTATTTATCTAATAGTCATTCAGGAGCAGGTTGTTTCCGTGTAGTTGCGTGGTTTTGAGTGAATTTCTTAATCCTGAGTTCTAATTTGATTGCACTGTGGTCTGAGAGACTGTTTGTTATGATTTCCATTATTTTGCATTTGCTGAGGAATGTTTTACTTCCATTTATGTGGTCGATTTTAGAATCAGTGCTGTGTGGTGCTGAGAAGAATGTATATTCTGTTGATTTGGGGTGGAGAGTTCTGTAGATGTCAGTCAGGTCCCCTCGGTCCGGAGCTGAGTCCAAGTCCTGAATATCCTTGTTAATTTTCTGTCTCGCTGATCTAGCTAATATTGACAGTGAGGTGTTAAAGTCTCCCACTATTATTGTGTGGAAGTCTAAGTTTCTTTGTAGGTCTCTAAGAACTTGCTTTATGAATCTGAGTGCTCCTGTATTGGGTGCATATATATTTAGGATAGTTAGCTTTTCTTGTTGAATTGACCCCTTTGCCGTTATGTAATGCCTTTCTTTGTCTTTTTTGATGTTTGTTGGTTTAAAGTCTGTTTTGTCAGAGACAAGGATTGCAACCCCTGCTTTTTTTTGCTTTCCATTGGCTTGGTAAATATTCCTCCATCCCTTTATTTTGAGCCTATTTGTGTCTTTGCATGTGATATGGGTCTCCTGAATACAGCACGCCAGTGGGTCTTAACTCTATCCAATTTGCCAGTCTGTTTCTTTTAACTGGGGCATCTAGCCCATTTACATTTAAGGTTAATATTGTTATGTGTGAATTCGATCTGTCATGATGCTAGCTGTTTATTTTGCACATTAGTTGATGCAGTTTCTTTGTGGTGTCAGTGGTCTTTACAATTTGTTGTTTTTGCAGTAGCTGGTATGGGATTTTCCTTTCCATATTTAGCACTTCCTTCAGGAGCTCTTGTAAGGCAGGCCCGGTGGTGACAAAATCTCTTAGCATTTGCTTGTCTGTAAAGGATTTTATTTCTTCTTTGCTTATGAAGCTTAGTTTGGCTGGATATGAAATTCTGGGTTGAAAGTTCTTTTCTTTAAGAATGTTGAATATTGGCCTTTACTCTCTTTTGGCTTGTAGCGTTTCTACAGAGAGATCTGCTGTTAGTCTGATGGGCTTCACCTTGTAGGTAGCCTGACCTTTCTCTCCGGCTGCCCTTAACATTTTTTCCTTCCTTTCAACCTTGGTGAATCTGATGATTATGTGTCTTGGGTTGATCTTCTCGAGGAGTATCTTAGTGGTGCTCTCTGTATTTCCTGAATTTGAATGTTGGCCTTTCTTGCTAGGTTGGAGAAGTTCTCCTGGGTAATATCCTCAAGTGTGTTTTCCAACGTGGTTCCATTCTCCCTGTCACTTTCGGGTACACCAATCAATCGTAGGTTTGGTCTTTTCACATAGTCCGATATTTCTTGGAGGCTTTGTTCGTTCCTTTTCATTATTTTTTCTCATCTTGTCGTCACACTTTATTTCATTAAGTTGATCTTCAGTCTCTGATAGCCTTTCTTCTGCTTGATCGATTCGGCTATTGATACTTGTGTATGCTTCACGAAATTCTCGTGCTGTGTTTTCCAGCTCCATCAGGTCATTTATGTTCGTGTCTAAACTGGTTATTCTAGTTAGCTGTTCCTGTAACCTTTTATCAAGGTTCTTAGCTTGCTTTCATTGGGTTAGAACATGCTCCTTTAGCTCCGAGGAGTTTGTTATTACCCACCTTCTGAAGTGTACTTCTGTCAGTTTTTCATACTCATTTTCTGCCCAGTTTTGTTCCCTTGCTGGTGAGGAGTTGTGATCGTTTGGAGAAGAGGTATTCTGGTTTTTGGAGTTTTCAGCCTTTTTTTGGTGGTTTTTCCTCATCTTCATGGATTTGTCTGCCTTTGATCTTTGACGCGGATGACTTTTGGATAGGGTTTTTGCGTGGGTGTCCTTTTTGTTTTTGTTGATGTTATTGCTTTATGTTTGTTAGTTTTCCTTCTAACAGTCAGGCCCCTCTGCTGCAGGTCTGCTGGAGTTTGCTGGACGTTCATTTCAGACCCTGTGTGCCTGGGTATCACCACCAGAGGCTGCAGAACAGCAAAGCTTGCTGCCTGCTCCTTCCTCTGAAAGCTTTGTCCCAGAGGGGCACATACCAGATGCCAGCTGGAGCTCTTTTTTATGAGGTGTCTGTTGAACCCTCCTGGGAGGTGTCTCCCCATCAGGAAGCATGGGGGTCAGGGACCCACTTGAGGAGGCAGTGTGTCCCTTAGCAGAGCTCAAGTGCTGTGCTGCGAGATCCACTCCTCTCTTCAGAGCTGGCAGACAGGAACAGTTAAGTCTGCTGAAGCTGTGCCCACAGCTGCCTGTTCCCCCAGGTGCCCTGTCTTATGGAGATGGGAGTTTTATCTATAAGCACCTGACTGGGGCTGCTGCCTTTCTGTCAGAGATGCCCTGCCCAGTGAGGCAGTCTAGAGAGGCAGTCTGGCTACTGTGGCTTTGCAGTGGGTTCTGCCCAGCCCGAACTTCGCCGCAGCTTTGTTTACACTGTGAGGGGAAAACCACCTACTCAAGCTTCAGTAATGGTGGATGCCCTTCCCCTAACCAAACCCAATCACCCCAGGTCGACTTCAGAATGCTTTGCTGGCAGCAAGAATTTCAAGCCAGTGGATCTTAGCTTGCTGGGCTCTGTGGGGGTGGAGCCTACTGGGCAAGATCACTTGGCTTCCTGGCTTCAGCCCCCTTTCCATGGGAGTAAACAGTTCTGTCTCACTGGGGTTCCAGGTGTCACTGGGTACGAAGAAAAAAAAGAAACAACAGAAAAAAAAAAACTCCTGCACCTAGCTCTGCCCAAACAGCCACCCAGTTTTGTGCTTGAAACCCAAGACCCTGGTGGCGTAGGCACTAGAGGGAATCTCCTCGTCTGTGGGTTGCGAAGACTGTGGGAAAAGCATAGTATTTGGGCTGGAATGCACCATTCCTCATGACACAGTCCCTCAAGGCTTCCCTTGTTTAGGGGAGGTAGTTCCCTGGCCCCTAGTGCTTCTCGGGTGAGGCAACACCCCACCCTGCATCTGCTTGCCCACTGTGGGCTGCACCCACTGTCTAACCAGTCCCATTGAGATGAACCGGGTACCTCAGTTGGAAATGCAGAAATCACCCACCTTCTGTTATGGCCTTGCTGGGAGCTACATATCGGAGCTGTTCCTATTCAGCCATCTTGCCAGATCCCCCTGTTTGTTTGTTTGTTTGTTTTTCATGTAAATATAAGGTCCTTGTAGACTCTGGATACTAGACCTTTGTCAGATGGATGGATAGCAAAAATTTTCTTCCACTCTGTAGGTTGCCTGTTTGCTCTGATGATAGTTTCTTTTGCTGTGCAGAAGCTCTTTAGTTTAATTAGATCCCATTTATCAATTTTTGCTTTTGTTACTATTGCTTTTGGCGATTTTGTGATGAAACTTTTGCCTGTGCCTGTGTCCTCAATGGTATTGCCTAGATTTTCTTCTAGAGTTTTTATGGTTCTGGGTTTTACAGTTAAGTCTTTGATCCATCTTGAGTTAATTTTTATATAAGGAAGGGGTCTAGTTTCAGTTTTCTTGATATGGCTTGCCAGTTCTCCCAGCACCGTTTATTAAATAGGGAATCCTTTCCCCATTGCTTGTTTTTGTCAGGTTTCTCAAAGATCAGATGGTTGTAGATGTGCCATCTTATTTCTGAGTTCTTTATTCTATTCCATTGGTCTATGTGTCTGTTTTTGTAGCAGTACCATGCTGTTTGGGTTATTGTAGCCTTGCGGTATATTTTGAAGTCCAGTAGCATGTTGCCTCCAGCTTTGTTCTTTTTGCTTAGGATTGTCTTGGCTGTATGAGCTCTTTTTTTATTCCATATGAATTTTAAAATAGTTTCTTCTGATTCTGTGAAGAATGTTAATGGTAGTTTAATGGAAATAGCATTGAATCTATAAATTACTTAGGGTGGTGTGGCCATTTTTGTAATACTGATTCTTCCTATCCATGAGCGTGGAATGTTTATCCATTTGTTTGTGTCCTCTCTGATTTCCTTGTGCAGTGGTTTGTAGTTCATCTTGAAGAGATCCTTCACGTCCCTTGCTAGCTGTATTCTTAGTTATTTTTTTCTCTTTGTAGCAATTGTGAATGGGAGTTCATTCATGATTTGGCTCTCTGCTTGCCTGTAGTTCGTGTATAGGAATGCTTGTGACTTTTGCATGTTGATTTTGTATCCTGAGACGTTGCTGAAATTGCTTAAAAGCTTAAGAAGCTTGTGGGCTGAGACAATGGGGTTTTCTAGAAGGAGTATCATGTCATCTGCAAACAGAGACAATTTGACTTCCTCTCTTCTTGTTTGAATCCTTTATTTCTTTCTCTTGCCTGATTGTCCTGGCCAGAACTTCCAATACTATGTTGAATAGGAGTGGTGAGCGAGGGCATCCTTCTCTTGTGCTGGTTTTCAAAGGGAATGCTTCCACCTTTTGCCCATTCAGTATGATACGGGCTGTGGGTTTGTCCTGTATAGCTCTTATTATTTTGAGGTATGATCCATCAATACCTAGTTTATTGAGACATAACATGAAAGGATGTTGAGTTTTACTGAAGGCCTTTTCTGTGTCTATTGAGATAATCATGTGGTTTTTGTTTTTGGATCTGTTTATGTGATGAATTATGTTTATTGATTTGCGTATGTTGAACCAGCCGTGCATCCTGGGGATGAAGCCGACTTGATCACGGTGGATAAGGTTTTTGATGTGCTGCTGTATTCGGCGTGCCTGTATTTTATTGAGAATTTTTACATTGATGTTCATCAGGGATATTGGACTGAAGTTTTGTTTTTTGTTGTTGTATGTCTGCCAGGTTTTGGTATCAGGATGATGCTGGCGTCATAGAATGAATTAGGGAGGAGCACTTCCTTTTCAGTTGTTTGGAATACTTTTAGAAGAAAGAGTATCAGCTCCTGTTTATATTTCTGGTAGAATTCAGCTGTAAAACCGTCTGGTTCTGGGCTTTTTTTTGTTTTTTTTTTTAGTTATTTATTACTGCCTCAATTTCAGAACAGGTTATTGGTCTAGTCAGAGATTCCAATTCCTTTTGGTTCATTCTTGGGAGGGTTTATGTGTCCAGGAATATATCCATTTCTTACAGATTTTCGAGTTTGTTTGCATTGAGGTGTTTATAGTATTCTCTGATCATTGTTTGTATTTCTGTGGGGTCGCCAGTGATATCCCCTTTATCACTTTTTATTGTGTCTATTTGATTCTTTTCTTCTTTATTAGTCTAGTTAGTAGTCTATTTTTATTAATATTTTTTAAAAACTAGCTCCTGGATTCTTTGATTTTTTTTTTTTTTTTTGAAGGGTTTTTCATGTTTATCTCCTTCAGTTCTGCTCTGATCTTGGTTATTTCTTGTCTTCTGCTAGCTTTGGGGTTTGTTTACTCTCAGTTCTCTAGTTCTTTTAGTTGTGATGTTAGGCTGTCAGTTTGAGATCTTTCTAACTTTTTGATGTAGGCATTTATTGCTATAAATTTCCCTCATAATGCTGCAAATCTGTGTCCCAGAGATTCTGATACGTTGTTTCTTTGTTCTTACTGATTTCAAATAACTTCTTGATTTCTGCCTTAATTTCATCATTTAGCCAGTAGTCTCAGAAGCAGGTTGTTCAATTTCCATATACCTTTGTGGTGTTGAGTGGGTTTCTTCATCTTAAGTTCTGATTTGATTGCATTGTGGTCTAAGAGACTGTTTGTTATGATTTCAGTTATTTTGCATTTGCTCACAAGTGATTTTCTTCCAATTGTGCGATCAGTTTTAGAGTGCCATGTGGCACCGAGAAGAATGCATATTCTGTTGTTTTTGGGGAGAGAGTTCTGTAGGTATCTGTCAGGTCCACTTGATCCAGAGCTGAGTTCAGGTCCTGAATATCTTTGTTAATTTTCTGTCTCAATGGTCTATCCTTGATAGTAGGGTATTAAAGTCTCCCACTATACTTGTGTGGGAGTGTAAATCTCTTTGTAGGTATCTAAGAACTTGTTTTATGAATCTAGGTGCTCCTGTATTGGGTCCATATATATTTAGGATAGTTAGCTCTTCTTCTTGATTTGAGCCCTTTACCATCATGTAATGCCCTTTTTTGTCTTTTTTAATGTTTGTTGGTTTAAAGTCTGTTTTGTCAGAGACTAGGATTGTAACACGTGCTTTTTTCTGTTTTCCATTTGCTTGGTAAATTTTCCTCCATCCTTTTCTTTTGAGCCTATGTGTGTCTTTGCATGTGAGATGGGTCTCTTGAATACAGCACAGCAATGGATCTTGACTCTTTACTCCAGTTTGCCATTCTGTGCCTTTTAATTGGGGGCATTTGCCCATTTACATTTAAGGTTACTATTGTTATTGTGTGAATTTGATTGTTTCATCATGATGCTGGCTGATTATTTTGCAGACTTGTTTATGTAGTTGCTTCATCATGTCACTGGCCTGTGTACTTCCATGTGGTTTCCTAGTGGTTGGTAATGGTTTTTCCTTTCCATATTTAGTGCTTCCTTCAGGAACTCTTGCAAGGCAGGCTTGGTGCTGATGAATTCCCTCAGCATTTGCTTGTCTGAAAAAGATTTTATTTCTCCTTTGCTTATGAGGCTTACTTTGGCCAGATACGAAATTCTAGGTTGGAAATTCTTTTGTTTAAGCATGTTGAATATCAGCCCCTAATGTCTTCTGGCTTGTAGGGTTTCTGCTGAGAGGTCTGCTCTTAGTCTAATGGGCCTCCCTGTAGAGATGAGCGGCCTTTCTCTCTGGCTGCCCTTAACATTTTTTTTTCTTCATTTCAACCTTGGAGGATCTGATGATTATATGTCTTGGGGTTGATATTCTCATGGAGTTATCTTCCTGGGGTTCTCTGGAGTTCCTGAATTTGAATGTTGGCTTATCTTGCTAGGTTGAGGAAGTTCTCCTGGATGATACCCTGAAGTGTGTTTTCCAACTTGGTTCCATTCTCCTTGTCTCTTTCAGGTACCCCATCAGCTGTAGGTTTGGTTTTTTAACATAATCCCATAGTTCTTGGAGGTTTTGTTCATTCCTTTTTTTCTAATCTTGTCTGCCTATTTCAGCAAGATGGTATTCAAGTTCTGATATCTTCTCTTCCACTTGGTCTATTCAGCTATTGATACTTGTGTTGGCATTGTGAAGGTCTCATGTTGTGTTTTTCAACTCCATCAGGTCATTTATGTTCATCTCTAAACTGGTTATTTTGGTTAACAGGTCCTGTAATGTTTTATCATGGTTCTTCACTTCTTTGCAGTGAGTTAGAACACACTCCTTTATCTCAGCAAAGTTCATTACTACCCATCTTCTGAAGCCTTCTTCTGTCAATTCACCCATCTCAAGCCTCGGCCCAGTTCTGTGCCCTTGCTGGAGACATGCTGTGATTATTTGGAGGAGAAGAGGCCCTCTGACTTTTTGAGTTTGCAGCATTTTTGCATTGATTCTTTATCATCTTCATGGGTTTATCTACCTTTGATTTTGAGGCTGCTGACCTTTGGATGGGGTTTGTGTGGGTCTTTTTTGTTGATGATGTTGTTGTTGTTGCTTTCGGTTTGTTTTTCTTTTAGCAGTCAGGCCCCTCTTCTGTAGGACTACTGCAGTGTGCTGGGGGTCCATTCTAGACCCTATTCTCCGGGGCCCCTCCCATCCCTGGAGGTATCACCAGGGGAGGCTGCAGACCAGCAAAGATGGCAGCCTGCTCCTTTCTCTGGGAGCTCTGTCCCAGAGAGGCACTGACCTGATGCTGGATAGAATGCCCTTGTATGAGGTGTCTGCAGGCTTTTGTCAGGAGGTCTCACCCAGTCAGGAGGAGCAGGATCAGGGACCCACTTAAATAAGCAGTCTGGCTGCCCGTTGGCAGAGTGGGTGTGCTGTGCTGTGGGGAATCCCCCTCATCCAGGCTGCCCTGACTCTCCAGAGCCAGCAGGCATAAAAGACTAAGATTGCTTATCCATGATACCACAGCCGCCCCTCCTCCTAGGGGCTCCTGTCAGGGATATCAGAGTTCTGTCCATAAACCCCTGGCTGGGGATGCTGAAATTCCCACAGGGAGGCACTACCCAGTGAGGAGGAGTGGATCGGGGTCCTGCTTAAAGAATCAGTCTGGCCAAGAACTGACCCAGCCGCTGTACTGTGATGTGGGGAGTTGCTTCTGGTCCAAACCACCCGGTCTTGCTGGCACTGGTGGCAGGGGAAAACAGCCAACTGGAGCTGCAGTGATGGCGGCTGCCCCTTTTCCTCAGGAACTCAGTTGTCTTAGGCAGTCTCAAGTCTGATGTGCTGGCTGGTGGGGATTCCAAGCCAGTGGATTTTAGCTCTTGGGGTTCTGTGGGAATGAGGTCACTTGGCTCCCTGGCTTTAGCCCCCTTCCCATGGGAGTGGACAGATGTCCTGCCTCGCTGGGGTTCCCAGAGCTGGAGTATGCAAATACTCCTATGTCTCAGTGTCTGCTCGAGACACCACCCTCCTGAGCAGCTGCCGTGATTCTGCACAGTTCTGTGCTTAGGACCCAAGGCCCTGGATGCATGGGCTCATGAGGGGGACCTGCTGATCTGTGGATTGCAAGAATCTGTGGGAAAAGCATGGCTTTCAGGGAGGGGTAGCACAATCCCTCACTGCCTGCCTTGACCAGGGGAGGGAGCCCCCTTTCCCCCTGCCGCCTTGTGAAGCTCCCGGGTGGGCCCTTGCTCCAGCCTGCCTTTCCTTGCTCTCCATGGGTCATGCCAACTGCCTCGTCAGTCCCAATGAGAGAACCTTGGTACCTCAGTTGAAGATGCAGAATTCACTCACCATTTTTGTCCTTCTCAGTGGAAGCCACAGAGCAGAGCTGTTTCTGTTCAGCCATCTTGGCTGCACCTGACTTTTATTTATTAAAAAAAAAATTTTTTTTTGTTTTTTTTGAGACAGGCTCGGAGACTCTGTCACCCAAGCTGGAGTGCACTGTCTCATCATAGCTCACTACAGCCTCGAAATCCTGGTCTCAAGTTACTCATGCTTCATATAGCTGGGACCATAGATATGCACCACCACATACAGCTATTTAAGTTTTATTATAGAGATGGTATCTCTCTTTGTTGCCCAGGCTGGTGTCTAACTCCTGGACTCAAGCGATCCTCCAACCTTGGCCTCCCAAAGTGCTGGGATTACAGACACGAACCACCACACCCAGCCTCAAAGGACTTTTAGATTGACAAATTTGAGTTACATTGCCCGTATTGTGACTTGCGCTATACTTACCAACTTTCACTTGACACTGATATTTTCTAAATGCTTAAGGCTATAGAACAAACAGTAAAGGCAAAGTCACAGCCATCCTTGAGAAACTTAGTTTTGAGGTGAGAAATCAGGAGTTAGCATCACTTAAATCAGGTTAGAGTTTGTAGAACCAAAGTTACTGAAGTAGAGAAGTGTATATGATGGCATAGCTCATTACACATTTCCTGTATATTAGGAGCCTCATTATATAATTGTTTTTTTTTCTGTCTTTTTAACGTACCCAAAGTATTGAAAGTCGAGGGAGTGCCAGAGACAAGTAAGATTATGTTCGTTGGGAAATTCATATTATGGCTACGAAAATAACTATAGGCAAAGATACCATACTAGTATATAATGCATCCTGCTGGTCTGTTTTATCCCATTAAAAAACTTCGCGCGCTTTTATTAGGAGGTTTATTTTTCTTATGACTGGGGGAAACAAAATTAGATAATTTACCTTTGAAACAGAGTTGCTTATCTAGCATTCTTATACCTTCCTTATCTGTTATTAGTGAGCTTGTTTACTGTGACTATTTCTGCCTTTCAAAGTTGATCTGATTAAATTTGGTTAAAATTATTGTCTAATCTTCCATTAGCTGTTTTTCTTTGTGAGCATGTAAATACTGTAGACAAAACAAAAAAAATGATACATCTTCATAACTTAAGGGGTCAGCTAAACTGAAATCAAAGTACTGTGACAGCAATTAAATCTTTTTTTTTTTTTTTTTTTTTTTTTTGAGATGAAGTTTCACTCTTGTTGCCCAGGCTGGAGTGCAATGGTGTGATCTCCGCTCACCGCAACCTCTACTTCCCAGGTTCAAACGATTCTCCTGCCTCAGCCTCCTGAGTAGCTGGGATTACAGGCACACACCACCACGCCTGGCTAATTTTTTAGTAGAGACGGAGTTTCTCCATGTTGGTCAGGCTGGTCTCAAACTCCCAACCTCAGGTGATCCGCTGCCTTAGCCTCCCAAAGTGCTGGAAAGCAATTTAATCTTTAGTGGGCTTTTAGACAAATAATTGAGACTAAACTTTGAATTAATTAAACTTGAGCTTTTTATGGTGGTATTTATTTAAAAATATATAAACTAAAATTTGCCGTTTTTTAACAATTTTAAGTGCCTAATAGCATTAATTACATTCAGTGTTGTGCAACCATGATCACTATTTCTAAAATGTTTTCATCACTCCAGATACAAACTCTGTAACCATTAAGCAATAACTCCCCACTCTCCCCTCACCCCAGCCCCTAGTAACTTCTAATCCACTTTATGTCTCTGTGATTTTGCCTGTTCTAGTTATTTCATATCAGTGGACCATGTGATATTTGTCCTTTGTGTTTGGCTTATTTCACTTAGCTCAGTGTTTTTAATGTTTATCCATGTTGTAGTTTGTGTCAGAACCCCATTCCCTCTTTGAATAATATTACATGGCATGGATATACTTCCTCTGTTAATGGTCACCCGGGTTGTTTCCATCTTTTGGCTATTGTGAATAAGGCTGCTGTGAACAATGGTATGCAAGGTTCTGTCTGAGTTCCTGCTTTTAATTCTTTTGGGTGTATACCTATAAGTGGAGTTGCTCAGTCATAAAGGAATTCTATTTTTAGCTGTTTGAGGAAGCCTCAAACTGTTTTCCACAGTGGCTGCACCATTTACACTCCCACCAGCAATGTATTAGGGTTCCAGTGTCTTGTCACCACTTGTTATTTTGTTTTTTCTCTTTAAATTATAGTCATACTAATAGGTGTGAAATGGTATGAACCAGTTGCATTTTTAAAAGTACGTTTAAGATAATTTGTTTATGAAATATTTAAACTTTGGTTAAAAGTGCCCTGAGTTCAACAGTTTTAAAAAATTGTCATATTTTAAAACATTTATATAATTGCTATGGTCTGAATATTTGTGTTCCCCCAAAATTCTTACATTGAAGTTCCAACTTTCAAGATGATGGTATTAGGAGGTGTATGGCCTTTGGAAGGTGAATTAGGTCATGGGGGTGGAGGCCCCATGATGGGATTAGCATCTTTATAAAAAACACCTGAGAGAGAAAGAGAGCACATGCCAGAGACCCCCACCTCTTTCATCACATAGTGTTACAGTGAAAAGACCAAGAGCATTATTAGCATAACCTGGGAACTTGATATTAATGCAAATTCTCAGGTCCTACCTAAATCGGAAGTCTGGTGCTAGGGCTTAGAATCTGTGTTTTAACAAGCGCTTGAAATGATTATGATGCATGCTAACGTTTAAACCGTTCTCTGTATTTAGAGTTCTTTTCTTGTCTTTTATAGCATGATGAGAATCTATGCATCTTGGCTCAGTTGCAGTGTTATCCCTTCTGGAAAGGCTCCCCCTGCCCCAGTCACCTCCTGCACTGGGCTCTCAGAGTGCGCTAGTATGGAGTGCTGATAGTTGGTTTGATGTTCCTTCCAGTTTGAGAAACCCTTCCGTGTAGGGATTTGTATCTCTTTTACTTCTTTATAAACCATCATGCTTAGCAAACTGTAGATGTCTTTTTAAAGTTTGTTCAGTTGAATTGTGTGTCCAGTGGGTGGGGGACAGGGTACATAAAGTAATTATAGGGAAGTACAGATGAAGCAGGTTGATACTTGATTCATGGGGTTGTGAAAACAATGGCAAAAGTTGAGTTAACATTTTTCAAAAGTTTTCTTGGGGGGTTGTATCATGCTTTCTTGTTATATAGCTTTCTGCCTACTTTTTTTTTTTTTTCTTATTTTGAGAGTGGTGTATGCTAGTTAGAATTCAGAATTATCAGGAGGAACTTTATCTTAGTCTGTTTTGTACTGCTATGACAGAATACCACAGACTGGGTAATTTATAATGAACAGAAATTACCTGTTCATTATCCTGGAGGCTAGGAAGTCCAAGACTGAGGGACCAAACTCGCCCTTTTATATGGAACTCTCTCCTCAGATAACAGCATTAAGCCATTCATGAGGGTGGTGCCCCCATGACCCAAGTACCTCCCATTCCATCCTGCCTCTCAACACTGCCACATTGGGGATCAAATTTCCAGCACATGAACTTTGGGGGACACATTCAAATCATAGCAAATTTGCTTTAAAATGCTTATAAGGTATGAAATGAACTTTGAAGATGAGTGTGGGGAGGTTCTGAGATGTTTTTGTTTTCACATTTAGGATACAGCAAAGTGTCTTTTAAGGAAGGAATCCTTTGTTATTAATTCACTAGTTTGATGCATGCTTTAGATTTTTAAAATATAGGACACTTTTACCCTGTGAAGTTTAAATATGTGACTAGTTAAAGATATTAAAGTTTTGGCACACATTTTCTCATTAAGCAATGAGATTCATATTTTCTAGTTTATGGGATAAAAATAAAAATTCGATCAGTGGTTGCTACAGTTTCAATCTCATTACAGCTGCAGTGGAGTTTTCTTATTAAGACAAACCTCTTTTCAACCACAGATACACTTTTTAGCTTAGGCTTCACAAAGCCTCATAACTGAGGTTGCATTGGCATTGAGTATCTTGCCTTTAACAGACTTTTAGGACTTTATTTGTTTCCCACAATTTTCTGCATGTTTGTCTCAAATGAACTATAAAATGATTCAGTGACAACATGTGGTTTTAATAACAAACAAGCATGGGCAAATGAATGTAGACTTAGAATTTGAAGTTTTGTACATATGCCATGGCTTCAACTTCTAACTGAATTTATAGCTCAGCACTCAGTCAGTGGTAAATTATCAGTTGCTAGATGGACTTTTTCATTCTAGACTTCAATTATTTTGAGTGCCTGATATTGAAGACCACAGATCATTGATATAAAGAATTTTCTGCAAGTTTTTAATAGTATATTTATAGTTAGGTTTTGTGATCAAGTGGGAGCAAATTTCCCCCAATCTGTTTTTTACCTTCTTGGTTTTTAATTATTACAGTTTATATTGCATCAAAATGTAAATTTCAAGATAAGTAAGGTATTATAAAACTCATTTCTTTACAAAGGTTTCTATTGAAAATGAGTCTTTTTGAAGTAGGAATGTACTATAGTAGCTGCTCTGAGCATTAGAAATAGGCATTGTGGAGATGCCTCTTTCCTCTCTGAGGTGGAAGAGCATGAGGCTACTAATGTGTGTAAATGCGGTCTTTCCCTCAGATTGGGTGGGGCAATGGAAGGGGTGATGGAAGAGAGAGGGTTAGTAGATGCCACATTGGTATTGAGTGTCTTGCCTTTAACAGGCTTTGACTGAACTAAAACCACATTTTCCAGTCAACCTTATAGTGATAAAAATAATACTCTGGTCTTAATTAATGTACTGTGTCTAAAATAATGTATTATATCAGTTATTGTAACCACCCAACAAGTTCTTGCCTGCTGCCCAGGCAGAGCCAATTTATCAAGACAAGGGAATTGCAATAGAGAAAGAGTTTAATACACATAGAGCTGGGTAAATGGGAGACTGGAGTTTTATATTACTCAGCCTCAGTGAAAATTCAGAGGCTGGGATTTTTTAAAGATAGTTTGTCTGTAATCCCAGCACTTTGAGAGGCCGAGGCAGGCGGATTGGTTGAGCCTTAGGAGTTTGAGACCAGCTTGGGCAATGTGGTGAGATGCTGTCTCTACAAAAAGAAAAAAATACAAAAATTAGCCGGGCCTAGTGGTGCGTGCCTGTAGTCCCAGCCATTTGGGGGGCTCTGGTGAGGGATGGCTTGAGCCTGGGAGGTCAGGGCTGCAGTGAACCTTGTTTGTGCCACTGCTCTGCAGCCTGAGTGACAAACTGAGGCCCTGTCTCAAAAAATAAGTAAATCAGTTAAAATAAAGATAGTTTTGACATACTGGGTGTGGTGGTGTGCGCCAGTTGTCCCAGCTACTTGGGAGGCTGAGACAGGAGGATCTGTTGAGCCCAGGAGGTCTGGGCTGTAGAGCAGTATGCCAATTGGGTGTCCACACTAAGTTCAGTATCAGTGTGATGACCTCCTGGAAGCAAGGACCACCATGTTGCCTAAGGAGGGGTGAACTGGCCCAGGTTGGAAACAGAGTAGGTCAAAACTCCCATGCTGATCAGTAGTGGGATAGTGCCTGTGAATAGCCGTTACACTCCAGCCTGGGCAATGAAAAAAAAGTGTGTCTTTAAGAAGACTCCCTGTTTGTTAAAAAGTGTGTGTGTGTGTGTGTGTGTGTGTGTGTGTGTGTGTGTGTGTGTGTGTGTAGTTTGACAGCAGGGGGCTAGGGAATGGGGAATGCTGTTTGGTTGAGTGAGGGATGTAATCCTAGTGGATTGAAGCTGGTTTTCTTGCTGTCTTCTGTTCCTGAGTGGGATTGCAAAACTAGTTGAGCCAGATTTTATTGGTCTGAGTGATACCAGCTGGTCTGTCAGAATGCAGAGTCTGAAAAATACCTTGAACACCAGTCTTAGGTCTTACAATAGTAATGTTATCCATGGGAGCAATTGGGGAGGTTAGGAATCTTGTGGCCTCTGGCTGCATGATTCCTGAGCCATAATTTCTAATCATGTGGCTAATTTGTTAGTTTTACAAAGGGTATCTGGTCCCTAAGCAAGGAGGGAGTTTGTTTCAGGAAGGGGCTGTTACCATCTTTATTTCAAAGTTAAACTCTGAACTAAATTCCTCCCAAAGTTAGTTTGGCCTACACCCAGGAATGAACAAGGGCAGCTTGGGAGGCTAGAAGCAAGATGGAGTTGGTTAGGTCAGATTTTTCTCACTGTCGTGATTTTTGCAAAGATGATTTCATTATTAAAGTTCTTTTGTAAGCACAGGTTTTTTTTTTTGGCTTTTTTTGCCTTATATTCTCTGTCTTTTGGGAGAAGGAAAAAATCTTTTTTCTTTACTCTCTTACATTTTATAGTTGGGGGCCTACAAATTATAGCGACAAAAGACAGAGTAGCAAGAGAAAAAATAGATTTGATGGTGTATATATGTACCCAGGAATTCACAAATAAATGTGACTCAAATAGTTCAAATTTTGGGCTTATATACTATCTTATTAGGGGGTGGAGAGGGTCCTTCTGAGAGAAATTCAGATTGGATTTTTCTTTATGTTGGAGGATTGACAACCCTTGCCTTATCTTGGTCTCCTTCAATGTTTCCACAATTCTAGTACAAGCATTTCCCTCAGAAGCCTTCATGCAGCTTCAGTTTATGGGAGACGTAAGGCATATATTCAGTGAAAAATAAAAGATAGCCAGAATAAAAATCAAATACAAATTAAAGAAAGGTGAGGTGATGCACACCTATCTTGTTTATATAGTAGCTTAATGAGGTTTTGTAGATTGATTGATGGATGGATAGGTGGTCAGCTCATGGATTCATTTACAAAGGCATATTCAATCTTTCATATGTACCAGGTACTATGCATAGGGGAAACATCTGTTAAGAAGATCAGTGTGGGCCTTGCTTTTGCCTCTTGCCTAGTTCACAGTCTGGTAAATGAAACCAACATTGTTTAATTAGAATGTAATGAGTGCTTTATAGGCGCTATGAGAATGTCTAAGTAGGACACCTGATCTAGTCTGGACCAGTTAATGGCATTTTCCTGAGGGTATGCTGTTGGGTCTGAGTTCTGATTTATGAATAGTAAGTAACTAGGTGATAAGGGGGTGCAGGGAAGGCCCAGCAGCCCAGGCAGAGGAATCATATGTAAGAAGGCCCCGGAGATAAGGCCAGTGTAGCGTAAAGCACCAAGGAGGGCCCGGTTATGGGAAATGAGCCAGCGCATGCAGGGCCTCCAAGACCATGGAAGGACATTTTCCTTCATCCTAAATGCAACAGAAAATCACTGAAGGTTTTATAAACAGAAGGTGATCAGTTTGGTCTGTTTTCTTAATGTTGCTTCTGGCTCTTCTGGAGAATGGATCGTGGTAGGGGAATAAAAAGAGGTTGAACAGAGATGAGTCGGGGTGTTGCAGTTGTCCAGGTGAAAAGTAATAGTAGCTTGGACTAGGAGTACATTAGGGAGAAATAGATTGAAGAAATATTTAGGAGATCAAATTCACAAGATAGGATTGGCTGCTAGCTTCTGAAGAGAAATGAGGTGCCAAGAAGGATCCACAGATTTCTGACACAACCACCTGGATGCATAGTGGCCATATTGGCTGAGCTCAGGAACCCAGGAGAAGGATAGGCTTTGGGGGTTGGGGCTTCAGCCTATGGGCTAGATTGCCGGACATACAGAGTGCCTGTGAAATAGCTATGTGGAGATAATGAGTATCTACCCAAATCGAAAGGATATTCCTAGCACAGGAAAAAGAGGCCAGAATCTGGAAGACATTACGAAAAAAATCAAAGGTGGAAAAGGGGGAAATGTCCCTGCAAAGTTCTGAGGAGATGCATCCTCCCAAAGTGGCTCTTCTTCCTGAGGAGGGGTTGCCTGCCCTGGTAGAGTCCGCTGCTCTCCTTGAAGGAGTTAATACGGTTGTGGTGACAGCTTCTGCCCCAGAGGCTTTGCTGGCCTCCTGGGCCAGAATTGCAGCCAGGGCAGGGATGCCAGAGGCAGTGAGTGGAATCTCCACAAGAGTGGTGTCAAGTGGCATGTGCTCCACGGGAGAAGTCTCCCTGCAGACACAGATGGTTGGGTTCACCTCCAGTTTCATGCTGGACAAGCCTGGGTTCCCGAGAAGCAGGAAGGGAGAGTGAGTGCACGCACGCCTCTTGCTTCCTGCCTCCAATTTTCCACCCCCACACCCTGCAGACAGTATGTTGAGCCCCAAATGTGTTCATAGGAACAAGATCTTCAGAAGCCTCCAGCGGAAAAAGAATACCAAGAAAAAGGACACATCTCTGGTAATTAATGGCAGAAAGCCCGGACAGTCGAGTCTGTGGTGCTGCTGACAGGTGAACTCTGGTCCTCTCCACACCTACTTATAGGCCATGCAGACTGGTGGGTTGCAGATGTTAGCCTAAGACCCTGGCAGTACCTGCTGCTTTGTGGTTTCAGGTAGAGACTCTCATGTTTAAAAATGGAAAAGCATTTTACAAATTACCATTTAATTCTAGTTAATACATAGAAAAAGTCATTCACACTACCCCCCTAAAATAGAATGACTTCTGCTCTTTTAGGTGGGAACTTCTTCAGCTGAGCATTGGCAACAGGTTGAGTGAAGAAACAGTAGTTTGTGTCTGTGCTCAATTTCCCTCCTCACAATACTGGTTATTTTAGGAGTTGCTCCATTCCAACTTGTATATTTCATAAATTGTAAAGTATTTTAAGTCAAAGAAAGGCCGTTAATATTCTCCCTCCCCAAAATGCATGATTTTTAATATTCAAAATAATGTTTTTCAAAGTTTTCTTAGTAACCTAAGATTTCTGTGGTTTGACTCCAGGATAAAAACACAAGGCACTTTGTCTGTATTATTTCCACTTATAATTGTTTTATATATTTCTGCTGTTAAAAATGTTTAAGATCGCT
Source organism: Homo sapiens (assembly GCF_000001405.40). Lineage (NCBI taxonomy): Eukaryota > Metazoa > Chordata > Mammalia > Primates > Hominidae > Homo > Homo sapiens. Next base: position 66,327,446 of record NC_000003.12, read on the forward strand.
TCCCACTCATAAATATATAATACATTGAACTTAAAATATATTTGTTAACCAGTTCTCCAAAAATAAAAATGAAACGTGTATATAAAATAATTCATTTGTTATATTTAGGGAACTGTATTCATTGCAATGTAAATAATTGTTAGTGTTCTTCACTGAAAGGATTAATCCAAAAAGGATGATTTTTTTTTCATGATTCATTTGCTTATTTTTTTGTTTATTAGTTGGTGGTATGGGTTGGATCATTTGTTTTAAAACCACTTGTTATATGATTGACATACAAAAAGCTACACGTATTTAATGTATCAAATTGAGTTTAATTTGTAATTTTTTATGTACTTCCTAAATTTGTAGTCCTGTGAGTCTTAGGACAGATCTGTTTTTCACTTGTCCTGTGTTTTAATGTCTGTTTCCAACATTGCTTTATTATTACAAGTAGGGGATTTTTTTTTTTTGCCACTTTAATGAAGATACAAAAAATAATGCGCTGAAAGGAGTGGCGGAATTGGAAAATTTGTAACCATCATGATATGGAATTAATAGGTTTGGGAAAGAATCCTCAAAAATATTAAAGTGAAGGAGGAAAGTTTGTTAAGAAGCAAGATGGTTTTATGGTCTCAGTGTTAATAACCTCCCGCCTGCCATTGGTTGTTGGTGGTCAGAATTGTTCAGTGTAATAAACAATACACACATTTTTCCCTTAAAAAAGTTGTGCAGATTATTTTGTGTTTTGTTTAGTATTGTGATGATGATGCATTCTTTTGTAATGATATGAAAAGAGAATAAAAGTCCTATCAAGATGCAAATTCAAAGAACAGGTTATTTCATACAGAAGGTGTTTCTTTATAGTTAGACTTCAACTACTTTCCCCGATAACTTGATTTAATATGAAAGCTGGTTCTGTGAGGCACTCCTCACGTGAATCAGTGTTAGACCTTCATAGTCATAAACTCAGAACATGTGGTCCTAACACATTACCTACTAATAAATAGGAGATCAGCTGTGGACTCTAGATTTCCTCATCAGCTCACATATTTTTAAATGGTTTATTTTCATCCTCTTTCCTTTGAAGATAGGACTCTAAAAGGTCTGTCAGGTGATCCACTTCTGTTTCCTATTTAACAGTACCTCCATTCATCGACAGCTGCTAAAGTCATCTATATTAAAAGATCTTTAAAGTCTCTCAGCATTCAAGAAATAACTTAGGCATCTTTTTAGAAGTATTATACATTCTTAATCAATAAAGCCTGTGTGTCTTGAACATTTCCTAGTTAGCAGTAAAACACTTAGTTTCTCTTTATAAGATTTTTCTTTTAATAAAATTACTTGCATTTTGACTTATGCCCTTAAGTTTCTATTTGTTGTCTAAATGGCACCATTTAAAGTGTTTTAAGAAATTTAATATTTCTTTATTGGATTAGGAGAACATATCTTTAAGGAAAAATTACCCTCTTAGCAGGTGATTTACAGTATTATTTTCTCCTGGCCAACCTTTTTAAAAATCCAAAATATGTGCCACCTAGCTTTTTAAAAGTTTCATTAGAATTAGTTATGTATTATGACGTATTTGTGAAGTATGTAAAGTGCTTCAGACAGCACGTGGCACATTGTGATCACTAAGGGTTTGCCATTATTATTCTTACCTTGATTTTAAAGACGTGAAATATGGATATGTGACTTTTTTGGTTTTTACATTGGAATTTCATATTAAGTCGGTGGCCCTTTCAGTAAAATAAGAGCTTACTGTAAAGTTCTCTGCAAAAGATTTTCCATTTTCATATTTAATTTGCATGCATACCATAATTTTTATTTCTCTCCTCTTGGAGTCTCTCTGTAAATTTCTTTTTAATGTGTCATACTTAAGGACCTCTTCATTTTCTTAAAATTCTGCATCCTTCTGTTAACCAAACACATTTAGAAAGTCATTCAAATTTTATGCTTGTAAGTGGTACTGAATTGGAAAACCAAAGGATTGTTTACCCCAGGAGCAAGTTGGAGTGTGTGCCTGCTTAATAATGAAAAACATTGTGATCAGTTTGCTTTTAACTAGTTCTCCCTTTTTTTTCCCTATTTCCTTACCCCTAAGAATGAATATAAGTGTTAGACAACGTTGAGATCAGTTTCCATTAGAGTTTTAAAAGAAATTTTTCTATTATAAAGGAATTGGATATTTATTACATTTTTAAATGTAAGAAAATTGAAAGAAGAAAGGCACTAACAGACACGAAAAGACCATTAGTATTTTGTGACAGATTGTTCCAATTTTTTTCCTCCTACTTTATTCAATTTTACTTATTTGTTTATTTATGAGCTAGAGCCTTGCTCCATCACTGTTACCTCGAACTCCTGGCCTCAATCCATCCTCCTGCCTCAGACTCCCAATGTGCTGGGATTATAGGCATCAGTTTCTCCAATGCATTTTAATACTGATGTAGGTAGAGATTATAAATTAACTTCTAGATTTAAAAGCTATGGTATTGATCTTTATAACTGCTTTAGCATGTTTTTTGTAGGGATCTAATCCGTCAGTAAATAATCACAGAGAACCTCCTATGTGCCAGATGCTGTTCTAGGGGCTTTGATTCATTAGGACACCCTACTGTCACCCCATCCTTACCTTTATGCTTTCTGCTCATTTTTCAGTACACTCTTGACATCAGGAGCTTCCAGTAAGTTAGCCTGGCAGATAGGATGCAGTTTGTGTGAGAGAGCAAGCTGTCAAAAGTGACTCCAGGGTCTGCTTTGGCCTATACAACTGGGCCTATATAGTCATCTTTAAGATGGAGAAACTGTAGGTAGAGCAGGTTTGGGAGGAAGATTAGAAGTTGAGTTTGGACATGTTTAGTTTAACATATCTATTAGACAACCTAATGGAAACGCTGAGTAGACAGGGAAAAACACTGATGTTCCAATCAGATGTGACAACAGGTCAGCCAGAATTTTGCACAATTATCAGGATTATTTAAATGTTGTATATGTTATATATATGTGTGTGCGTGTTAAATGTTAGTGTACAACAGGAGTAGGATATATATAAAATATATTTCATGTGTGTCTGTTCATATCTGCATCTATATATTTCTGTGTATTCTACCTCTGTTGTAGGCAGTGTGCTTTATCCTAACTTGTGCCTTGAGATATTAGCTAACAATGATAATATCTATATAAGTGATCCTTAAGTAAATAGACAAATGGTGGGGTGGGGGGAGTGGGTAGGCATTTTTTTTTTGTCAGAATACACGAAGTTTGTAAACTGCTGAAACATCCACACAAACTTTTGCCCATTCAAAAAGTTAAATGAATGCCATGAATGATTCTGTCTATAAATTTTTTAAGTAACACTTCCTCAAATATGAAACTTTCTTATAAGAAAATTCTTTTGATACTGGAAGAACCACACTCATTTGCAAGGAATCAGATCCAAGATAAACTACCAGCCTATAGCTGTTTGTCCTTCAAGAACAGAATCCATGGGAAAATCTTGGTTACTCCTTTTCTTGGGTAGTGATTTGTGAGAGTTTGTATATCTCAGTCATTTTTTAAAACCTTAGATTTATTATTAATATAATTTAGATATTATTTACATATATGGAAACTATCTCTTCTTTTAAGAGAGCCTTATTTAAAGTGCTTATTAATTATTGTTTAGTTTTTATATCTATATATAACTCTGGTACTATGCTATATCTAAACTTCTGGGTTTTCTAGGGCAAAAGTAATTGTATGAGAGTAAGAAAAGTTTTTTCTTTCTCCCTTCCTCCCTTCCTTTTCCCGTGTTTCCACCAAGTTATTTTTTCTTTTACTGTATTCACCAGTACTCTTAAGGAATGTTGATTGATACTGCAAACAGTAGACATCCCTAGGTAGTTTGAATTTGTATTTCATTTAACTGCTGTATTTTAGTTTGAGTATTGGTTTGTGATATACTGTTTTCATAAAGCATGGCTTTTGTTGTTACTTAATACCCTTTAAAAAAATCCCATTTAGTCATTTTAACCTTTTAAATCTCATTTCCATGCCTATCCTTTTATTTCCAAGACTTCTTTATTTTGTTTTATGTGTGTGTGTTTTTTAAACAGAATATAGATAGGTCTTTTAATGGAATAATTTACTTTCTTCATGTGTCATATAGTTTTTTCTTGCTTTCTTTGCTGCATATTTTAACTTGCAGTTTGTTATATCTGGTTTTTGCTGGTTTGATCAATTTATTTTGGGTTTCTTTTTTAAAAAATGTCTTGTTACTTTGGAAATTCTACTGTATATTTCCATTCCATTAATGGTGATCTTTTCTTTCCCTGTACTCAGAAATGTTTATATGCCATTATTTAAAAATAAAACATGTGACTTTCCCCACCAACTTGTCTTTGCTATAATAACTTCTGTCTCCTGCTTACATCCCTCCTCAGTAAGGTGATAACTTTGGAATATTTTCACTTTCCTCTTGTTCAGCTTTCCCCACACCCAGCCAAAAAGTTTTTTGTTTTTTTTTGTTTGTTTGTTTGTTTTTGAGACAGAGTCTCGCTGTGTTGCCCAAGCTGGAGTGCAATGGCACGATCTTGGCTCGCTGCATCCCCCGCCTCCCAGGTTCAAGCAATTCTCCTGCCTCAGGCTCTTGAGTAGCTGGGATTACAGGTGCGCGACACCAAAAATTAGCCTGGCTAATTTTTGTATTTTTGGTAGAGATGGGGTTTCAGCATGTTGGCCAGGCTGATCTCGAACTCCTGACCTCAGGTGATCCACCTACCTCTGCCTCCCAAAGTGCTGAGATTACAGGCGTGAGCCACCACAGCCTGCCTCCAGCCAAGAGGTTTAGCATGCACCTACTCCTACTGTGTTTAGCCCTTCTTCCAATGCTTTGATATTCCTTTGACAGTTTCATACTTTCAATTCAGTCCTTAGCAGATAATACTTTGCCGTACATCTGTTTTGTTTCAAGTATTCTTATTTAGAATTTATTACATGTTGCTATAACAATTAATAGTACTCATTTAGATTGATTGTATATAACTACCATATTTCATAAAACTAAAGCACTTTTTTTTTGCATTTTAGCACCTCTGGAATTGAGATGTGCCTTACAATTGATGATTTTCTAGAATTAGACTTAGAAGTGTAATTTGGCAGCACTTGGATTTTCTTTTTTTATTTTTGTTGAGATGAGGTCTCACTGTGTTTCCCAGGCTGGTCTTGAACTCCTGAACTCAAGCCATCCGCCTGCCTTGGCCTCCTAAAGTGCTAGGATTACAGGCATGAGCCACTGTGCCCAGCCAGTGCTTGAACTTTAGTATCTATCTAGTGGAATAGATACAGATACATGAAACTGTGTATCTATAGAGAAAGCAGGTTCAGGCACAGACAGGGTTTACTTCTTGCTGCTCTTGTCTCTCCTGTCCTTCCCCAGAGGTCTCTAATTCATTTGTCCCTCAATCAGAGATCTTTTTCAGGTGTTTTTCTATATGACATATGTGGGTGGTGTATTTTCTGAGTATCCATACATACACTTTTTTTTCAGGACAAGTGACAGATGTTGTGTTTGGGGTTTGCTACTTTTCTCTTAGTATTTTGCTAGAGCCATTGCTATGGCTTCCATTGTCGCGGGTGAGAAGTCTGATGCCTCTGATTTTTTTTTCCTGAAGTACTATGTTCTACCTACCTGTAAGCTTGTAAAAATATTTTCTTACAGAGTCAGGAATTTAGTAGGATGTGTCAAGATCTGTGTGTAGAATAACATGAGCTCTTTTAATCGGCAGACCAAGGTCTTTCTTTGGCCCAAGCAAATATTCTTCTGCTTTATTACTGCCTCTCCTCCGTCTTTTCATCTTTCTTCAGCTGGTACTGCTGTTCATCTTATTAGATCTGTCCTCCAAGTCTCTTATCTTTTCTGTCGTCATTTCTATTTTGTTGCTTTGAGCTGTTTTTTCCATTTGACCTTCCAGACCACAAATTTGGATCTTCGTCATGAGCCATTCTTTCCTTCATTTAATCTACTATATGGTTTATTTGGAAAATCATGTTTTTAGATGTGGGAAAGCTTCTCTCTGCTGTAGTTAAATCTCCCCAGTGTCCCTTAATTTTTCCGACTCATACTGGCCTTTCTCTCTCCAAGCACCTCTGTTTGATTTGGGGTTTATTCCCTTCATCTTGACCCCTGTCTTTCTGGATGCTCAGCCTCTTTATGTGTTGTTGTGTTTTCTTGGTCAGCTTATTAGGACCCAGGTCTGATTTTGGCCTCTAATGATTCAAGGAGATGTAGATGTTCTGCCTTCCCTGTTCCCCACCCAAGGGTCATCAGATCTCTGTGGGCCAGGCTTTTCTTAGAACCGTTAGTTTATGGTCCTTGTTCTAGGGTTCAAAGAGGCTTGTCTCCAGATACTTGTCCAGAACCTAGAAAAACAAAAAACAAACAAAAAACACACACTCCAGTTCCCTCCTCTGTATTACAGAGAGTGCAAGTCTTCGCTTCCATTTAGCTGTCTGCAGGTCCCGGGGCTGTGTTCTGTTGCAGCAGACAGATTGAAAATGGTAATGGAGGTAAAGGGAGGTGAGTTTGTGTGTGACTCTTTCTGGAATCTTTTTGGGCCTAGATTTTTTATGTTTTCATTCCCTTAACAGTTGTGGATCTTTTGTCTAGACTTAACAATAGTAGGTAAAACAGCATTTGGCATGGAAACTAGAAGACCTATAGGAGTGATATATTATTCTCAACCTTTTGCTTCTTTCTCTCTGAGAAGATTGATGATACTTCCCTGTCTGTTGCAGTGTGATTTGATTTGTTGTGTCTCCCTGTCCCATAGTCAGACTTAATTTTGAGACTTAGCCAATGGAGTATGAGTGGATGTATATCAGTTCTGAACAGAAGCTTTGTTTGTTTCTTTGTTTTGTTTTGTTTTGAGACAGAGTCTTGCTCTGTCGCCCAGGCTGGAGTGCAGTGGCATGATCTCGGCTCAGTGCAGCCTCCATCTCCTGGGTTCCAGTGACTCTTGTGCCTCAGCCTCCCGAGTAGCTGGGATTACAGATGTGTGCCACCATGCCTGGCTAATTTTTTGTATTCTTAGTAGAGACAAGATTTTGCTATGTTGGCCAGGCTGGTCTCGAACTTTTGGCCTTAACTGATCCACCGGCCTCAGCCTCCCAAAGTGCTAGGATTATAGGTGTGAATTACTGCGCCGGGCCCTGAGTGGAAGCTTTAGGAGGTGTAGCAGGTTTCTGTCATCCCTCTTGCTTCTGCCTTTTGACTTGAGAATAGCATGTCCCAAATATGATCTGTTCTTCTGGATTGGATTCTGGGTAAGAAGACCCTCAGGGCAAAAGCCACAGCTTTGAGGGCAGCCATAGCTAACCCAGAGCTAACATGTAATGTGACTGGGAAATACACGTGTGATGTATGCCACCGAGATTTGAGGGTTGTGTTGTTACTGCAGCAAAGCTAACTGATAAAATCTGGTTTAATTTCTTGTTTCTCCTTTTATTAGCTGATACTTATTTTTCCTACCAACTTTAAAAATCTGTATCAGATCCTACATTCTATTTTCTATCTCTCCTGATTTATCTCTTAATTGGCTGATATAAATGAACTGTTGTAATTGGGGTCAAACACTGATTACTTGTGGTAGAGTGTTTACAAGTTATATAATAGGTTCCAACCTGTGTAACAACTGGGGAAAAAAACAGTAAATTGGGGGCAGTGTCTTGTGGCTGTTAATTGCCCATTTATTAAATGCCCTAAATTCTGCTCCAAATTATGGTTGTGAAGCATGGCTTTTCTTTAAATGTATAAAGCAGATTATTTGTAGATCTCAACATCTGGATGGTGGTGCTGTTTTCTATTATCATAAATAAGAATTAATTGGGAAAGCATTTATGGAGTGACTTTACAGAGTTGGGAATTCCTGGGATGTGTATCTGTGCATATTTATCTGGCCTGTTGGATTAACTGACGAATAAATGTAAAGAATGGGATTTATTTTTGTGTTTTATCCTTTTTGTATATAATTGATATTCACTTTTCTTTGGTCTTAGTATTCTGCTCTCAACACACTGTTCTAACAAATATTGTAAATCAGCAGTAGATGAGTAGAAACAGTAATATTATTCCTTGGACCATGAGCCACAAGACCCGGGTTCTCCCCTAACTCTTTTAGCCTTATCCCCTCCCTTTTCTTCATCCCTTTCTTTGCCTTTCCTCCATTCACTGATGTAAGAAATACGTATCGAGTGTCCTGTTAGGTGAGATGCTGGATGTGATGAGAAGTAAGCCAGACACCTCCCCTGCCTGCCTTATCAAGCTTACTGTCTTCTCTTCTATTCCTCAGCCCCTTCTGTCTTCCGACCATACAGCAGTATAAATTGGTCCATGCTGCATTACTACTAAGCCTCCTGGTTGCCATCTTTTGTTAACAGGGCTGCTTTCAAAGGTGCTTTTAATACTGGATTGTTATGGGAAAGTTGGTGGTGGTGGGGAGGGAAGGAGGGAGGAAGGAAGGAGAGTAGATGAGTAGGCAGGTGAGAAAGGAGGAAGCTATGGAGCTGTTCACAGGGCCTTAACCACCCAACAAGCTGCTTTTTATTAATGTTTTTCATGATTCTTTTCTAATTGTAATTTTGCGTAAATGCACAGAGGATGTATCTATACAAATGATTTGAATATTAGATGAGAACCTTTCTTGTTCCTGGCTAGGTTTTAAAATGTTATTTTTTAGAATTTGGGAAACCATCAATTAAAACATCTTTGGTACCAGAAAAATTGCTCAGAAATAGGGAAAGCCTGGATAAATAAGCATATGCCTTTGTTAACAAGGACATTTGATAGAATAATAAGTAAAATAAAATCTACCTTTTATTGTTGTGTTTCTTGACGCATTGGTCATTCATTTTTCCTCTCCCCTCTTTGTTATCTCAGTAAAGAGATGCTAAAATGTGCTGCTGAAAGGGAAGGAAAGTTGGGGGTGGGAAAGACAATGGAACTGTACACAGTGATGTCATTCTCAGCTGCAAGAAAAAAATCTTAAGGCAACCGGATTATATTTGATAAAAGATTAAAGTTGCATGCAAATTCTAACTAAAAACATCTGTTTCCTGACCCTGTGCGAGTTCTAACGTTTTGATAGGAATTCTGGTTTTGGAATTTCTGAGTCTTAAGTTTACCTTCCTCAACTACTGCCTGGCTATTTTCTTAAAGGACTGAAGTCAGTACTGCTTAACATACTGGAAATGACTGTGAATAACCAAAAATGAACTTCCTGGATTGCTTCTTACATACAAGAAGTTTTCAGGTTTCATGAACAAGAATCATCCTGATTGCCGAGTGACAACTTTAAAAATTGTGGTGTGATACAGAGTTCATTCCAGGAAGCCAATGAAAATAAGTGGAACATATGTATATGTGTGTGTGTGTAGAATTAGTAATAGATTTTTAAGAACTTTTCAAGTGTTCCTGCTTTTATTAAGAACCTCAACTAGCAAAAATTGTTCCTTTTTAAAACTTTATTTTTAGGTGAGGTACAACTTGTATCTACTGTGACATCGTATTTTATATTTTGCTAAATCAGACATGTGTTGGAAAATCTTGATACCATAATTGCACTGTATCAGTAATGCTTACAGACTCCTGGAAATAGGATGAAATCTAAAAGCAAATATTGAACATTAGCTAGGGGATCAGTTTAAATTGAATTTTGCATTACAGTCACTCACTTCAACTGTGAAAGCCAGTGTAATTTTGTGATTTTTCATTTTGATTGATTTGTTAAACTTGATACCCAACAGCAGCAGATTTCTTTGTGTTCTGATATACCCAGATGTTCACACTGGGCATTTTCTAAGGATGACTGTACTGTGAAAATGTTAACGCTTGGTCTTAGCCTACCATGTTAGTGTGAGGTATGTTGAGGAATATTTACAGACTGTATGATACAGCTAGAATGTCCTACACATTAGAAATGATTGATTAAACAAAAGTTGTGTTTTATGAGGAAGAAAAATAGAAATAAGCCATCAATGAGGGACAGTTAAATATTATGAAATTCTCTGCATTAGAAAGAATGATAGATCTATTAATATATTAATCAACATGGAAATATCTAAGATATTGTTTAGGGGGAAAAAATCAAATTTTGGAACACATGCTAATGTTTAAAACAAACCCCCAGAAATTAAAACCTAAAACTAAATGTGTTGAGATAAATCAGAAGATTTATTCCAAATTGTTAATGACAGTTAACTTTGGTTGAACTTCTGTATATTAATTTTAATAATGCAAATGTAGTCATGCTTTACACATACACTTATTTTTTATTATGGAAAATTTCAGATGTACAGAAAGTAAACAGAGTTTATAATATAATGAACCATGCAGTACCCATCACCAACCTGCAAAAGCTATCAATATTCTGCCATTTTTATTTCATTTATGTCTATGCTCATTCTTCACCTTGACTACTATTATATTTTTTACAGTACATTTTTAGGTAAAATTCATATATATTGAAATGCACAAATTATATATGTACACTTTTGACAAATGTATAGTCGTGTAATCCCCATATCCTTATGATATTGAATATTTCCCTATTCCCAGAAAGTTCTCTCATCTTCAGTCCCATTCTGCCTGCCCAGGTTATTTTTGCCTTTTCTGGAATTTTATATGAATAGAATCATATAGTCTGCACTCTTTTTGTTTCTTCTTTTGCTCAGTATAACCTGTGTAAGGGTTGTCCATGTTACAGCAATGTATCAATAATTTTTTTCATTGTATTACTAATATTCCTTTATATGAATACACCACAATTTGTTTAGCCCTTCTCTTATTGATGGACGTTAGCTGTTGTGATTAAAGCTGTTGTGACATTAATGTATAAATCTTTTTGTGGACATATATTGTCATTGCTCTTGGATAAATACCTAGGAGTAAAATTTCTCTTTCAAAAAACCACCTTTCAAAGTTGTACGTTCCCACTAGCAAAGTATGAAAGTTGTGGTTGCTCCATATCCTTTCAGTTGTTTGGTTTTCTCAGTCTTTTGATTTCTGCCATTTTAGTGGATAACAGCACCTCATTGCGGCTTCTAAAAAAAAATTTTTATATCGTGGTAAAATTGCCACTACCATAATCATAATATTTGCCATTTTAAACATTTAAAGTGTAAGATTCAGTATCATTAATTACATTCACAGTGTTGTGTAACAGTCATTACTATCTATTCCTAAAACCTTTTTATCACTTCAGACAGAAAGGTTGTATCATTAAGTACAGAGCTTCCTGCTTTCCCCTTCCCCTAGCCAAACTACAGCTTCTAACGCAGTTCCCACACAAACTACAACTTCTAATGTAGCTTCTATCTCTATGAATTTGCCTGTTCTAGATATTTCATATGATTATAATCATACATTAGTTGTTCTTTTATGTCTGGCTTATTTTACCTGGCATGGTGTTTTCAGAGTTTATCCATAGTGTGGCATGTATCGGAACTTTATTCCTTTTTATGGCTGAATAATACTCCATCCCGTTGTATGTATATACCATATTTTATTTATTCATTTATGTGTTAATGTACTTAGAATGTTCAGCTGTTGTGACTTATGCTGCAGGCTGGGATGCAAGTGTCTGTTTGAGTCTGTTTTCAGTTATTTTGGCTGTATACCCGGGAGCAAAATTGCTGGATCATAAGGTCATTCTGTGTTTAACTTTTTAAGGAACCATCAAATTGTTTTATCAGTGGATTTTATTCAGCATTTCCCTGATGACTAATGATGTTGAATCAGGTGCTTATGTTACTGATCTTCCTTTGTGAAGTGCTTCTTCAAGTCTTGTGCACATTTTAAAAATCAAGCTTTCTTTTTATTGTTGAGGTTTGAAAGTTCTTTTTATATTTTAAACGCAAGTCCTTTGTTAAATACACATTTTGCAAATATTCCACTCTGTGGCTTGCCTTTTTATTAGGTTTATACCTAGAAATGGAATTGCTGGATTTTATGGTAATTCTACCACTTAATTTTTTTGAAGAAGAGCCATACTGTTTTCAAGTGACTGCAGCCTTGCATATCCCTTGTTCACCAACAGTGAACAAGGGTTTCATTTTTTTCATATCCTTGCCAGCACTTGTTATTTTCTGTTTTTGTTGCTAGTAGCCCTCCTAAAGGGTGGGAGTTTGTATCTCATCATGGTTTTTATTTGCATTTCCCTAATGATAGTGATGATAAACATCTTTTTATATGCTTGTTGTCTATTTGTGCATCTTCTCTAGAATGATGTCTATTTAAATTCTTTGCTTTTTTAAAATCTGGTTGTTTTGTTGAATGCTTTATATATTCTGGATATTAACCCCTTATCAGATACATGATTTGCAAATATTTTCTCTTATTCCATAGGTTGTCTTTTTATGCTGTTAATTGCATTCATTGATGCACATATGTTTTTAATTTTGATGTAGTCCCATTTATTTCTTTTTGCTTTTGTTGCCTTGCTTTTTGTGTCATATCCAAGAAATCATTGCCAAATCTAATGTTATGAAGATTTTCCCTGTGTTTTCTTCTAGGGGTTTTGTGGTTTTAGGTCTTATGTTTAGTTCTTTCATCCACTTTAATTTTTATATAGGGTTATGAGGTAAGGGTCCAGGCTCATTCTTTTCCATCTGGACATCCATTTTTCCCAATATCGTTTGTTGAAAAGATTGTCCTTTCGCTGTTGAATGGTCTGGCACCCTTTTCGAAGATTGTTTAACCATATATGTGAAGTCTTATTTCTGGGCTGTTTTATTTCACTGGTCTATATGTCTGTCTTGATGCCACTACAACACAGTTTTGTTCATTGTAGCTACTTTTGAAATCAGAAAGTATGAGACCTCCAGCTTTCATTGGGGTACCTTGAGGTCCATATGAATTTTGGTGGTGGATTTTGGATTTTTCTATTTGTGCAGAATATTCCACTGGGATTTTTCTTAACAGTACCTTTCGATGAGCAGAAGTTTTAAAATTTGATGTAAATTAATTTTTCTAAAGTTTTTTTTCTTTTGTGGTTATTGCGTCTTGTGGTCCCAGAAATTTCCTCCTATCCACGGACCACCCGTTCTCACACGTTTTCTTTTAAAAGCTTTATGGATTGAGCTTTTATCTTTAGGTCTGTGATCCAGCTCTCATTAATTTTTGTGTAGGGTTTTGAGGTTGGGGTCAAGGCTTATTTTTATGCTGTGGATATTCAGTTGTTTCAGTGCCATTTATTGAAAATATTGTTTATGAACACTCTCCTCTGTTTCATTGTTTATCCTTACGCCTTGTTACTCTGATCACTGTTTTGATTATAGTAGTTTTAGAGTAAATCTTGAAATCAAATATTGTCAATACTCCACCTTTATTACATCTTTCAAGATTGTTTTGGTTATTCCACGTCCTTGTCATTTTTATGTAACTTTTTGACTCAGGTTTTGATAATATTGTAAATATAATTTTTTGTAAAAAAAAAGTCGTTTTTCATTTATTTGCTGCTACTATTTAGAAATTCTGTTGGAGAGAGAGAGAATGTGTGTGTGTGTGTTGATTCCTTAAGATTCTCAGCAAAAACAATCATGTCATTTGTAAATGGGGACAGTTTTACTTCTTTTCAGTCTTTGCTTTTTATTTCTTTTATATTTTTATTTGTTTTTCTTGCCTGATTGCATTGACTAGGACCTTCAACACAATGTTGAATAGAAGTGGTGAAAATAAACATCCTTACCTTATTCATGATCTTAAGGGGAAAGCATTCAGTCTGTCACCATTAAGAATGATATTAGCCATACATTGTTGGAGGTATATTTTATCAGATTGAGGAAGTTCCTTCCCATTCTTATTTTGATGAGCATTTTTATCATAAGTCAGTGTCAAATATTTAAATACTTCTTAAAAACAGTGAAACTTGTTTCCAGGGCTTTAGAAGTATAGTGAATTACAGACTAATTTGACATTGCCATTATCTTCATTACAAAATAGTGTTATTTAATTGGCACTCTAACATGTAAAGTGATACATTAGGAGCCACTTCCATCTACACAAAATTACTGTGATGATTCTGTAGAATGTGGAAAAAGAAAATCTAATCATTACCTTCAGTGATAGCATTTATGACTAATGTACTGAGTTGTGTTTGGAGATACTCCTAATGCCCCTGGCCTTGAAATCTGAAAGATTTACTTAACAGTCAAACTGTTCACACTCATCTGCTTTTCTCTGTTAGATTCTTTTACTCATGTGTTTATTTTATGTTTTCTTTGGAAAGATGCTTTAGGAATGTTAATATGTTTTTATTAACCTAAGGAGTAATTCACTTTCAATTTTCCTCCTTTTAGGTTAATTTCTTTTATTGGGTATATGCTCTTTTCTTTATGTACGGTGTAAATAAATGAACTGTAGTTGTTAAATTAAAAAAATCAGAATGTATTTACTATTGGAATTCTTTCCTGCTATGTTTAATACTAGCAGACTAGCTTTGAATGGTTCTTACTTTTGTTGTTGTTTTTTTAAGAATAATTATCACTATGGGACAAGGAATTTTTAGGTCTTCAACTTCATTTGTCCTTGGTTACCCCTGGGGTTGAATTGGAAAAGGTTCAGAGTATTTAAAAGAATGGTTTTGTTGTCGGTGGGACAGTAGAATGGAAAACTCTAAACCACTAGAATTTGGAAATCATCATGCAAGAAAAAGGAGACCCTTCTGTGAATCACCTGTAGATCTCTTGAAAATTGCAATGGGCCAGTCCTTGGATCCACTCTGCTATACATGGCAGGCCTACCAATTCCATGCTGTTCTTCAACTAGAGGTCTTGCACACGGTTTCTGTGTTTTTTAAACGTATTGCTAGAGAGTTCTGGGTTATTTCTGCCAATGACGAAAGCTTTTACAGCTTTTTAGATGGCCTTTCTTGGTCCTTAGGCTTCCTAGATCACCCGTGGTGGCATTATGTTCATTGCAGCTTACAGTCAAGTCTTACTTATTTTTAAAAAATATATTGGTATTGTAATGTAATTTTTTAATTGAAAATAGAATGTTAGGGCTAAATGATACCTTAGAAATAATATCTTCATATCTCTTCAGTTGTATTCTAAATCACTTTGCTGTTTATTGAAGGACCATTAGGTTACATTTATTTTAAGATTACAGGGATAGAAGCATTGATTGGCTTCAAAGATAATTCTAGTCCTACACTTTGTGATAGGTGAAGTGTGCTCATAATGTAATTTTGTTCTTTATTTCATTAGTGATGCCTAACATGCCCTTCCTGTTTACCACACCCAGATTTCATTTTATCCCTATTTCACCTCGAATCCTCACATGCACTCTTGTATAGAATTATTGCTCTGTTTATTACTAAGTGGAATCCATGTTGAATTTTGGCAGGCTTTTTCCCCCTCCATCTGTGTCTTTGATGGTAGCTGGGTTTACTGCCGCTCACTTATTAGTGCCCTGGGTCTTAACAACCTTATTCAAACAAAACATCTTAAATGGAGGCATTAAACAGGTCACAACAGTGAGCCATTTTGTAACTTTAGGTGCAATAAAATGGGTATGTTGTGTTTTGGAATATAAGAGCTCTGAGTGCAGCTATTCATTTTCTTCATCTATAAAACATTTTAGAATAACAGCCTACATCTGTTTGGGGGTATAAAATTCCACGTTTTGAAGAAACAATCACTGTTATGTAACTTCAAGCCAGACGCGGGGAGGGAGCTAGCTTTCTGACGGGCCCACGTTCTGTAGACGTTGGGAAAAGTGTTTGTTTTAGCTATGGAGCTGTATTTGCTGGCAGCCCATCTTTCACATGTGTGGAACACATTTTCATTATTGTTTGTTCATATTGTAAATGACAACATGTGTGTGATACAATTTTGACTTGAAGAATATTTGAAAAATTTTCACACAGGAATTTATGAGGGCTATTTCACTACTAGAAGTCAGAAGCAAATTTAATTATTTAGGCATTTATAGCATATTTAATTACTTTAGACTGTCAGTCTTGTTTTAGAGAGTAAAGCTGGGGTTTACTGTCGCTCCCTTTTTAAACTAAATACCCAGTGGAATAGTATGGCCATTCCAAATGTGTGATTTTAAAATTATTTCTTTAAACTGAAGGAGCAGCTCAATGAATAACTTTCATTAGAGGAAATGGGCAAAATGTTTAATGATAGAATTCAAAATCTAAAGTATTAAGTACCAAGTAAGAGCAGATAACATTCAGTGCAATTTGTAGGTGATTTTAATTGAGAAATGAATGATGCCAATGGGATTGTTAGAGTAAATTTTAAATCTTTTTTCATCTTATGAAATATTTACCTTCTTACTAATCCATAATCATACTGTCAGTCTTTTGGGGCATATTTTATTACATATTATAAAGTTTAAAACATTTAGAAAAGCTTTTAGAAACCTATTACACAGTCAAGTTATTGTTTTGATAATTAATTGGAAATATAATGCTTGAGTTTCAGAATGGATAATGTCAGATGCTTTTATGTTTTTGTGACAATAAAAAACTCTATTTAACTACTGTTATGGAACTTCGACATTCGGGGGGGCTGGCTGCCTGTTTATGATGATAACAAACTTCTCTGAGATTCTAGCTTGTCAAATTAGTCCAGGCTATTGACATTGATCTTTTCTTCTCATTGACATTTCCTTCCTGAATGGTAGACAGATTTTCTTTCTGTGGTCACTGTCTGTCAAACTTGGGGCCATCATTTGCTGTAGCTGAGTAAGACAGATGATGCTAATCTTTAAATTTCTGATTAAATATAAATATTTAGGAAATAACAATACCAGGCCAAGGTGGGCGGATCACCTGAGGTCAGGAGTTCGAGACCAGCCTGGCTAACATGGTGAAACCCCGTCTCTACTAAAAATACAAAAATTAGCCAGGCGTGGTGGCACATACCTGTAATCCCAACTACTCGGGAGGCTGAGACAGGAGAATTGCTTGAGCCCAGGAGATGGAGGTTGCAGTGAGCTGAGATCGTGCCACTGCACTCCCGCCTGACCGACAAAGCAAGACTCTGTCTCAAAAAAAAAAAAGACATAACAATGCCCTCAATTCACGTGAAGGTAAATACCCATTAATTCCTCTGAAACTGGGACATTTACACCCACCCACATGTAGTGATAATGATAATGTTCAAAGTCCACATTTACTTTTCCCTTGCAGCTGGGCTGCCTGTGCAGTGCCAGTACTGGGCCCGTGGCGTGTGCGTGTTCGTGGGCATCGCCACCACCAGCACTGGTCCCCTGGGCTGTGACTGGACATTACTTCAGCTGCTGGGTGGGGTCCACTGGTGTTAAGACATTTTTATCTTAGGAAATATGACATGGGTGTCTTAAGTTTGAATTTCAGAAAATTAATAACAGATTGTACTGTGGGTGAATTTATATGCAGATAATTTAGATGTCTCCTGGGGATAGTAGTAGTTAGACAAGACTCTAGAGTCAGATTGTCTGGGCTTCTTACCTCCTAACTGCCTTTAGGCGTTACACAGCGTCTTTGAACCTCAGTCTCATCAACTATAAAATGAAGGAAGTAATACTCCCTAACTGTCTCAGCATGTGTTGTGAGGATTCAGTGAAATAAAGCTTACAAAGTGCATATTTGCAGAGTACCTGGCACATGAGAAGTGTTGATAGTTCTAGCCCTTACTGTTAGACAGCTCATCGTAAATACCTAACTCTAAGTGTGGTGATTCTCTTGACCACTCATACTTCATTACTACGCATGACTCTCCTCCCTAGCTGTGCCTGGGACGTGATCAGTGCTCAGACCCACGTCCCCCTGTGTTTTGTTAGACCCTCTCCACTCCCCTAGCATTGACTGATTTGGTGATTCTTCCTTGAAGGGTGCGAGCTTCCCACTGGCTGCTCTGTTCCTGGAGACCTGTTTCTCAAGTTTGACTCTTGCAAGTAGCTCTGTCTGCTTCCTCTTTCTTCCTTGCCTCTTTTTTCCCTCCACCTGCCCTTGCCCTCTCTCCAGTCTCCTCCCTCCTCTTTTCTCCCTCTCCTTTCCTTCTCTGCCCCGTCTTCTGTCTTCTGTCCTCCTCCTCTCTGCCCCCCTACCCTCTACCTCCCTGCTTTCTTTCCCCTCCTTCCTGCTTCCTTTTTTACCCATCTCTTTTCCTCTCTCCACTTTCTTTCCTTTTCTTCCACTCCTTTCTCTCTCCCCTTCTCTTCCTGCTCCCTCTCTCTGCTCTGTTGTCTCCCCATTCCCCTAACACTTCTCTCCCACCACCCCTTACCTTCCTTCTCTCTCCTCTGTGTTTCTCCTTTAAATCCTAACACTGCCTGCTAAGGAGTAGACAGCCTTGGCTCTTAAGCACAGAAATGTCACGTCCTAAAGTGTTTTTATTATGCTGGGAAATATTTATTTTGTCATTTCAGTAGCCAGACTATTGTGCTTCTGTTTCCATTTCAAAGGGGATTCACAACATCATTTTATGTCCCTTGGGCTCAAAAACTCAGAAGATCACCAGGCTCAGTGGCTCACGCCTGTAATCCCAGCACTTTTGGAGGCCAAGTCAGGTGGATTGCTTGAGCCCTCAAGTTTGAGACCAACCTGGGCAACATGGTGAAACCCCATCTCTAAAGAAAATATACAAAAATTAGCTGGGTGTGGTGGCGTGTGCCTGTAGTCCCAGCTACTCTGATGGCTGAGGTGGGAAAATCTCGTGAGCCTGGGAGGTCGAGGGTGGTGATCTGTCAGCCTGAGTGACAGAGCGAGACTTCCTCCCAACAAAAAATGAAAATCTACAGGCCACAGTTTAACTCTTTTTCTAAACATTATGTCTACTATAACTGTGAATTTGTTTGATATTAGCTTTGTTATAAAGTTGAAATAATATTTACAGGCTCGTATAGTCATACAGGCAAACTTGGCTCTTTTTTGCCTAATTTATTTAATTTTTTTTTTCTCTCTTCAGATTCCTTTTTCTTTGGTCCAGTTTCCCTTATGGGAGTCCTTAAAAGTAAGTTTCTCAGTCTTCACATAAAATTTGTCTCTAATTATAACATACCTAATAGTTTGAGTGTGGAAGAGTAGAACATAATGTTGACTAGAAGTTCAGCAACTCAAACCTATTAGCAGTTGAAAATATATTTTATGTGTGATTTACATGCCATTTCAGCCTTTTAAACTTGTTCAGGTGGCTGTGCTCCTAGGAAATAGGCATAGCAGGTGGCACTGAAATCCACAGATAATAAGAAAAAACTTAGGTTTACTTTTTTCCATATTGCCATTCTTTCTCCACCGTTAAATTTCATTTTGCTGTGTGCGTGTGTGTGTGTGTGTGTGTGTGTGTGTGTGTGTGTGTGTGTGTGTTTAGAAGTTAAAGACTAACAGTGAGGGTAAATGGAAGAGGAAAAATGCAAAGCCTTGAATACTTGAAGACTGAGAAGGACCAGCTCCCCTAGCACCCTGTGTAAGGACCACTTGGATGGGGAGCAGCAGGGTCTTAGGGCTCTGACTGTCCCTTCCGTCTTGGTTGCTCACTCCAGCCAGGACTAGGAGCCTCCAGAGGGAAGGAGCAGAGTGTGGTGAGTTGTCAGACAACCTTGGGGAAGGTCAGTGAGCTATTTAAAAAAAAAACAACATGTTTTAACCATTAAGGACATGGACATGGGCAAATATTTCATGACGAAAACATCAAAAGCAATTGCAACAAAAGCCAAAATTGACAAATGGGATCTAATTAAACTAAAGAGCTTCTGCACAGCAAAAGAAACTATCATCAGAGCGTTCAGACTACCTACAGAACGGGAGGAAATTTTTGCAACCTATTCATCTGACAAAGGTCTAATATCCAGAGTCCACAAGGAACTGAAATGAATTTACAAGAAAAAAACAAAGAATCCCATTAAAAAGTGAGCGAAGGACATGAACAGACACTTCTCAAGAGAAGACTTTCATGCAGGCAACAAACATATGAGAAAAAGCTCAACATCACTGATTATTAGAGAAATGCAAATCAAAACCACAATGAGATACCGTCTCACACCAGTCACAATGGCGATTATTAAAAAGTCAAGAAACAACAGATGCTGGTGAGGCTTTGGAGAAAAAGGAACGCTTTTACACTGTTGGTGGGAATGTAAATTAGTTCAACCATTGTGGAAGACAGTGTGGCGATTTCTCAAAGACGTAGAACCAGAAATACCATTTGACCCAGCAATCCCATTACTGGGTATATACCCAAAGGAATATAAATCATTCTGTTATAAAGATACATACATACATATATTCATTGCAGCACTATTTATAATAGCAAAGACATGGAATCAACCCAAATGCCCATCAATGATAGACTGCATAAAGAAAATGTGGTACATACACACCACGGAATACTATGCAGCCATAAAAAGGAAATGAGATTATGTTCTTTGTAGGGACATGGATGGAGCTGGAAGCCATTATCCTCAGCAAACTAATGCAGGAACAGAAAAGCAAACACTGCATGTTCTCACTTATAAGTGGGAGCTGAGCAAGGAGAATACATGGACACAGAAGAACAACACACAATGACTGGGGCCTGTTGTGGGGTGCAGGGGGAAGGAGAGCATCAGGAAAAATAGCTAACACATGCTGGGCTTAATACTTAGCTGATGGGTTGATACATGCAACAAACCACCATGGGTCACATTTACCTGTGTAACAAACTTGCACATCCTGCACACATACCCTGGAACTTCAACAACAACAACAACAACAGCAAAAGACATTTTAAAAAGCCTACATTCAAAACATGCAGAGATGTTACATTGGTTTTTCACTTTCTGGTGCAGTGATACTGAAAACTGTGGGCCATGATATAAATTGTGTGGGTCTTTGTCAGCATTTTAAAGACCATAATCAAGAAGAATATAGTAGAGGGCATCTTACGTGGTAAGAGTAAGTCTTATTTTGTAAGACCTCAATGAATGTTATGCATGCGTGCACACACATATGTATCTAGGTTGCAATGTAAAATGTATTTCTCGCTGTGGATAATGGTCCAAAAACTTTGAAAGCCCTTGTTCTAGTGAAAATGGTTCATAAATGACCAGGCTATAAAATAATCTAGGTAGGCATTAGCTAATACAAAAATAAAGGAGTTACTCTCATAATTTTATAGATTGACTAGTCATGGAGTGCTCATACAAAATGCATTTTGAAGAGTATCATAAAAATTATTTGTACTTGGAAATAAATTGTTGAGGTATATACTAAAGGATACTAAATTGAGAAAAAACATTACTCATTAACAAAGTAAATTATGAGATGTTAAGTATCAAGAAGTATTTCTTATAAGTGATCTGATTTTAAGGCGTAGTATTGCTCATTTAATATAGTTTTTTGGCTCTTTTGTTGTCTTGTTTGTTTGTTTTACTGTTTCCTATGTGGTGCGTGGTGAAAATAGAGTTCTCTGGCAGTGTTTCAGGGCATGATGTAACAGCTATCCAATGAGAAGGTCACGTTCCATTAGTATAACAGCTCTCCTTTTTAGTGTGTGACAAAAGAACAATGAAGCCAACAGCTGTCCAGCAAACAAGACTTACTTTATTAGTGTCTCAATAACCAGCATTCACACAGTTTCTGCACACTCTAACATCCTTATGCCCTAATTCTGCAAAGGAATGTTTTGAGGCCTAAAGAAGGAAAAAGCATAGTGTTTATTTCTTTTCAATATTAAGGACATTTGTAGAATTCTAGCTAGTTAAGAAATGTCCAGAATTTTTCAGAGTAATCATAGATGACAATGCTAAGATTTAAAAATTCTCTTTGAGCAAATGTTAAGATGCTGCCATTTTTTTTTCTGTCAAGTCGTTTCTTGAGGAACGCTTTACATATGATAAAACTCACCCTTTATACCTGTACATTTTTGTGAGTTTCAATAAATGTTTATAACCACCACCAAATTTCCATCAACCCAGAAAGTTCCCTCATGCCGTCAGTGCCCTTTCTGTACCCACAGCCCCTGTGAGCCACTGTTCTGTAGTCTTCTCTTTTCCAGAACATCATAGAAATAGATACAGGGTACTATTATACCATCTTGTGCTTTGCTTTTTTTTTTACTTAATGTAATATTTTTGAGATGCTTTCCTGTTGTTGCTTGTACCAGTAGTTTGTTTTATTACTTTGTAGTATTCCATATGTGTATGGATATGCTACAATTTATTCACTAGTTTATATACATTGAGTTGTTTTCCAGTTTTTGATGATTATAAATAAAGCTGTCGTAAGTATTTGCATATAGTATTGGTATGGATGTAGGTTTTTACTTCTCTAGGGTCAGAGGCCAGGAGTAGCATCCCTGGGTCATACAGAAGGTGTATGTTTAATTTTATAAGAAACAAACTGTCAAGGTGTTTTCCAAAGTGGCTGTACCAGTTTGCATTCCCACCAACAGTGTATGAGAGTTCTAGTTGCTCTACATCCATGTCATTTCTTGTTACTATTAGGTTAAATTTTTTTTCCAGCCATTCTAGTACTTGTGAATTGGTGTCTCATTGGGGTTTTAATTTCTAGTTCCCTCATGACTAAATAATGTTGAGCATCTTTTCATATAATACTGTTTTTTAAACATCTGAACGTACAATCACAGTGCTTTTGTAGAAGTAGACAGTTTTTGGAACTTTTTTATTTTTGTGTTTACAATTTTATCTATTTAAACTTGAGTTTGCAGCTATAGAAGGAGATTGTATTATATGAAAGGATTTCTCCACTGTGTTTATTTGTGTTTATGTGGGAATACCATTCAGGAAAATTTTTCTTAGCCAAGACTAGCAGATTGCATCACATGGCACTGCAGGGAGTAAGGGGCTGGAGGTGGTGGTGGCCACTGTTACCTTAAATTCAACTCTGTCTAAAAGTCATCATCTTTCTTGTAAAATCATGTCTTCCTGCTGTCTCCCATTTCTGTTAATCAGTATTCTCCTGGCCACCTGGTCTCAAGTCTCAGATTAAAATTTGATTCCCTTCTTGCTCTTTCTCTATATCACATTACTCAACAAATTTTGTTGACTTCACTGTTGGGAATTTGTGGCCACATTTCACCTGATTCTTAGTACCTTATGTTTTCCCACATCCTAATAGGCTCTCTTCTTATCCATTCTACATTTTGGATGTGTCTGATCTTCCTTAAACTTTTCTTTCAGTAACACTTAGGTTCTCAGGAACATATAACTTTCTAAAACTCTAAAACATTAAGTTCTTGGCATTCAAGTTTCTCAACACCCTGTCCTTGACTGGTTTTTTCAGCTTCTGCCCTATACTCTGTGTGTGTGTGTGTGTGTGTGAGCGCGCGCGTGCGCGCACACCCACACGCACACACAAAATTCTTCCCCTCCAGCCAGAATAGCCTCCTTACTGCCTCTAAATATGTTCTCCCCTTCTCTGTTCTCTGACTCCTTTCTGAAGTATGCTTCCAAGGATCCAAAAGTGATGCATCACTCAAATCTCAATTCAGTGTTTGATCTCCTGCTTGAAGTCTTCTAATGAAGGCCTTGAAGAATTGCCCTTACCACAGATTTGTCTGTGTCACTGACTCGTATTTAATCACCCACCATATTGTGTTTAAAACATCTTATAGTGTTCAGATAAGGCCTTAACCCCTTCAATTTACAAGTAAATGATACCTGCTGTCATTGCAGCTCTGGTGCCTGTCTACTCTGAGCTGGATATGGTTGCATGTCACAAGAATGCAAAGATGAATAAGAAATGGCTTAATGCCCTTGAGGAGCTGAGAGTCCGTCAGAGTGGCACCCAACTCGTTGATAACTTAAATGTAATGTGTCTCTTATTGCAGAATACTTGCTCCCCAAATCCTGTTACTGTGCTACATCATTTCCTTTGTTTTTCTTTTCTTTATTATACATATGCTTACAAAAGTATGTTTTAGATGAAAGAGGACAAGACACCATAAAGAGATGGGGAAGCAAAAGCGGTAGATTATCATATCCAAAGTCTTAGAGAAGATAATTTTCCTTGAAGATTTATATTTACTTTGGAACTTTCTGGCAGCCCAACAAGAAGAGAAGCATGATAGATTTCATGGTTTTTATTATCTGACAAAGACCTGTAGCTTGCTATTCTATCTTATCCTTTGACTTTGGATACCATCTTTATACCAACTTGCATGTTTATAGCTCCATGGCAAGCCCCTTCCTCTGAGTGGCAGCCTCAGATCACCAGCTGCCTAGTTGACATCCTCACTCAGGATGTCTCTGAGTGGCTAGGTCAGAACAGAACTGTCAGTTTTTATTTGTCTTCTTCCCAATCTGTTCCTTCCTAGTTGGTCCACTTCTCAGTAAATAGCAAAGTTGTCTTATGCTTGCTCAAATAGAAACTTAAGAATGATTCCAGAGTTGTATTCTTTTATCCTTCATCATCTAGCCCATCAACAAGTTCACTGTTCTAGTTCAAGCCTCTAACACCCCTTGTTTGAATTGCTACACTGGCCTCTCCAGTGGTCTCCCTCATTTCACTCAGGCTTTCCCAAAATATCTTCTTCACACAGCAGCCAGAGTGATCTTTTAAAGAAATGAATTAGGTCAGGCACAGTGGCTCATGCCTGTAATCCCAGCACTTTGAGAGGCATAGGCTGGAAGATCACCTGAGCTCAGGAGTTTGAGACCAGCCTGGGCAACATAGACTCCATCTCTACAAAAATTAAAAAAAAAAATTATCTGGGATTGGTGGTGCATACCTGTAGTCCCAACTATGTGGGAGGCTGAGGTGGGAGACTTACTTGAGCTCACAACCTGGGCGACAGAGTGAGACCCTGTCTCTTAAAAAAATAAGAAAAAGAAATTAGACCATACTATTCCTTGCTAAAACCTGTCAGTGGCATCTCGTTAAAAGAAAAATAAACCCAGAGCTTAAGCTCTGGCTGGCAAGGCACTCTGTAATCTGGCCTCTGTCTGCCTCAGCCTTATCCCGTGCCACTCACCCGCTGTGCCCGGCCACGTTGCGCTGACTGTGCTGCTGCCTAGCGCCTCCCCTCGTTTTTTGTTTTTTGTTTTTTGTTTTTTTTTTTGAGATGTACCAAGGCCTTTACATTTGTAGATCTCCCTGCTAGAAATATTCTTTCTTCCTTCATTCTATATACATCATTTTTTATGTGTGATAATTTTTTTAATTTTGATTTTTTTCATATTTTTGAAAATTGACAAATAATATCTGTATATTTAAGGTGTGCAGCATGATGTTTTGAAATATATAAATAGTGTATATGTCATTACCGAGTGTCTATTACGTGCCAGGCATTTTCCAGGGTCTGGGGATACAGTGATGAAGAGGACTGACACAACTGACCCCATGGAGCATTCATTCCAGCTCTTTCCCTAGGCCTCTCTCCATCCCCCTTCCCCATACCTCTCTCATGTCTCCTCTTTCCCCATTACTCAGGCCTTAGATCACATGTCACCTCAGAGAGACGTTCCCGGTCTACCCCTCTCCAAAGTAGGACTTTCCCCTCCTCCCTCCTCTGTAATCATAACACCTATTTATTTCCGTACTGGTATTTTAATAAATTAGTTTATTTAGTTATGCACTTACATCATTGGAATAATTATTTACGACATCAGTGGTGTGATGAGCAGACACTGTGTGCCAGGCTCTGGGTTAAGCACGATGCATTTGTTACTGTCTTCTTCACACCACAGACAACCCAGAGAGGTGGGCCTTGTTGTTATCCCCACCTTAAAACCAGGGAAGCAGGGCTCAATAAGGTTGTCTTTCACCTAGTTGCCTGAGCACCTTTTACTGTGTGCTGCGTAGCAGACAGGTGACTCAGGTTACCAGGTGATTTTTTAGTGATGATAACAACCATAATAAAAGCAAGAACAGCCAACATTTTTCAAAGCTACAGTGTGCCAGGCACTGTAGTAACACTTCCCACACATCTCCTGTTCATCTTCATGACAGTCCTGTGAAGTAGGTGCTGGCCTGGTCTTTGTTCTGTAGATGTGAAAATGGAAGGAGAGTTTGAACGCCTTGCCCAAGGCCATGGGAGTACTAAGGAGTACAGCCAGGATTTGAACTCAGGTTCAGATCTAACTCCAGACTTGATATTCTTAATCACGTTACATGTAATTATGCACACCGCACATGATGTGTTTCATAACGTTTTTGTATTGTCGTATACTCAAAAGTTGATAAAAAGTTGAGGTCATATTTAGTCAGCTCATTGAAGGCATTTCTGTAAATTGCATTGATTCCTTAATGATGACATGTAGCTTAGGAAAGCCTGGCCAGCATATTTCTTAGACCACCTCTCCCCAGTATCCGTTGAATCTGCTGAGCTTGGGCAAGGATTAAACTGTGCTCACTTGAGTCAGTTCTCAGAGACCAACCCTGGAGAGCACAGATAAGTTCACAGTTAATGAGTTCAGCCAGAACCGAATTTTCCACGTGCTTGTGTTTAACTCCCCACAGGACGGTGCTTACTGGAGGAAGAAACTATGTCTTCTGTTTATTCTTTATGGTTCTGTCTTTTACACAGCAGGTGTTTATGTAACTATTTGCTAATTGTTTGAAGGTTAGCATTCTTTTTCAAGTTGAATGCAAAGTTGGATAACTGTATCTACGTTAACTGTTTTATTTGTACATTCTTTTAAAGGTATGTTCACAGCTATAAAGAGTTTTCCCTTTTTAACCATACAGATCTTTTCTTATCAAGCTTTAAGTCAAAAGTAAGCATATTATGAAAGGATATGATAAAATTTCCTGTGAGAATGCATTTTTTTTTTTTTCTATTTTCTTAGTGTGAGACATCAGTTTATATTGCAGTGTGGAGAACTGTTAAGAATACTGTCAGGTCCGAGTGGTTTTGCTTACAGCTACAGGGTGTTACAAAGCAATAGCTAGATGAGATGTAATCTTTAAGCTAAGCAGTATTTAAAGCAAAATGAAAATAAAATCAGTTTGGTTTTGTAAGACAGCAACATTATGCTAATACTTTTCTAAGATGAAATCATAGCTTTGTCATAGAAATCAGGGACCAATGCATTATCACTTCACTTATATCAATAGTTCAATGTATATAATAATTACTTAGATCTCTCTTTTATGTTTTATAAGTATTTTAAACGTGCAGTACTACATAAAAGCTATGTTTTCAAGTTCAAGAATAAATAGCATTTTTTCTTGTTGATTCTTGTTTTAATAGTAGTTAAAATGTCTACCACCACCCTACCCACAACAAATTTCTCTGATACTTTTAGTAATATAAACAAGAATTAGAAGAGGCTCAGTGCTCAGGGTCTGCAGTTATACCATTTCATGAGACTGGGAGAATCTGGTGTCGGGGAGGAACCCAGTGGGAGGGGATTGAATTATGGGGGCAGATCTTTCCAGCACTGTTCTCATGACAGTGAATGAGTCTCACAAGATCTGATAGCTTTAAAAAACAAGAGTTTGCCTGCACAAGGTCTCTCTCTGCCTGCCGCCATCCACATAAAATGTGACTTGCTCCTCCTTGCCTTCTGCCATAATTGTGAGGCCTCCCCAGCCATATGAAACTGTAAGTCCAATTAAACCTCTTTCTTTTGTACATTGCCCAGTCTTGAGTATGTCTTCATCAGCGATGTGAAAATGGACTAATACAACTAATAAGAACCACAGATAGAAAGCTCATAGAACCCCCAGTCAGAATAAATATCCCCCCACATATCTAAAATCTAGCCCAGTCAGTTCCAAAAATATCACTGTATAAACTCTAAAACCTAAATATTACTAAGCAAACCCAGCATTTTAGTCCATCTTGCTTTTGCTTAAGAATAATCAATGTCTTTGCCTGTAATTACCAGCACAATCATTAGTTCAAGATTTTCTTATAAATTCTTAATATCTTTACCGACTTATCTAGAATGCAAATATCTAAATATCTCAACCAGCCAACATATATTATTGCCCAAAACAAGGTACACATCAACGCATATAAAATTGATGCTGCTTGCACATCCCAGAACAGTTTCAGTCTAGCTGCCTTTATAACCCAAGTCAGCCTGTATACCATAAGGGATTCCTAATTATCAGTTAGGTATATCCATTTTTAATTATGAAAAGTAGTGCTATATGAAAAATTCATTTTAGCCTTTTAGCCACTAGCTCGTATTGCAAGAGCTATGGTGTGGCGGAATGAAAGCCAAATTGTGGTTCCCAGTTATGTTTGATACTGTTTTCAGTTTCAGAACTTGCTATCAGAAATCTCTTTTGTAGACATAGTAGTATGTGAGTACTTCACAGAGAGATGGTTCATCTGATTGAATGATAAAATTATAGGCAGCTGTTGCTTTGTTTTTAAAAATATATGTGCAAAAGCTACACAATAGCTTGATCAACTACAGTATGGAAAGTATGTGCACGAAAATCATTGTCTCCTGTCTTTAATCTGTTATAAACTTCTGGTGGTAAACTCACAGCAGTGAGACCTACCCAGAGGATGATATCAAGAGCAAGCCTAGGTTTGAAAAAACTAAGCATTATCCTTTCCATTATCTTAAATTTTGTCATGTGATGTTACTAATTTGGAATTGAGTAGATGATTCTGTGCACATACTTATTTTACTACATGTATAAAAAGCATATAGTAAAATATCATCATCTTGTAGGGTTGGAAGCCATATAACTGCTTTTGAATAGAGCAGCTAAAGAAGTCCCAAGTTGTAAGTATTTGTTCACTGGAGCCAAAACAGTTATTTTCAGTGTGTTATTCATAAGACAGTAGTGCTTATTTGGGTGGGTCTTTTAAAAGTGAAAAACAAAGCCTTCTCTTCAGGCTATACTTTAAATAGAAGACACTTGGTCTGGGGTTGGACTCCCAGCCACTTCATAGTATTGTGCCTGGTGTTGGCTTTCTGGCCTATGACTACTGGTGCTAATAGCTATTATCTTGGGGTGGGGGTCGGGGAGCCAAACTACTTCATGCTATTCTTCCTCTGATAGGCCTTTAGCATTAAGTGAAGAATCACTTGGGAAATTACAACCTGATTGTTTTTGTAGTGGTATCACTGAGTATCCTAAAGAATAATACAAATACTGTTAATGTAAAAAGTCAAGCTGATGTTTAAAAATTGCTTACTTTTAAACAATAGTTATTATGGTGAAACTCAACTAGGGTCTGTAGCTTAGTTAATAGTGTTGTACCAATCTCAGTCTTGTGCTTTGATCATTATACTATGGAAGCTGGGTGAAGGATATGTGGGAACTTTATTATTATTATTTTTTGAGATAGGGTCTTGCTCTGTCACCCAGGCTGGATTGCAGTGGTGTGATCGCTGATAACTGCAGCTTCAACCTCCCAGGCTCAAGCAATCCTGCTGCCTCAGCCTCCCTAGTAGCTGGGACTCAGGGGTGTGCCAACACGTCTGGCTAATTTTTAAATTTTTTTGTAGAGACAGGGTCTCCCTGTGTTGCTCAGGCTGGTCTCAAACTCCTGGGCTCAAGTGATCCTCCCACCTCAGACTCCAGCAAGTGCTAGGATTATAGGCACGAGCCGCTGCACTCGGTGGAATGTTCCTATTTTTGTAACTCTTCTGTAAATCTAAAATTATTTCAAAATAAGTGTCATACAACCTAGTAGACATGGTTTCTAATCAACCTGTATTAAGGAAGCTTTACTTAAGAAAAATTACCGAAGTGAAACTAAGAACATTTTTGACTTCTGTTCTCATTACTTAAACTTGATATTTCTCATTAATGTAACCATAGATTCATGTGAAAATTTCATTTATACTGTAATTCCAGCTACTTGGGAGGCTGGGGTGGGAGGATCACTTGAGATCAGGAGTTTGAGACTACCCTGGGCAAACATAGCAAGATGCTGCCTCAAAAAAATAAAATAAATTAGCCGGGCATGATGGCCCTTGCCCATAGTCCCAGTTACTCAGGAGGCTGAGGCGGGAAGATCGCTTGAGTGCAGAAGTTGGAGGCTGCAGTGGGCTGTGATCACTTCACTGCACTCCAGCCTGGGTAACAGAACAAGATCCTGTCTCTTAAGTTACTTACATTTGAACAGAAAAAGGAAATGGGACATTGAATTGGGATAAATAAGCAAACATCAGGGAAAATGTGGCCCCTTGCTTTTTAAATTCCTTATTGTTATTTTGGTATACAGCCTCCTCCGTGAGTTGAGACTCCAATACTGCTTCTTCACATTCGGGCCCCTTAATGCCCCTCTCCTCCCCTAATCATTTATCCGCCTTGACAGAAATGATCATTAGACCTCTGTGGCAATGAAATTACTTATTTAGGTTGAGAAATTATGGAAATTTAGAAAATTTTCGGCAGATTCTTAAAAAAAAAAAACTTTTGTAAACCCACATTATTTAAATTCATTGTATTAACTTCAAAATATTTAATAACGTGTGTATTATGATGTAGTTCGACTAGAAGTTGAGCTGTATATGATAGTGAGGAAACAGACTGCTATTTGCAGGACGAACCAGCCTCAGTTTTCCCATTTACTATCTATGTGACCTCAGGCAAATCTCCTAGAACTTGCCCCTCACCTGTTTTTGTGGAGAATAATATACTTCTCAACATTGAATGAGATTATACATGTAAAATCTTTAGCATAGTGCCTAGAGCATTGTAGGTAGTCAGTAAATCCCAACTAATATTGTCAATAGTAATAATTTATATTGTTACCTGTACTATATCCTACATTCCAGTCTAAAATTATGTGAATGTCATAATCAATACATAGTCTTCCTGTGAGTAATGTCTTCCAGCTAGAGTATTTTGTTTATTACAATTCTGTTGTCCCTCCAAATAGATGAGCAAATATGTAATTTCAAAATATTTCCATAATTTATGTATTTTTTACGAGTCACTTTCTGATTATTGTTGTTTTATGAGTTTAAGGTTGCACTCAAATGAATAATTTGTAAATAACACTCTTTTTAGATTGGTCTCAATATTACATTTCTGAAGTTCTGTATTCAGACAATTCCTCATTTAGAAAAATCATTTCAAACTCATTTAAGCAAGTTGTTGCAGACATTGACATAGTTTGTTCATTCACTTGGATATTTTAAGTCATTCCGGTAGAAATTGTGATTTGCGTGTGGAAGTAAAGTGTCTCATGAATGCTTATCTGTGTGTTACCAGGACAACTATATCCTATAGATCCAAACCCATGTGTTTTCATGCCCACACCAGAGTGTCCCATCCAGATCCCAGCTTTCCTACTCGCTGTTTAATCTGTGAGTTACTTAACATCTTTGAGCCTCATCTTTAGACAATTTTTTTCTTAGAGATGGGATCTCACTGTGTTAACTAGGCTAGTCTCAAACTCTTGGCCTCAAGTGATCCTCCCATCCGGGCCTCCCAAAGTGCTAGAATTACAGGCGTGAGCCACAATGTTTTTGTCTATAAAATGACAAGATAATAAAAATTACATGTAAGTCGGAAGATTCTGGAGAGAATTACATGAGCTGATGTATGTAAAGTGCTTCACACCTGGAATGTGGGAAGTTCTGTATGTTCTATGGAAGTGTGTATTGTGGTTGCTGTTACAGTCATTCTTTACGTCATGCTTTGTGTTTGCCACTGAAGTTTCTCACTTTAAACGTTTTGGGTCTTCTAGAGATTTTTTGTTTGTTTTAAGATATTTATTAGTATCCATGTCAAATACCAAATTATTTCTTTATGTGTTTTTTGTAGGCTCATTATTCTGGCCAGGTGATAGTGGAAAGTTAGACTTATCTGTGGAGATTCTGTTTTTAAATGTTGTCTTCAGCCATCTGAGTCTATTTGGATTGTGTTTTTTCGCCCCCTGGCAACCAATTTTTTTCTCCCTAGATTATAACAGGCACCTCTGTGAAGCTTTCTCTGTCACCTCACTTCTCTCTTGTATAATCCTCTTCTGCCCCCACCATACCTTCATCAAATATTAGACCTAGGGACTGTTACTTTTTCTTTTCTTGACTACAATACCTGACACCTAGTAAGTAGTTGTTGAATTTATGACTTGCATAACATTTTTGATTTCTTATCACATTCACATCTTACTGTTATTTACTTTTGCTTATAAACTCAGCATTATTACCAGCATTTCAAGTCTATTTGGAGTAGCCTTCTACTCTTTGGAACATTTAAAGATATAAGTAGATTAACTGAAAGTGACCTTTAGTCATCAACAGAAATCTAGTTTATATTTTGCATTGCTTTTCTACTAAGTTGGTGAAGTAAATGTTGGTGTTAAAACTGGCATTAGCCTGATAAAATACACCCTTTGCCACCTTAAAAGTAAAGAAAAAGCGATTCCATTGTCTTGTTTCTTATTCTTTCTGCAGTGCTTCTAGGAGCTCTGGAAAAAATAATGGTTTCTATTAAAGCATACAGATGTATTTGCAAACATTAGAGCATTTTCTGAAAATATACCAGATACTCTGTTTAATGGCAATATTATCTTTAGAAACCAGTCTCTAATAAGTCTTTTCTTTTTTAGCTTATCTGCTTTCACAAGTAAGGTGATAAATACCTATTTGATAGCTGCACTCTCAGTGCAGTAAATTGAATTAATACACTTTCAGAGAATCATTCACGTTAGTATGGATAGAGGGAAATGTTGGTCCTCAAACCACACGCTGTCACATATTTAATTTGTTAGATAGTTAACATAGTAGCTGTCTGACTTAAGAGAAGTTGTGAAAGTTGACAGAGTAAACAGAGTCTTGTACCTAATGAATTTCTATGGCATCTTCTTCATCCCCTCAGTGACCCTCACAACCTTCCAGAGATAGTTGTCAGTGGAGAAGCATTCAGAGTAGGAAATTAAAATGAACTTTGCTGTTCTTCTTTTAGTTGCTGTGTATTTGATTATCCCTAAAAATGTCAGACCACTCTCAGAAAGTCATTATACTTTTCTAACCATTTAAATTAATATATTAAAGAGGTCTTTTTTGTTAATATTTGTGGTCACTATTGCAATGCATACCATTATTCTGAAGGTCCTACTCAATTCAGTAAGGCAAAAATGAAAATAAACAATAAAAGTTACCTTAATTGGAGAGGAAGAAGTACAACTGTCTTTATTCACAGATGATACGGTCATCTATGTCGAAAATTTGATGAGCTTTATAAAAAAAAAGCTATGAGGTTGGTAACTTTAGCAAGGCTGCAGAATACAAGATCAGTGTACAAAAATCAATTGTGTTGATAACCAGTTTCAGTTTCTGCATATTAGCAATGAACAACCAGAGACTGAAATTTAAAAAACAGTGCGATTTGCAGTAGCATCAAAACATGTGAACTACTTAAGGATAAATTTGACAAAACCAGTGCAAGACCTGTATACTGAAAACTAAGACAGTGTGGAGAGAAACAAAAGAAGGCCTTAGTCAAATGGAGAGGGATGCCATGCCTGTGAGAAGAAAACCCCTCAACATTAACAACTGGTTCTCTCCAAAATAATCCATGGGTTTGGTGCCTCCCAATCACAGTCTTAGCAGGTTATTTCGTAGGAATTGATAATCAGATTGCAAAATTCATATGGAAATGCAAAATATTTAGAATAGGTAGAAGGACTTTGAAAAAGAATTTGGAAGACAAATACTACCTGGTTTCAAGATTCATTATAAAGTTACAGTAGTGAAGAAAGTATGGAATTGATATCAAGATAGGCCTATAGATGAGAACATAATAGAGAGTTCAGAAATAGACCCACACATATGTGGACAATTGATTTTTGACAAAAGCAAGAGGGCAGTTCATTGGAGAAATGATTATCTTTCCCAGTCACTGGAACAACTGAATATCCATATGTGAAAACAAAACCAAATAACTTCAATCTACATATTGTACCATATATAAAAATTAACTCAAAATGGATGATAGATACAAATGTAAAACCTGAAAGCATAAAATTTCTAGAAGAAAACACAGGATCAAAAAATCTTTGTGACTTTGAGTTAGGCAAAGATTTCTTAGATGTGACACCAAAAGCAAGATCTGTAAAAGAATAATTTGGACTTCATCAAAATTAAAAACTTCGGTTCTTTGAAAGATGCTGTTAAAAGAATGATGAAAGATGTTGTTAAAAGAATGAAAAGGCAAGACTAGAAGAAAACATCTGTAAGTGAGCTATGTCTAGAATATGTAAAGAACTCTTAAAATGCAGTCATTGAGATACGGTAACCCAGTACAAATGTGCAACATATTTGAACAGACACTTCACCAAAGACAGTATGTTGTGGATGGCAGATAAGTACATGAAAAGCAACTCAACATCATTAGGGAAATACAAATTAAAACCACAATGAAGGCACGGTGGCTCACACCTGTAATCCCAGCACTTTGAGAGGCTGAGGCGGGTGGATCGCTTGAGGTCAGGAGTTCGACACCAGCCTGGCCAACATGGTGAAACCCCGTGTCTAGGACTAAAAATACAAAAATTAGCCGGGCGTGTTGGCAGGCGCCTGTAGTCGCAGCTACTCAGGAGGCTGAGGCAGGAGAATCATATGAACCCAGGAGCTGGAGGTTGCAGTGAGCCAAGATTGCACCACTGTACTCCAGCACTCCAGCCTGGGTGACAGAGCGAGTCTGTCTCAAAAAAAAAGAAGAAAGAAAGAAAGAAATACTGCAACACACTTGCTAGAATGATTAAAATTTTAAAATGGTGATGATAACAAGTATTGGGAAAGATGTGGAGAAACCAGAACTCAAGGGAATGTAAAATGGTACAATCGCTTTGGAAAACAGTTTGGCAGTTCTTAAAAAGTTAAACATATAACTCCCATGTGATCTAGTGATTTCACCGCTAGGTATTTCCCCAAGAGAAATGAAAGCATGTATACATATAAAGACCTGTATACAAATGTTCATGGTGGCTTTATTTGTAATAGCCCCAAACTGGAAAAATCCCAAATGTCCATCAACAGGTAAATGCGTAAATCACGGTATATCCATACAACAGAATATTACTAATGAAGAAGAAGGCAACTGTTGATATCTGCATGACGTGGGTGAATCACGAAATAATTCTGAATAAAAGAAGTTGGATTTAAAAAAAATATGTGATTACAATGATATAACATTCTGGGAAAGGCATACTAATCTAGAATGACAGATCAGATTGCTTGGGGGATAGTGAGGAAGGACAGGAAGGAGGGGTTACATAGGGATACAAGAAAACTTGTGGGTCATGAGTCAGTTCACTATCTGAATTGTGGCGATGATGTTTTGTGTGCGTGCACACACACATATGTATTCTCTGAAAATTGTTTACTTTGAGCACTCTAATGTAGCTGTCACTCTCATTTCTGTGACTTATTTTAGAAAGCTGTTAAGTCTTTGGGAAAGTCACTTATGTCATCAGTAAAGAATGCCACCAAAATAGCTTCTCACTTAAGTTCCCATCCCCAGAGCTAACCCACAGGAGGTTCCGATAAATTCAAATATTTAATAACTTGTATTTTTCTTTCTCCTTAAACACAGGCCCTCTGGTCCTGGAGGCAGGATCATGTGGTGGATTCTTGGCAGTCAGCAGTCTGTGGAGCTTTTGCAGGTGCAAAGGATTATATTATACTGGGAAAGACCAAAGAGGGGGAAAAATGTGAAAATATTAACTATGCAAAAACAACATTCTTTAGACATTCCAGGTTGTTTAGATGAAGAGCGCTCCACTAGTTGTTTGAGAAAAGAACGTGTCTTAGAGGGGAAAAAAAAAAAAAAACTGCTAAAAAGGTGTCTGCCTGAAAGACAACCAATTTGTTTTTGACAAATTTTTCTTTTTCTTTTTATCTTTATTAAAGCCTTCACTCAGGCCCTGGAATTACCTTAAAGATGATTTATAAAGTCCTCTGTGGGAAGAGACTTGCTGTGGGTGCAGGGCTCACCATGCAGCTGTCTGCCTTGGGCAGTGCTTAGGGGGTTTAAGCGATTTCTGCAGAAGGCCATGATTCACGGTTTGTGTGACATGTTTGACAGCACTGTAGATTAACTAGTGTCAGGAGAGCAGAGGCTCCTCCATAACTTACTGAAGGGTAAACTGTTCTGTGTAGGAAGTATGGAGATCTACACATCTGGGCATTTTCGAGACATTAAAGCAAGAGCGAGGTGACAATATGCAATACCGTGTTATCCATCACTAAGTCATATGAATTTTCAAGTGAGGCTTTAACGAGAACTCAAATGCTTTAAAGAGCTTAATAAGTGATATGTTTAAAAGCCTAAGAGAGAAGTATATTTTGTTGTTACAACGTTAAATTAGAATTATAGTTGAAATACAATGGAAATTTGCCAGAAAAGGAAACTTTTAGTTGAGATGTGAAGCCAGTAGGGGAGGTTTAGGGTGTTAACTTTATTGGAAAATAATTATTTTGCAATTTGTTTAATGGTCATTTTTGTTGTTGTTGTCGTGATTGAGAAAACAAAATGTTCATTTTATAGTACTCTTTATTAATAGACTCATTTGACTTGTAGAATTGATAATCAACAATAAGAATTTTGCCTGTAGACATGAAACCAATCCAGATTGATTATGATGATGATCGTTTCCACATGACACATAGTCATTAGCTGTGTTAAATAAGTAGGTGGTCTTGATTCATTTTCCAGAGGTCAGGAGTCATTATTCCCCAGTCCCTAAGAGAGATGTGCATTTTTGTAGACACTCTCCTGGGCCCTGGGGACAAAATGAGCGCATTATGGAAATTAAGTCATCCTGGATAAGTAAGGCTACTTTTTAAAGTTAGCAATACTATAAAACTTCCATGTGTTGAAATAAGAACATATTCTCTGGTCCTATTCCTTGAATACCCAATTCAAAGATTTGCTTGCAGAGACATTGTTACTATTAAGGAAATTTGCATTAATTACAGTTTCCTTTTCAGAATAATACTCTGTAATAGACACTAAGCACTTGTACTGTCAGAAGGAGTGAGAGAAGGGAACTTCCTATCAGACATCCTCTATCTATGTGGTAGGATCCTACCATCCAGGCCCTTTCAGTTAAGGTGACTCACCTGGGGAGTGTGGCAGCACAGCCGGTGCTCCAGTGATGCTGGGGTATGGAGAAAGGGAGCGAGGTGCCCACGGCTACACATCTAGCACAGGCTGAGCTGTGTGACTTACAGGATTCTGAAGTCTCTTTTTGCTCCCCAACTCAGGAATGAGACTTTGGGACCCTCCTGAGTGCCAGTTTCCTTACCTGTAATGTAGAAGCAACAATTCCTACCTTAGGGGATTACTTCAGGGCTTGAGATAATGTATGG
Source organism: Homo sapiens (assembly GCF_000001405.40). NCBI lineage: Eukaryota > Metazoa > Chordata > Mammalia > Primates > Hominidae > Homo > Homo sapiens. The sequence goes on from NC_000003.12 coordinate 66,364,638, forward strand.
TCAGTACTCTGTACTCTGCAAAACCGAGTCGATGTAAGGAATTACTACTATTTCAATAAGAACAACTAACATCCAGAAAATGAAAACCTACTTTCACAGTAATTCATCTTCTTGATTGAGTGAAGGAATGTCATATCAATAAAGTTACTGTACACAACAGTCTCCTCTAATAGCTCGTAAATTTTAAAATGCCTCCAATATAAGCATCTTATTTTTTTCTGCTGAAGTTCTGATAAGTGAAGGAGTTTGTCCAAGGCCTGCAAAAAATCTGTTGTCAGTAGAACCACATATATTTAGCAAAAGATAAATAGATTGCTTATTTATATCCCTTATTTTGAAATTTTATTTGGTACAACTGTTGATCCAGAGGAGGTTACTATTTTAAGGCATTTCTGAAGGATAAACATCACTTGAAAATATTCCCATTTGTGAAAAAGTGAGATTCTGTAAGAGTTGCAACATGGTGCCTTACAGCATATAGAGATGAAGGATGTCTTGTGAAGTCCCTTTAAAATACACGCTGCACTTGCAGACTTTACCCTTACATGGCCATAAAAGCAGTGATGAAACTTGCCCTCAAATCAGAAATCAGATTTCTCATCCCCATGTGCTTTTCCAAGTTTAAATTGGCTAAATCATTGCAGATGAACCATTCTGTGTGCCATCCTTGGCACTCTTTCTTGTTCATGCTTGTTTTGTAAACTACTTGGCGCAAATATCCAAAAATGTCCCGTGATCTTGGAGGTGTTGATGGCTTGTCATGCACAGAAATTCCCTTGGCTTCTGGTCGGGGTGAAACTAGGGGGATAAAAGGACTTTGCAACTTCCTTGCTTCGAGTTAACTTCTAAACATAAACCATAATGCAGCCTAAGTAATTATGACATTTGCTACTATAGTGGTATTTGGTACTCTAGTATATTTTGATTAGTTTCTCATAATAAACACCTCTGTACATTCTCTAGGAGAGAAGAGGGTGGGGGAGAAAGAGGCAGGGAAAGAGACATTGATTGCGATCTCTCCATGGGTTTGAAATTCGAGAACAGGGTGAGGGATTATTTGGGTAACAAATGAGAAGGCCTGACACAATCTCTATTAAAATACAAACAAAAAACACTTTCCTTCTTGTTGATGGGGAAGTCTTCCACATCTGCACACTTCACTGGAGGTCACGCACATAAGAGGGGTATGGTGGTGCTCTTCTCCCTTCCAGACTAATCAGGGGCAACGTAGGGTCTGGAGGAGCAATGAATGGCAGCAAGGTTGCCCAGGGGTGGGTTCGGGCACTTCCCCACTGCTGCCCCCACATTCTCAGCCACTGCTTAGAGGTGACAGCTCCAGCCTTATTGTAGGAAGGTGGCTACTTTGTCTTTATGGGTGTTGGGGCAGGGGCAGTTAGGGAATCTGCATTTGTTCCCCAAGGAAATAGGAGATAATAGTTTTATCATAAAATTTTAGTTTCTCCTGAATCCTGTCCTCGAAAGCAGTTAGCCTAACATTCAGTACAAACCTAACTCCAGTGGAGACCATAGAAAACTGTTTCACAGATGCTTTGAACACAAAAGCAGCCTGTAATTGCTGTACCAAATAATTATTTCCTGTCTCATATGTTAGACTGTTCCTTGTATTTATTACCAGTAGCTTACAGTGCCCTTAAATAAAACGTAGAAAATAACTACATTTTAACTGAAAGTCCTGGCCCCCAGCCCTTCCCCGTTATGACCATTATTCTATTCTATTATCTTCACAAGTCCTCCTTACAGCCTTACAAAAGCATTGTGAGGTCTGTGAATTAGAGAAATCTTTGATAGTTGAAGACAGGCAAATTGGTCTATTAGTAACACATAAAATACAACTTCTCTCATGGTAGTAAAGTTAGGACCTATTGAAGCATACATGTTTCTGTCTGTAACTTTTCTTCATATTACTTTCATGAAACCTAAATCTCCAAGAGAATATTGGTAGGCATCCCCACTAAAGGAATGGTAAATCTTTGCTAATGGCCAAAATAAGTTTGATTTGCAGTAACTAAATTTATTAGATGTTCCTTATCAACCTTTAGGTCTTTTTAATTGGTTTAGGATCGTTTGTGAACATTTTCACATACGAAAGTGGGTTTAACAATTGGACAAATTTTAATTTGTCTTATATATCAAAGTCATTATGTAGTGGAACGAGCATTACTTTTGGAGTCATCATACATGTGACAGTCCCAGGTCCCGCACCAGCTGTGTGGCCTGGGCAAGTAAGTTGGTTGTAAAATGAGAATAGTAACACCTATGCAAATGAGATCAAATAATCAATGAAAGTGCCTAGTGCATTCCTGGCATGCCAGATACGAAGTAAGCACTGCAGATATTAGCTCCTACCTTTACCTTTCCCTGCCTTTTAGAGGATGAGTTGAAATTTTCAGTTTATAAAAACTATAGACCAGGGTACCGATTAAGCGTTTTCGAGTGCCTGCTGTGAGTGTGCTGGTCTAAAGATACGAAGAAAAAGCACTCATTAGCTCTGGCCACCAAGGAAAGAGTTAATTATTTTGTGATTACTGCTGTGAGCCAGATGCTGTTCCAAACATGTTGCGTAGGCCCATTTAATTCCTGTGTCATACTACTATCTGCATTTTACAGATCAGAAAACTGAGGCCACTAGGAGACCAGTGGGTAAGAGTCCCAGTTCCAGAGTCAGTACAGGCTTTAGATCCCGTCTCAGCTCTGCACTAAGTAAAATCTTCAAGTTTTTAGCCTCCATAAGCCTCAGTTTCCTCACCTGTAGCATGGGGATGTAAGAGTTCCTAGCTCATAAGGTACTTCAGCCACAGAATAAGTAATTACCTAAGGCTAGACACCTGGTAGAACTGGGATTTAAGCGTTGGTCTTTCCAACTCCAAAGAAGGGTTCTTTCAGGCTAGACCGTGCTGCTGGTAAGGGAAACAAAACCAAATCTGTTATTTTGGTGTATGGGAAGTTTGGGATAGTAAAGTTTGTTGCCTTTGTGTCTTGTGTCTTTTTTCCTTTTCTTCCTTTCTTGGGGGAGATAGATAGATAGACAGACAGACAGACAGACAGACACAGAGAGAGAGAGAGAGAGAGAGAGACAGATAGTGTTCATGGATCCTGTTATGTAACTAAAAGTATATTTACTTTTCCAGGGCAGAATATATGGTTAAAAGAGTAGGATTTCAAGACCAAGTCCACAAAAATTTAAAAGACACAAAGCTTAGCAAGTCTCTGAATTTCAGACAACCTCTGGATAGGAGATGAAGAGTTTTACATAGTCATAATTTGAAATGGCTAAACCCAAGGGGATTCAAATATTCATGTCAGTTGATAGTATTACCCCTAAGGTGTGTGACATTCAGGGGTAACCAGAAATGGACCATGAGGGCATAAATAGGTACACCTTTCAAAAAGTCAGTGTCATAATCAGTGTTACCATATGGAGGAGGCTTGGTATAATCTTATTTCAGCATCATAATTAGATATTTGGCAGAGATCAGATGACCTTCTTGTCCACAAGCCACAAAAGCGAGAAGGAAAGTAGTGCTATTTCTGGAGTATCCTTCACACACGGGTGTCCTGTTGCCCTTATAACACTGCCTCTTTACCCCTAGCTCATGGAAGCTGAATCTTTGTAATGCCTTTTAGGATTTTTATTATTTCTGTCTCTGTAGGGCCTCTTCGGATTTAGAATATATCTTTGTACTGCATTTTAAATGTAATATTGACACCATAAACTTGGTTTATGTTAAAACAGAAAGTCCTTCAAAAAGTCCAATCTGTGTACAGTTCAGCCATCACGACATTCAGATAACGCAAACATGAGAGAGAAGGTTAGGAAGGAAGCCATAATGTGGAATGTGTGCTGAAGCGAGACTCAGGCTAAGAAGATGTAGAAGAGAGCTTAGAAAGGTAACTTTGACTAGCCTGCTGTCAGGAGCCCGTGAAACACAAAAAGCTTTGCTCCTTTAATTCAAAGAATCCAGCCATGTATACCCAAAATCCCCACAATGTCACATGTGAGTCTGTTTGTCCATTTTGCTATATGCAAAACAGAAATGATAGACGCATTTTGGAGTCACTTTAAAGAACAGTGGTCCAGGCTGGGCGTGGTGGTTCATGCCTGTAATCCCAACACTTTGGGAGGCCGAGGCAGGAGGAGTGCTTGATGCAAGGAGTTCAAGACCAGGCTGGGCAACAGAGCAAGACCCTGTCTCTATAGAAAATTTAAAAATTAGCCAAGCATGGTGGTGCGCAGCTGTAGTCCCAGCTACTCAGGAGGAGGCTAAGGTGGAGAGATCACTTGAGCCTAGGAGGGTGAGGCTGCAGTGAGTTATGATCACACCACTGCACTCCAGTCTTGGTGAGACACAGTGAGACCCTGTCTTTTCAAAAAAAAAAAAAAAAAACAAAAACAAAAAAAAAAAACAAAAGACAGTGGCCTATAGAAAGTCATGAACCCTTTGAGAACCATTAGGAGCAGTGTGTCTCACATATTGAGAGTGGGCATCTGGCCACATACATGTATGTCATGTGTACACATTCATCATGTATGTAAACATACACACTCATTAGTTTGCTAGTTAATGAAAGAGCAAGATAAATTGTGGAGCCTTGTATTTTTCACCTGAGTGGGTAGAGCATTTTCTTCTCTCATGCAGTTCTGTATCGCTGCAAAAGAAATGAAGCGTGTGGATAAAGATTGTGCATGTGTGCATCCTGTTCTTCAATCAGCCAGGTGTACATAATGACGAAGTGATTTGGGCAGAGTCAGGAATTCTAAAAATTACAAAATTATACAGTAAACAGGATCTCACTTGGGTGTTGGGTATTATTTGTACAGGTGGATTTGCCGCTGCAGTCACCACCCCTCTAGACGTGGCAAAGACAAGAATTACGCTGGCAAAGGTAAGTGGTGAAATAATGTAATGGAGATACTTCAGATGCTCATATCTGTTAGCACTAGGACTACAGGTGTATAAAGTGAACACAAATGGCTACCATTTACCTGTAATAGCATCTTATGCTGCCTGTGCAACCTCTAACAAAACTGCCATTGATGGAACAATGTCCCCAGTGTCTACATAATATTGTACCATTTCACAGTCATTTTCACATAGGGCTGGTAGAGCCACTGCCTGGCAGTACCATCTTCAAATAAACTCTGTTTTTACTGGTGACAAACCTAAGGGTCAGAGAGGTTGACGAGCCTCCTGCTATGTGGCAGGTAAGTGACAGGCTTTGAACCTAGGGTCATGGTTGGCCTTAACTGGATGGGTTAAGACAGTTGTCAGAAATGTTGAAACCATTTTGTTTAAGAGAAAAATTGTTTTAAAAAACCCTGCTAGATAGAGAGTTGAAAGAATGCCATACGTATAACATACCTGAACTGAACCAAAACAAAAAAGTCCTATCTTTGTGGAAAAGTAGAACAAATAATGGGCCAAATTTTAGTATGGAGGTGGCAGGATCCAACCTAAGAATGTTAATCACGTTTTAAATGGAACATTTAAACGGCACTCTATTAAATATGCTTATTAGCTGCTTATGCAGGTTTCATAGTTGTACCATTTACACTAATGATTCCCCGCCCTCCTCACATTGCTTCATAGTGCTTCTGTCTTTCTGCTGTTAAATAGTTCATCAGTCATCTCGTGAGCTCTGATAAGCAGCCACCTGTGTGGCATGGGCCACATCCCTGCTTGCCTGCATATCGGAGTGTAAGCACTTCTGGGCGAGCGAGCCAGGTCCTGATTGCCAAGAAACTCCCTGGTATCTGACACTGTGTTCTAGATGAGGGTGACGGGGAGCTGTGTGTCTGAGGATATCTGAGAGGCAAGTGTGTGATTGGGAGCTTCAGAAGATAACGGGTTTCTCTTTGTCTGTTCACACAGGCTGGCTCCAGCACTGCTGATGGGAATGTGCTCTCTGTCCTGCATGGGGTCTGGCGGTCACAGGGGCTGGCAGGGTAAGACGAGGAATGCCCTCCTTCCTTTCTTCCTCTCCACCACTCCTCCTCCTTTAGCCTAACTTTGGATGAACACCTCTCCTTCCCTTCTGCTTATGTTCTGCTTTGAGTTTCTATTTATTGTGCAAAATATTATAGTTGATGTTGTATATATGAGATAACATAGCAAATCAAATTGACGGATTATTCCAGCCAGGCAGTTCTCAGCCTTGCCCATCTTGATGTTAGATGAAATTCACATGTGTGGCTCTCACCAGGGTCTGGGCTGCAGCAGTGATAAAATGGGCTTCTCAGAGGTTACACAGTGCAGAAATACAAGGGAGTGAAGGGAACATTGTTAGAAGAAAGCATTTGTGGTTTTGATGCTTTTAACTATTATTAGTAACAAATTACTTTGAACATACCATAGTGCAGGTGGGATGACTCCACTATTAGCATCAATTGAGAACCATTGTGCTACAGAAGTGCCTCAGACTTCTAGCTTCATGTCCTAAAAGCTCTCTCTGCAAGATTAAAACATTGCTTTGACACCATAAACTTGTGAAGCCGCCTGAATGTTGAGATCTTACAGGCATGTGAAATGATGATTTTTCTCTTAGGGACCATATACCAGGGATTTTCTTGCAAGAGCAAAGCAGTGGCCTCCCTTTGCAGAGGGTCGGTCGGCAGCTGCCTGGACTTCGGGCGTCTCAGCTGGCAGTGCCACCTCCTCATCCTGATGCCGAGTTGGATCACTTATGTGATTGTAGTTTTTGTGTACCTTTGGCAGTTTTAATCTCAGCTATTTGATGATCTGGAGGACATGAAGTAGGTGAGTCAGGACCCAGTTAAGGTTTTTATAGGAGAGCAGCACATCCTAGATTGAAATTTTCCAGTTGGAAGTTTGAAAAGTAGGTGATATTGGATGGTTTTGTTGAATGTGACAACTCTGAGGGATTGACGTTGGGGGTGTGAAGGGTGTCACGGTTTTGAAACAAGAACTGGGGCAAAGCCAGAGGAATAATTGGCTGTTGACGTCTAGTGAGAGCGTGGGAAGGGCCTAGTGGGGGGCATGTGTGCTGGGAGCCTGCCACTTAGGGCTGCCATATCGTGAGGGGTGCTTCTATCTGTGGCACATTAATTCTGCTGCCAGTTCCACAGCAAACAAAGGAATGGGGTGAGAAAAAATGAGTCCTGAAGCTACTTAGCCAGTAGCAGGTAAAAGGTGCTTAGGGGCCGGGTGCGGGGCTCACACCTGTAATCCCAGCACTTTGGGAGGCTGAAGCAGGAGGGTCGCTCGAAGTTAGGAGTTTGAGACCAGCCTGGGCAATATGGCAAGACTCTGTCTCTAAAAAATAAATAAATAAATTAGCCTGGTGTGGTCGCACGCACCTGTAGTCGCAGCTACTCAGGAGGCTGAGCAATCGCTTGAGCCCGGGAAGTCGAGGTTATAGTGAGTTACAACTGTGCCACTGCTCTCCAGCCTGGGTGACAGAGCAAGACCCTGTCTCAAAAAAACAACAACAAAAAAGTTCTTCTGTGTTTCAAATAGCAATTGGGCTACATACATGGAGAAGTCACATTCAGTGGCTTTTTTAGACTGTAAAACCAAACTGCCAAATTTCACTGTCCTACTGATTTCAGTGTAGTTCATGTTTGATTCTGTGGCAACTGTTGGGCAAACCACTTCAATTGACCTTAGCTTTGTGGAGCTGTGCAGAGCTGCAGCCCCTCAGCCTTTTCTGGAGACAGTGGTGGCAGGTGGGGATGGCATGATCGACTGGCAACCCCATGGCCCCAAAAGCTGGTAGGAGTTATGTTGAGTAGATGATTGAAGATAGTCTTCCCTGTCCTGGTTGTGGCATGTCTTATACTTGACGTTATAATACTAAGCAGTGCCAGAAATACAGGCAGAGGAGGGGTGTCTTCCTCAGGTCAAGGGCCTGTCCCTGTCCCCATTGTCAGCTCTGTAAAGGTCATGTGGAATTTTTTTTGCTTATCTATCTTCGGAAAGTCTCAGAAGTCATGGGCTCTAGTCAGTCTGTACAGTGTAGTCCCTAAGAGCATTACAGACAGCAGCGGTCGTCACTTAAGGGAGTTTTGATTAGCCACTTATTAATGATTAAAGACAATAAATAATTTGACTAAAAAACAGTCACAGAAAAACCTGGGTGGCTGTTGTGAACAGAGGTCCCAGGCACCCTCAGCCTGAAGGTATCTCTGCCAGCTTCCTCTGTGCTCCAAGCACACAGCGCTGCTGCCACCTCCTGTCTCCTCCCCGGGGCGTGCACTAAGTTTACTAGGTACTACTTGGGTTTTCCAGCAGACACCATCTCCTCACCTTAGGATGGAATGGTGCTGCCCTCTCGGGGTCAAGTCAAGTGGCGACCACTTTTATCTTTCCGTGTGGTCCACGCAGGTGAAGACCTTGTTCTGGCGCATATGGGAGTACACATATAAACAGAAATATATTACTAAACAAACACCGCGTGTTCATTCAGCCCCGTAGCCAAAGGCAGATGGGGAGCCTGCCCACCCCGGATGGCCCCTTTCTGGTTTTCTTCACTCATCAGCTGGCTTTCTGTTTTTGTTGACTGTGCCCTTTATGTAGTAGCTGCCACTGCCGCGAGCATCCCTTTCTGTCTGGCATTGTAAGTGCTTACGTTTGCTCTCATTTAATCTGTGGGCACTAGAACACGCTCCTGCTCAACTCAAAAGTCTTCACCTGCGAGACTGGCTGGGGCCCTCACTGTACAAATTACTCCACGTTAAGGCCGTAATTACGTTAATAGATTCAGTGGTCATCTGTTGAAACCATAAACTGCTTCCATCTGTGTCTTGCCAGGAGCAGCTGAGCTTGTGAGTGGCAGAAGCTGAACAAGACACTGGCGTTTAGAAATAAGTAAGGTAGTAAAGGTGGGAGAACTTTGTGGCCAGAGTGGTCTCCCACAGCTCGGCATCTGCTGGCCGCCTGTCTAGCACTCTTTCCTTCGTAAGGTAGGAGCAGGGAGGCTCATCTGTCTTTCAGGCAGGAAGGACATAGTGGTAATTTATA